>NC_000002.12:147489618-147792648 GCF_000001405.40 Homo sapiens | reverse complement strand
GTAAAGTACTGCTTTCCTGATAAAAGGAATGGCTGGTGTTGTCCCTTTCCTTTCTTCCTGCCCTGACTGTGGATGTGATGTTCAGATCCACCATTCAAACATAGGATAAAAATCATGCAGAGGTAAAGCCAATAAATTGAGTATGGTGAAAGGGCAGAATAGAAAGCGCCTGGGTCCCGAGGCATACTTGAGCAGCTGAGCTAATCCTGGCAACTGCTACCCTTAATCTTGCTATGTAAGAAAAAGAAACTCTATTCATTTGAAACATGTAGCTAGTCTTTCTATTTCTTGAAGCTGAACACGTTCCTAACAATACAGAATTGGAGGAAGAAACTGTATATAGGTATAATTTTGCATATATCTACACTTGGTCCTCCTTCCAGAATATTTTGTCAATCAAGGTCACCCTACTCAGCCCCCTGAAAAGTAGCCAAACCTGACAAGGTTCTCATTAAACTAATTTCAACATTTATTGGGGGTCTACTACTTGAAAGACAATATAGCAAACATAAAAATCATAAGATATAGTCCCTATCTCAGTGAGCTTTAATTTTGAGACAAATAAGAGAGACAAATAATTTTACTAAATTATTTTGATCCAATCTACATTAGAACCCTTAATATCATCAATTTGAAAAACAGAGAACATGGTTTGAAAGTGGGAGAGATTGGAGACAAGGAGGGCCAGGTAGGAAGTTTCTGTTGTCATTTAGGCGATGGCAGTGTCCACAACACAGTCTGGTTCAAGAGGTGCCATTCACAGTGGCTGAACACATGATATAAGGTAGAACTTCTGAATTATCAAGGATACTCTCCTTTTTCATTAGTCCATTTTCACACTGCTATAAAGATACTACCTGAGACTGGGTAATTTATAATCAAAAGAAGTTTAATTGACTCACAGTTCTGCCTGGCTGGGGAGGCCTCTGGAAACTTGCAATCATGGCAGAAGGCACAGGGGAAGCAGGCACCCTCTTCTCAAGGCAGCAGGAAGGGGGAGGGCAGAGCTGCCAAACACTTTTAAACCATCAGTTCTTGTGAGAACTCACGTCATGAGAACAGCATGGGGAAACCACCCCCATGAGCCAATCACCTTCTACCAGATCCCTCCCTTGACATGTGAGGATTACAATTCAAGATGAGATTTGGATGGGGACACGGAACCAAACCATACCACCTTTTTATTTGAACAATTGACCTTTCAACTGCTTTCTCCCATTTTCATGATCTTGCTTGCTGAAATCACCCATTTTCATGTCAAAAATTGATTAAGCAAGCAAACAAAAATGAAACATCTTTAGTGTGCTTAGTAGGAAGAAGGGTTGCTTAGTGGTCAAGAGTGCAGACTTGTCAGGGCACGGTGGCTCATGCCTGTAATCCCAGCGCTTTGGAAGGCCGAGGCGGGCTGATTGCCTGAGGTCAGGGGTTCGAGGCCAGCCTGGCCAACATGATAAAACCCTGCCTCTACTAAAAATACAAAAAGTAGCCGGGTGTGGTGGCACACGCCTGTAATCCCAGCTACTTGGGAGGCTGAGGCAGGAGAATTGCTTAAACCTGAGAGGCGGAGGTTGCAGTGAGCTGAGACTGTGCGGTTGCACTCCAGCCTGGGTGATAGAGCAAGACTCTGTTTCAAAAAAAAAAAAAAAAAAAAGTGCAGACTCTGGCTTTGAGTTCTGACTTTGCTACTTATAAAGTGGATTTGTACTTTGGCAAGTTACTGAACATCTTTGTGCCTTGGTTCTATCATTCAAAAAATGTTGATAAAATTAATCCCTACTTCATAGTGTTGTTGATGTAATTAAATGCAGTAATACTCATATATGTTAAGTGGGTAGTAGAATATTGCTGGGCATATGGTTAAGTGCTCAACAAATATTTGCATTGTGTATACAGGATTGGATGAGGTCATAAGAAATGCAAGAGGAACGCAAGGAGTGTTGGGGCCATAATCCTGCCACTTAGGACTTTAGCGTTATTGGGGAAAGGGCATGGAGGAGCAATCAATTTGTTGAAGTCACCTGGAAGAAGGGGCAGAATTGAGCTAGGTCTAATTGTAGCTGCTCTAACATACAGTATCTGATCCTGTATGTTCTTCAAGCCAGTCTCTCTACATGATGATTTTTAATGCTCACACACACACATCCCTGCAAAACTTCTCTACCACATGAAGCTAAGAGTGGAGCTGCTATGAAGGCTGAGTAATTCTCCCAAGGCAGTTCTGAGGTGAGCTTTGGACACAGACTCTCTGAAGAAGGCAGAGTAGGTACCATCTTGTTCTTGGGACTGGGGAAAGGAGATATGAATGGGTATCTTTTTCACATTGTTCAAAAAAAAAATTACGGTAGCTTATGTACAATATAGCATGATAAAAAACAGGAAATTTTAGAGTAAAATTGAAATAAGAATAGGAAAAGAAGATTCAGGATGGTTTAGGAGGACTTCAGGAGAATTTGCTGGACTGTTAAACTGGAAGAAAATTGAGCTAATTCAATTTTAAGCTAACAGAGAATTGATCAAGATACTTCATATGAATGGCTGGCCTTTGTCTTTATTTTTCTTCTCTTAACAGTGGCAATTTTTTTTCGTCAACAGTTTTTATAGTTTTATATAAATGCATTGTTAATGTCACTGTTCAGGAATGCATATAACCCAACATCAATTTGTTAATGTATGAGTTTTCAGAGGTTGGATTACATCATTACACCCACATAAATATGTAAACTTCATGCTGCATTTATTTAACACAACAAAACCTAGTGACTAAAACATCTTTTATTACTTTCACTTTTCACCACATGATATTGTTTAGAAGAGTGTTTTGGTTCCAAGCACGTAAGACGTTTTTTAAATAAATGAGAATGTGTTTTTCTTGTGAGAATGTAGGTTGTCTATTTGGACCATTAGAAAAGTCAGTCTTTGGAGATGAATGCTCTAATTTGAACAGGGCTCTGCAGGAACAGTAACTTGTTGGAGGTGGGTGCAGGTCATCTTTAAGTGTTCAAATAGCCAGGGGTAGAGAAGTCCCTTCTTTGTATTTTCTCCTTTCTTTTGTCATCACAAACATGTTTGAGGCCATAAACAGATCCCATTGACTCAGCCACGAGTAGGGGAGTTTGAACCTGTGACAGCCACCCTACCTGTTTCCACCACGTACATTTGTGGGTGCACATTCCAGGGCAGAGGAGAGAACACAAGGAAGGGAAAGCTGACTAATCACTCATTCAGAGATGAAGCCATGTAGCCACAGAACTTCATTCTTTCTTTCTGGAAAGGCATAAAGGTGTGCTTCTTTGCAACTTTGCATCTGCCTTTAGTTATTTGAAGCCAGAGAGGTTACATATTATAGGACAGAGAAAAGTGTTCATGAGGAATGGTGCAAAGGCATTGTCACTGGTGTATCAGAGAAATTATTTTGCCATGAATTGAAAAAGGATCACTGAAACCAATTTTTCTTTTTAAAATGTTTGTCATTTATAATAAAATTTGGGATTGGCTTTTTTTTTGGTAACAGCAAAGATGTGGAAAAGAAGAATTTCTGACAACAAAAAGGCTATTAGGCAGACTTTTAATTCTACAGGGTTTTGTTTGTAAAATTCACAAACGTGTTAATATTAATTCAGTTGGTGGCAAAATTGTTGAAATGGAAAACAAAAAGAATAATAAAATCAAAAGAGTAGTTTTGTGTGGTAAAGAAAAATATAGCTAAGAAACATTACAGGTAATCAGTATGCCTTTGTTTTATAAGTAACAATTTACCCTTCAGTGTGCTTTAAAATACCTATTAATGGGTAGGACTATTTTAGAAAGAAAGAAAGAAGAGATTAACTCTGTCTTTTATTTTGATGTTATATAACAAAGATCCTTAAATTACTTTTATTCAAAAATTAAATAAAAATATGTGAAGCTTGATTTGCTAATGAACACACACACACACACACACACACACACACACACAGAATCGGCCCTTAGTATTGGCAGTTTCTGCAATTAACTGAGGATCAAAATATTTTTGAAAAAGAATAAAAATAATAAAACAAAAAATAACAAAAATACAGTATAGCAACTATTATAATACTTATGTAGCATTTACATTGTGGTATGTATTATAGGTAATCTATAAGCATATGGGAGGATATACGTAGGTTACATGAAAATACTATACCATTTTATGTAAAGAATTTAAGCATCAGAGGGTTTAGATATCTTTGTGGGTCTTGAAACCAATTCCCCGGGGATACCAGGGATAACTGTATGTGTGTATGTTTATATTTCTGTCTCTAGAGATACATAGAGGACTGTATATATATACAGAGAGAAACAGGAGAATGTTGCTAGTTTTTGTCTTTTTCTTCTTTCTTTGAATTGACCTCATCCATAATGAAAACTGGTGATTATGATGCTCAACCTAACTCCTCTATTTAAATCCATTTATATCTAGGTTTGTAGTTAAAAAGGAGGAATGAATGATTAATTTCCTTTATTTTTAGGAATCAGGAATCATTGAAATTAGAAAGACGTTTATACCATGGTCTCACATCCATTGCCAGTTTTATGACTATTCCCCATGGTTCTCCAGGTACTTTGCTCCAGCTCACTATGAATTATTTGAGTAATTGGGTTTCCCATAATTGACATAATAAAATATTTTATGATGGAGTGGGGGAAGACGTCTCAGCTGCTGGGCCTTAAATGGTATGGGAACATTTGAGTGTAGGTGAAGGTTTCTCTTCTTTGCAAAGATGAAAAGCTTTTTGTTATCAGCACTGAAGGAAAGTTGAGTGTTAAAAATGCACATGGTACTATGCAAGAGTATTCTAGGAGAATCAATGAGACGTGGTCGTCTCCAGGTATATGTGGCTCATAATCTAAAAGTAGAGCCTGCCCATCTCCAGCTGTCTCTCAGAAGTGGTCAGTGCCTGGCTGGACTATGTCTGGAGGGCCTGGGTCATTATATCTGTGGCCCTGCCATCCAGCTGTCTTGCAGAAGAGGTAGATATTTTCATGCTTATATCTAGTCATTATTTTTCTATTAGATGAATTTACTGTTAAACAGAAAGTTGTTCTCCAAAGCACTGCTTGTTATTATATCTCTCTTACTAGATGTTTATGAGTCAGAAAATGATTATTTTTTAAAATAAACTTTTATATGAAGTAGCTGCTCAGCTTCTATGCAATTCTCTTATAACCATAGACTTATATATAGACAGCCACAATAGCTACAATAGGAATACAAATCCTCAATACTAAAATTATTTCTATAGATTACTCATTTTATGATGTTTTACTACTCAAATCGATTTTAAGGAGAATTTTCTCCCCCTTACAATGATGATACTTTACTGGATACCCTTGGACCACTGAGTTTAGCCCATGTGGTTTTGTTATTTGAGGGACATGCAAAGTTCTTTACGCATTGCCCTCCCACTTCCGGTGTTACCTCACTGCCTACAATTTGCACAAACAATCCTGAATGTCATGAAACTGCTGCCATCTTGAGCATCTATACCTTACTTTAAAATTGTTTATAAGATTAGGTTTGGACACCTGGAGGTGGAAGAGAGGATGAGTATATTTTTTAGGGGAGAGATGAGAAAACTGAAGAGTATCTATGGTCATAGGAGCTATCCTAGATAGAACTACACAATTAAGGCAGCCCTTGATACCCTGGCAGTGGTAGGAAGGTGGTATAGAGTACATTTTTTTTAAAAGGAAAAAATATGCAGGAAAAAGCTTTGAAAGACTACACAGCATTATCTGTTTCACACTTTTGACCAGGGAAGACCATATCTAGACACCACACTGAAAAAAGATTTGCCAATTTATGGCTTTGAAAGAAGCAAATGAACAGGTAATTCATGCGAACATATTCTAGCCAACAAATGAATTTTGAAAGCCTGAGAAGTTTAGAAATATAAAAATACATTTTATTCTAAGTCTATTGGGGACAGAAAAAAGCTATATAGAAGGTATCTAAGGATAGTATGCTAAAATAATATTATAAAATAGTGAGTTCTAGTAATTGAGAATTGAGGTGGGCTGCAATACCTAGAAAACTCCACAGAGGAGGACATAGAAGAGACTTGAGGAATTCGTAGGACTTAGCCTGATAAGCAGAGAAGGATGGGGTTGATATTCCAAAAGGCAAGAAAAGTGTGAGCAAAGGCAAGAAAAGTGTGAGCAAAGGCAAGAAAAGTGTGAGCAAAGACAAGAAAATGGGTTTTTCATAGCATGTTTTGTGGGAAAATATGTCGCATTGGCTTAGCAGTTTTCAGGAGAGGGAGCAGATAGTAAACTGATATTAGAAGCTAAAAGATAGCACTCCATGTTACACAGTAGTAAATGGTTTGGTAAAAGTATCACCTCTTATATTTCGGGAAGCAGATGACATCCCTATTGAGGGAATAACTATAGAGGAAGTGGATGGAAAGAAAGTATCCATGTGTATTGACTCCTGTTGGCTGCATACTGAAAAATATTTTTAAAAGATCAGATCAGGAAAGAATTGGCCACTTAGCAAGCAGAAATGAAAGTAAGAGTCTAGAAATTTGGGGCCTTGATGGGTTGGCAAAGGTGACCATTTCTCAGCCCCAATCAGTAGGAAATAAGATTGAAAAAAGTCCCCAAACCAATTAAGAGCCAAGCATTTGGCAAAGATCAGGTTAAGGATGTGGCTTTACAATGAAGCTTGATGGCTTTGAGGTAACTGTCATTAAATTGAGACAGCAAGGCTCAGGGTGAGAAAGAAAAAGAAACAAAACACATTTGAGAATTTCATCTAAGAAATAACTTTGGGATGGTTATTTAGCTAATGGAATGAACATGAGTAAAGTAGACCAGAGACATTCTGTGCTTTTGAGGGAACCATAAACACTGCAAACTTGGATTTTAAAAAAAAAACTTGACTGTTCAAGCAATAAGACAATTTTTAGACTTTCAAGTTGCTCTAACCGGAAGCAGCCTATAAAAGCTATGCAGTCTGCAAGAAGGAAATACTCCCTAGTGCCCATTTTAGACATGGCTAGAGAACCTGTTGGATAAGGGATAGTGGCTGTGGATAAAATGGTCAACTCCCAAAGAGTAGAATCCAGATCTGCACACTAAAATCTTCTCCTACCCCCACCCCTTCCCCACTCCAGGATAGGAGGCCCTCACAGTGCCTGGCCAGCACAATTTTAGAATTGCTTTAACTCATGCCTGCTTTCTCTTCCCAAATGGGAGGTGTTTTTTGATGGTCATTCTGTGATCATTCTACCAATGAATTTTGGGAGTGTGTGTGTGTTGAGGGGCAGACACCTTGTGTCTCTTTTAGTTCATAGTTTGTAAGAACTTGAGGACTCTTAGCTGGACTTGATGGAGCATCTGATCATGACTTAGAGATCCTGGTCTTCGGGCTGGATGTGGTGATTAAATGGGGACTGGGATTGTCTCTTGTGGGGAGGGGGTGATTTTGTTCTGTGTATAGGAGGAGGGGCTGAAACAGATATGTGGAGACCAGAAGGGCAGAGACAATTCCATGTGCTCACCAAGTCTGTCTTCTTTTCCACTGGTCATGCAACAAAATTATATTTCCTAGCATCTCTTGCAGTTGAATGAAACCATCTAACTGAGTTCTGACCAGTGGAATGTGGATGGAGCAATATACACCTCTTCTGGGCCAGACCTCTAAAATGTCTTGTAAATTTGCCGCAATATGCCTTTCCGCATCCTCTGGTTGGATGATGCCAGGTTGGCCTTAACACCACTGTTGAAGAGTGAAGAAACTGGGGTCCCAGAATGAGTACACAGAGCAGAGTCAAGCCCATCACTGACTCTAATCCTTTACTCCTCCCATGCCACCACCAACCTTCATTGAACTGTGACATAAATAAGAAATACACTGTAATTGTGTTAAGCCACTGACTTTTGGAGGCTGTTTGAGATAGCAGTTGGCAAAGCCTGATACAGCCATTGATGCTGCTAGATGATCTTTTACTCCTCCTCGATTTATTCCTTCTCACATTCCCCACAATGGTCTCTTCACTGAGCTGATAGATTCAGGAAAGAACATGCAGCTAGCCTACACTCAAAAGTAAGGCCCCCACTGATCCCAATCTCCTTACACTCTCAATATTCTAGTTCCCTGAGAAGTACATAGTACCTCTATGTAGATGACTCTAAACATACCTCTCCAGTTTCCAACTCTCTCCTGAATTCTGAACCTAAACTTCCAACTGGCTACTGAGTATCTTTCCAAAATTAAGTTGAGTCTCATTTGTAAGTAAGAAATACATTGCTATAGTCATCATCTTTCCCTCAAAACCTGTGCCTCCTTTTTAAAGTAATGGGATTACAAACTTTCTTGTGATCCAGTTTGAGGTTTGAGGTCATTTTCAATCCCTCCTGCCACCTGACTCTCCATCTTCGTTCTAACACTAACACCTGACAGTTTTCCTTTGCCATCTCACATTTACTTCTTTCCCACACTTCATTAATTAGACCCTCTTCATCTCTAGTCCATTAATGGTTTCACCTGACTCTAGTCTCTTCCCTCATCAATGCCATCCTTCTAATGCTTTCAAAATTATATTTTTAAAATTGTGGCTGGATCATGACACTTTTTTTTTTTTTATTTGAGACAGAGTTTCGCTCTTGTTGCCCAGGCTAGAGTGCAATGGCGTGATCTCGGCTCACTGCTACCTCTGCCTCCTGGGTTCAAGCGAATCTCCTGCCTCAGCTTCCCGAGTAGCTGGGATTACAGGTACCCGCCACCACGCCTGGCTAGGTTTTTTGTATTTTTAGTAGAGATGGGGTTTCGCCATGTTGGCCAGGCTGGTCTCGAACTCCTGACCTCAGGTGATCAGCCTGCCTCGGCCTCCCAAAGTGCTGAGATTACAGGTGTGAGCCACTGCACCCGGCCGACACCCATTTTCTAAGAAGCTTTGATAGCATTTCATTATCTACAAAATAAATCCACATTCCTTAGCATTTTGAGGTCCTTATTCATTCAGTCCAACCTATCATTTTAGTCCCTACTTGTATGCTCCAGCCACGCTAGTCTTCTCTGCATTCCTATCTCCACTTTAACATCCCCTATTTCTACTATAAGTTGCTGACAAAAATTCTCAATTACTGGCCCAGGGACTGTTTACCTGAGAATCATTAATGGAACTTAAAAAAGTATATTCCCAGGCCACCTCCACATAGACATTGTGCTTCTCTTAGTCTGTTTCACATTGTGCAATGCAAGCAATCTCTTTTTGTGGGTGGGAATAAGAATAAGAAAAAATTGTAGGAGCTTTAAAAACAATACAAATTCCTGGGTTTTTCAGGGACTACTGAGTCAGAATGCACAGGAGTAGCATTTCCAATACACAACAGGTTTGGGAATCACTGACAGGCAAGCCAAGACTGAAAAAGAATAGAATAAGATATTAAATATGTACTCCAAATAATACTGCCAAGGGAAAGAAAAGGGAAATATTATTATGATATTAGAGAAAATTTCTTTGAGTCAGCATGTTTATTGAAACCTGGATACGTTAGGATCTGGAGTTAGAAAAAGCAAGGTCCCCTTATTCATGTGGGATCTTCATCATCGGGAAGAATGTGAATTAAGGGAAAGTGACATCCTTAAAGTAGGTGCGTTGTTAAAACACACATTAAATTTAAGCTGCACTGTGATAAATGTCATATCTAGCAACAAAGAGAGCATATGTGCTCAGCAAAACTACCCTCTCAACAGGCAAGAGACAAAAGCACACTGGCAAGTGATTAATGCAGGAAGACATGAGGATGCGAAATGACAAAGGCATTTGTATCCAACTGGCTTCGTAAGCCAACTGGCCATCCTGTCAAGTGGGGAAATGAGAGAGAAAAGAGCCATTAAGGATTCCATTCTCTCTGGCCTAGACCTTATGTTTCTGCCCTGAATGAATAAAGCAAAACAGCAACTGAATAGCTCATAATAACAAATGAACAAACTGATAGTAGCAAGGACTATGACTTGCTAACGACTCTATGATGAGTCAGCCTCTCTGTTCTGACCTCGACATATGAGTGGGAGAATTATATCCATTTGCTTTTGTTCTTGGCTTTAGCAATTGGTAAGTCATTGGATACCATACAGTAAGTAATTTAAGGTAGGATGCAGCCACTATGTGAATGTCATATCATAAGATATAAGCAAATATTTGGATCCAAATGATTTTCTATGACTTTTTTTTCTCTATAACTATGAGGATAATCATTTCAAGGAATTCCACATCTTGAAAAGGGTTAACAACATAGTGTTTTGAAACCAGATCTGGTCTGTTTTTCAAGCTGTGCTGTATTTAGAGATATATTTAGTTCTGCAGATGTCTTGAGTCTGTCATTGGAATTGGACTTTCCCATCAAAACCAGACACTGCTTCTTGAGGAGTCAGAATAGGATGTTCAGTGCTATTCAGTAGGACCATTTTTATTTTCTCTCCCACTGTGATGCAGCACTGCAGCAAAAGAACTGATACAGTTATTCTTTCTTTTTCTTGTCTGTCCCCAACAAGCCATCTCCCATTGGTTGTGCAGTGCAGACTATAGGGTTTTTACTTGGCCATAGCCTTGAATAAGAAAAGTCTTCAGGAGTTGTATAATTTAATCTCAAAGTTTTTAAAAAAGTGTAGAAATAGAAATGAAAAATTATGAACAGGAGATTTATTTATAGTCTTTCCAGAGTAGAGTTGTTACAAATGGAGTTGGAGGGGTGGGGAAGGGAATGTGATATAAAAGAGAAAAATGTTTAACATTTGAGATTCTATAATGAGCCTCTAACTAGTCAAGGGATGAAGACTCAAGACCTAAGGAACTCCAGATTATATCTGAGGTTGGATTAAACAAAAATAGGGACCATTCTTTTTTAAACTGAGGACTGAAATTTTAAATGCTCTGGAAATCATGGAGTGTAACAAAAAGCCTGGCATATATCTCATCTGACTGAATAGACTTAAAAAAATCATTCAGAGTAAAATTTTTTTTATTGCTATTGTGTTATTTTGTCCAATTTTCCCCCCAAAGGTGTGATTTACATAACAAAGTTAGCAAAAAAAAAATTTCAGGCCTAATTATCACTTTCAAAATAGAACCTGGAAATCAGCCATTGGTAACTGAAGATTACAGATTGTTTTTTAAAAAGCAAATCTTGAGTTCAGCTCAAATGTTACCCTTAAAACTGGATTGTATTATTTTGCCACATCAAATCAAGTGCCTTTTTGGCATCAAAGAAAGCAGCTCCCAAGCTAATTCATAACTCAAGTGCTGTCAATTTAGGTGATTCTAAAGCTTTAGCTTTTTAAAAGCTAAAATAATAAAAGACAATTGTGCTTATATTGTTTCTAATGACAATTTTCCCAGGTGGTTTTCTACACAGTTTTTTGTAAAGACCAAGACAGTAGTTGAAAACCAAAAATAAATTCTTTTTCTTCAATCCATGCTTTATTACGGTTACAGTAGAGGAGGTGGTTAAAAGTACAGGCTCTGAGCTCAGCTGCCTAAAGTTATATTCCAGTTCTCTTCTCTTTAATAAGAGAATATTTTTCTAAAATATGTGGACAATGGCCTGACTTTATTGTGTAGTTTGATTTGTAAACAATAAATATTCTTACAGAGGACAAGAGACTGTGCTAATATCTATAGACAAAGGTGGTAGTGGTGATTGAGAAAGTCACATATATAAATAAATATACTATACAACACTGATCCTACTCTACAGGAACTTAGAAGCTTTTGGTAATTTTATCCCCATCACAAACCATTGAGAATCCAACATGCTATAGATTGTACTATGAGTTAAGAAATAAACTCTTCGGGTTGAACTATTGAGGTTTGGGGGTTGTCTGCTATAGCAATTGTAGATATTTACCTTCACTAATAAAGTTGGATTCTGAAATTTCCAGTAGGACTAAGAATATGAGGTTTGAAACTGCTGTAAATTCCAGTTTTGTTGGAGGATCCCAAGGAATCCTGCCTCCAGGGCAGAGTGAATATAAGTCCTTTGTTCACACTTTGAGATTTTGTTGAACACCTACTGCATAGCATCTGTTTGGTGCTGTCTACGTAAGACACCAGGATAAAAAGAAGACAGAGTCCTGTCCTGGAGAAGCTCATGGGCTGACAGCAGCACAGTGATAAAACACAGTTACCATTTATGGAGTGATTACAACAGAGCTCACTTTCCTTATTTTCCTTAATCCCCATAAAATTCTTCTAGGTAAATGTGTATTCTTATGACCATTTTGAAGACGAGGAAAATGGGGCCTAAATAAATGAAGGACCTTGAAAGCATTGGAATATAGTGTGAGCCTTGCTATAATAGAAAAATATGCAAATAAAATATAATGGGATTAAAGCTAATTGAATGCTTACAATACTTATGGTATGTTGAGCATTATGTTACATGCCATACACACACACACACACACACACACATATATACACGTATATATACGTATGTATTTTGCATTTAATCCTAATAATATTACCCTAGAGGTATGTATAATTATCTGCAGTTTACAGAGAAGGAATCAAAGAGGTTAAGGGTCAGTAGGGTTAGACAGGTTAAGTAAACTCCTCTAGATCACTCAGTTTGCAGTAATGGAGTAAGGAATTTCAATGTGTCTTTCTAGCTTCAAAACCCAAGTTCTCTCCACCACATTAAGTGGTTAGTGCAAGGTGAGGAAAGGAGAGACAGCTGCAAGAGACAGGACCAGATCACGGGGAACCTCGTGGCTGGTGAGCAGCCTCCACAAGGTTTCGGCAAAGGAATATTGGATTTGTGTTTCAGAAAGAGCAATCTGGTGGCAGGTAAGAATGATTCTATCTTTAAAAGTTTTACAAATTACAATTACTTCACTAATTTCTTTATTGACTTAAAAGCATTACCAAGATGAAGGCCATGAACGAAATGCTTCATTTATCCCTTTCTTATTTTAGGACTGGGTTTCTGCATTTTCCCTTTTCTTCAGAGTTAGGTGACTCATGCTTTTGTCCTACCCAGTCTTAACTAGGTTTTATAGAGTGCTCACTACAGACTACACCTTTTACTGTGTGCACTTATTTCATATTTTCCCTTAGTATTTACTCCATGGTATTGTCATGTAGATTTGACTATGGATGATATTCTCAGTAACTGTGGTAATAGGGTTATCCCCTGTGTTTCATAATAGTGTAGTAAGGGGGAACATGTGTTGATTTGATGGAATTATTAATATTTCATTGTTTATCTAGCACTATATGGTACTGATTAAGAGCTAGGACTCAATGCAAGAACTGCCTGGGTAAGAATCCTGCCATGCTACTTGCTAGCTGTTAAGCACTTTAAGTTCATTTAGCTAAATACATAATTGGAACGTGGTGAGCCACTTGCTATAGTAGGGGAATGTATACAGAAAGTACAACAGGAGCTAAGTCTAGTTGAATGCTTACAGTGCGAAGATGATGCTAGGTATTATGCTGCACATTTCACATATATCACCACATGTAATAAGAACATGGCAGACCTCACAAAGCTACATGCTTTACATATACATTCTTGCACTTATTGAAGACATGGCAGACATGGAAGGTGAGCATTATTTCTAAATATCTCCTAGGGTTGTTATGAGGAGCAAATGAGTTAATCTATTACTCTGTGCTTAGCATGTAGTAAGCTCTCAATCAATGTTAAGTATACCTGATGAATCAAGAAATGATTCAAAGTAAAGCTTGATGGCCTTTGAAACAGAATGATAGAGTATGAAATGGTCATATTCATATAGGAAAAAGAATCCGCAGGGAGAAAACAGAACCATTTTTCCAGCTGGCTTATTAGATTAAAGTACAGCAGGCTGACTAGCTGCAAAAATTGTGCTGTGTATCTATGACCACAAGTACAGAAATAGCATCAGTTTTTAGATTTAAACATCCTTGATAATTTATTGAAAAATCTTATAAAGTGGATACTTTAAGCAATTATATGTTCACTGATTAAACCAGAGAAACTAAACTTTAATGAAAGAAAATCAGCTTAACTCTTAAGTATATCAACCCAATGGATTCCAAGTCAGAAAATGCTAAATTTAAATCCTATGAAACTGAAAAATAAGCACATGAAATTGCCTGTAAATATCAATTGAATGTCATTTTGATTTCTTAACCAGTTTTATATATGTAAATAACATCTATTTGCATAAAGAGAATATTAGTTAGATGAAAATGCAATCTTACCCAGAAAAATTTACAGGAAAATAATCTGTAGGGAGAAAAAGGGACAGTGCTCGTTAAATCAGATGGAGGTGAAAACGTGAGTGCCCTGAGCTCTCAAAGATGACATTCCTCTAATTAAATGTTAGAAGAATAGTCACATTTTCCTCTACTAAATATTAAAATGACCCTTGACAAATCTGAGTGGCCACACTCATGTGTTTCCCATGCTGAGGCATGGTCCAGTGTGGGTTATGTTTAAACTGGCCCTTTTTTCTCTATAATAGCTTGTTAGGTCAAAAATATTTAATAGCAAATCATTCAACCTTCAGTCTTCTGAGTATTCACAGCTGTTCAACAAATGATATACTGGTAACCTTATTTTCTTTATTCAATTGGATGTCCATTCAAAGAAGAACTTTCAGAGATGAATTTCAAACTATATTTTCTAGGTATGGAGGAAAATTTGGGTTAATTTTCCTATTTCAAATCATTTTTTTCCATGTGATTGAATTTCTATGCTGCTTTTGTGCTTGAAGCTATTTCTCAAATACAGTCAATTTAGGAAAGGATGGGAGGATGAACCCCTAGGATTTTGGAACTAAATGGCTGGTTATAGGTTGGAAACAGGGTAAATATAGAGATAGTTCTATCAGATAGTACTAAAAAATAAGAAGGTATCCAGGAGACCCACTACTGAAGGATTTATGTATGTACCAGCCGAGTGACATTTAGGAACCTATAAAAACCAGAGAGGATTGTTTTACATCGTTTTGTTTTTTTGTTTTTGCTTAGCATCAATAGCCATCTGTAAGGAGGTGGTGGTGGAGGGAAGGTTGGTTGTATGAGTGTGTGGGAGTGTGTGTGTGTGTGTGAAAGAGAGAGAGAAAGAGAGAGTAAGAGAAACATACTTGGAGCTAGGGAAAGTCAGGACCATCCTTTGTGAAGGTTTAAGTCTTGATGTGTGTCTGTGAGGTGCATTTGACACTCAAGGAAGAAGTTCAAGTTGATATTTTTATTTTTATTGTTATTTTTTTAGACAGAGTCTTGCACTGTCACCCAGGCTGAAGTGCAGTGGTATGATCTCAGCTCACTGCAACCTCCGCCTCCCAGGTTCAAGAGATTCTCCTGCCTCAGCCTCCCAAGTAGCTGGGATTATAGGCACCTGCCACCATGCCCGGCTAATTTGTAGAGACAGGGTTTCACTGTGTTGGCCAGGCTGGTCTTGAACTCCTGACCTCATGATCCCACCTCAGCCTCCCAAAGTGCTGGAATTGATGAAATTTTAATATTTGTTCTGCCTATGTTATTACCTTCTGAAATTCCACTAATCCTTTAGAAAAGAAATTTGCCTTTGTGCAATCTAGTGAGTTATTTTTTTTGGAAGCTAAAAGGCTTGTGCAGCAAAAGGAAACGATGCCCATTCCATTCCATTCCATCCTCTCCTGGGTTCCAGTCACACTCTGAGCTCCAGGTAGAGGTCTGGTCCTGAAGGGCATCCCACAAAGAAGCCAGCAGGGAGGGAGCCACTTCTGGAGACGACCAGCAGTAAGAACAGGCTCTGATTGCACCCAGAGGACAGAAAGCACCCTTTCCCTGAAGGAGGAGGTGGGGGCCCCAGGGAACTCCCAAGTTCCTTATAAATACTTCAATGCTGGACCTGCTGCAAGTCCTCCCCCATTTTCACATATAATTCTCAGCAGACACCTTACCCCTTATGTGACATCCTTTCCTCTTCTTTGATTTTTCTACACAGCTCTCCATATTTATTTAAAGATAATATGCATTTTCATGGTTAAAAAAAATGCTTGAGGATGTCACCTGTCAAATGAACATCACCTTCTCAGTGAGACCTTGTCTGGATATCTTATTTGCAATTGTAAACTCTCCCCCACCAACATTCCTTATCCAACTTCCTTGATATATTTTCTACACAGTGCTTCCTACCATCTCAAAAATATGTTTTACTTATTGATCTATTTCTCCAAGTAGAAAGAAAACTCCATAAGGATAGAGATTTTACCTTTTTTGCTCACTACTATCTATCACCAGTGCCTAAAACAAAATCTTGTGCCTACTGGTCATTCAATGAATAGCTGAAGAATGTTTATGCAGATGACAAATGAAGGCCCCCTCTTCCCCTCTGCCTGTGCATGAAGCATCCAGGTGAATCCCATTCTCACATGAATGCTCCTTCTTAAAGGCAAGTGGTAGCCATCCAATCTAACTGTGGCAGTTACTTCACAGGCACAGAATTTATATACTACAGGAGAGTGTAGCATCCTGATTGTTTCCTTTAGAAAACTGTGCCTTACGTATGCCTCGTGTAACTCAAATACTTATGTTACTTGGTGAAGGCAACACATTAGTACAAGTATTAGAGTTATTCTGGCTTCCCCTTGATTGGTCTCAGTCAGGGATGCCACTCCTGGAACCATAGATGGGTCTCCGTTTTTGCTGACTTCCCTGGGGCTTTTTCTGGTGCCATCGCCAATGTTGCCTTCATATCATTTTTGTCATCTTCCACATCAATGCTCTTTTCCTCCCAGAGCCAATTGGTGATTCTCTGATTCTGATTTTGGGAAACAAACAACTCAAAAATTAAGAACCTCTTGGAAGGGCATGTTCTGGGATCCTATAAGATTCTCCTCCTATTCTGATACTCTTGGGTACTGAGAAAACAATAAGTACAAACCAGCATGGCCACTAACAGTTTCCTGTTTGTTGGTGGATTTGTATGTGGAACTCCATTAAAGGCTTCCATTCTTGCCATGTCATCACAGCTCTGCCTCTGAACCCACTGGCCCTCTGCCTGTCACAGTGAACCTTGTGCTTAGAACTATTATTTCTGTTCTATGCTTGATGCTTGGGCTTGACGCTTTGAGCTATCTAGTGCAGGAGTGGGACTTTGAGCCCCATTTGGCCACAGCCTCAAGCTAACCCTGATCATTCTTCTCCTAGATGCTGTTACTCTTGGAGCTGGGGAGGTTGAAGCCAAAGGGTTTCTGTTCCAGCCTTTTCATTCCCTACTGAGGATCCCTGATATTAACCAGGGTGGAGTGTGAATGGACAGCGAAGAGCCAAACACTCTAACCCATGTGTGATGGAGCACTGGATCTGCTGATTGCAGAAACACAGTTGACTCCGAGAACATTTAGACGAACACTCTTCAGAGTCTTGATACTCACCCCCTCCATTCTTGCAGTGCTCTAGATCACCAACTTCCAGCAGCTTGAAATCTTTCCTTCTTCAAACAGACCTAGGCTATTAGAGCATCTTCCTAAAGCATATGCACATTCTCTAAGGAACTCTGCATTTTCCTGCTCAGGCAACCAATGGACTCCTCCTACTGATTGGGACCTGGGGAAGTTTAGCGGGGTTTCTCCAGGCCAAGGCCATATATGTATTTGGAATAAGACACTATCATGGCTAAGCTCTCCTGACATGGGTTCTCAATCTTGGAGCACGTGACTTATTCTGGTATCAAGAACAGCCTTAAGGATAGGAAGGAATGTTATGTGATTCACTCTAACGGCAGCTCCAGGCCAGATGGGGAAGGTAGAGCTGGGCAAGGGATTGCTCACATATCACCTACCTAATTGGAAGTCTTACCATCATCAGGGCTGTGATGTCAACAATTTTCCCTTTTTGTATATAGAAACAAAATAAAAATATTTTGCCTGTTTATTAATTTAGATTTTAAAATATTTGTGAGCCAATATTTAATGAGCACCTACTAGATACTCATTATTGGACTAGGAGATGGAAGCTCTGAAACTTACAATGAATAAGACTCCTTTCTTGGTTTCCAAAGAGTTTACTGTCTTGTGAGGGTGGGAGTGGGGTAGGGGGCACAGAAATGCAGAAATAATACAAAAGGATAGAAAAGGGGGGTTATAGCAAGCAATGAGGTGAGGGGCTAAGAATGAAAGTAGTCAGTATAAAATTTCTGATTTTGAGAATTAGTGTTACAGAACATGCAGCTTTTATTTCTTTTGCAAAAGGAAGAATAAAAATTCTGTGATCTTTTTTTATAAGACTATTAAGCTAAACTACTTCCAACAACTTAGATAAATTTGGTTATTCATGAGAATAACACCTTTTCTAAAAGAAATAAAGTTAATTTTCTACTCTTCTGCAAAGGAGGTCATTAATTATACATTTTAGATTTCATCAATTTCAGTGAAATGAGACTAACATTTTAACTAGATGTCAAGGAAGACATAAGATATTAAGTTAAATATACTGATGACAATAAATGGTTATTAAAAAACACAATTCTGTTACTTATAATTTTCTCACTTGGGTGTCTAATTGAAGTCCTGAGTTTCACATTTAGGCAGTCAAGTCAATGTATAGCAATCCTGTGAGCTTTAAACAAAAGCTTTTAAACCATTGAGTCATTTCCAGATTAAGGACAGATGGATGGCATTTTTTTTTTGAGTACTTAAAAAAAAAAAAAAAAACCCAAGCCCAACAAAAACACTGGCATTCACAGCGGTAACCATCTATCTGCAAAAGAATCAACATACCTTTTATTCTGCTCCCACTAGGAACTTGCTATTTTTGAGATAGGAACTTGTCTTGAAAAATTTTAATGCATGTGAACGTGTGTCTTTGTGGTGCTTATTGCCAACACAAAAGAAGGAAGGAAAAGCTTCCTTGGCAAGCTTGGCATGCTTGGTGAATTTTCCCAGGTTGCGGTTCTGTGTTCATCTTCTACCGTTTTTCAAAAATTCCCTCTGTTTGGACAGCTACCCTATGAGGAGAAGCAGCAGTCACACAGCCCTGATGCTCCACGGGGTAGCCAGAGCCATCTTTTGTTTTTTCACATAGTCTTCTGCTTGCTTGGCCTGGATTCACAAATGGAGAAATTTTTTTTTCCAATTGTTTTTCTCAAGGAATCCAATGAAAAATACTAATAAAATTGAATTGTTTTTATTAAACCAGAAGGGTGTGGGAAACATTCACTTTCCAATGAAGATTTAAGTTAATGGTTATCTAGAATATAGTTTTGATATTAAAAGATTTCTTTAAACCTTTGAATTCACAAGTAAGGAATAAACTTTGAAATGTTCAGACACTTGCATGATGAAAGGTTGACACATGTGGGTTGTGTTTGTTTGACCCAGGTTTCTTGTCCTACGGTCTACCCCTTAAATTCAGCAAAGTAGTGAAGATCTTCGATTTTTTTCCTGCATGGAAAACTCAGGCCGTTCATATGTATTTTTTCCTAGATTTTTGTATGTCATGATTTTTATAATTGTTCTGTCTCTGTTAGATTTGTTCTATCCCTGTTAGCTTTTGAGTTCTTCAAGAGGTATGGTTACTATCTTCTGTTTCCTGTTTCCCTATACAGAATTTATTCCAGGCCTCCACACATAGTGGCTGTTTAATAGATAACTGTTAACAGACTGACCTTTTTCCTCCTAGTTACTGATTGAAATTGGTTCTTGTTCTGTTTTGTTTTTGTTTTTCTTTTCTTCCCCTTCATATTGCTGTGTGTGAAATCAGTGACCTTAATCTGCAGTGTGGCACATAAGGAAAAGAGATCACTGGGGTTGACACAAATTTGAAATAGCAAAGAAATGGGTCACCCAGACTGAAGTCAAAAATGTGGAGACTTTAGGAGTAAAAGAATCCTCTGCTTTGTAAGTGACCACTTACTATTAGTAACTGTCACTTTTTTTGTTGTTTGTTTCCAACAATTAGGGACTTGATTTTCTTCAACATGGCTTTGAAAGACCTCTAACAGCAAACTCATCACTTTACAATGCCTATTTACAGTTTTGTCCCCTCTTTTCATTTCCTTTTTTAAAAAATTTATTATACTTTAAGTTTTAGGGTACATGTGCATAACGTGCAGGTTAGTTACATATGTATACATGTGCCATGTTGGTGTGCTGCACCCATTAACTCATCATTTAACATTAGGTATATCTCCTAATGCTATCCCTCCCCCCTCCCCCCACCCCACAACAGGCCCTGGTGTGTGATGTTCCCCTTCCTGTGTCCATGTGTTCTCATTGTTCACTTCTAACCTATGAGTGAGAACATGTGGTGTTTGGTTTTTTGTCCTTGCAATAGGTTGCTGAGAATGATGATTTCCAGCTTCATCCATGTCCCTGCAAAGGACATGAACTCATCATTTTTTATGGCTGCATAGTATTCCATGGTGTATATGTGCCACATTTTCTTAATCCAGTCTATCATTGTTGGACATTTGGATTGGTTCCAAGTCTTTGCTATTGTGAATAGTGCCACAATAAACATACATGTGCATGTGTCTTTATAGCAGCAGGATTTATAATCCTTTGGGTATATACCCAGTAATGGGATGGCTGGGTCAAATGGTATTTCTAGTTCTAGATCCCTGAGGAATCGCCACACTGACTTCCACAATGGTTGAACTAGTTTACAGTCCCACCAACAGTGTAAAAGTGTTCCTATTTCTCCACATCCTCTCCAGCACCTGTTGTTTCCTGACTTCTTAATGATTGCCATTCTAACTGGTGTGAGATGGTATCTCATTGTGGTTTTGATTTGCATTTCTCTGATGGCCAGTGATGATGAGCATTTTTTCATGTGTCTTTTGGTTGCATAAATGTCTTCTTCTGAGAAGTGTCTGTTCATGTCCTTTGCCCACTTTTTGATGGGGTTGTTTGTTTTTTTCTTGTAAATTTGTTTGAGTTCATTGTAGATTCTGGATATTAGCCCTTTGTCAGATGAGTAGATTGCAAAAATTTTCCCCCATTCTGTAGGTTGCCTGTTCACTCTGGTGGTAGTTTCTTTTGCTGTTCAGAAGCTCTTTAGTTTAATTAGATCCCATTTGTCAATTTTGGCTTCTGTTGCCATTGCTTTTGGTGTTTTAGACATGAAGTCCTTGCCCATGCCTATGTCCTGAATGGTATTGCCTAGGTTTTCTTCTAGGGTTTTTGTGGTTTTAGGTCTAATATTTAAGTCTTTAATCCATCTTGAATTAATTTTTGTATAAGGTGTAAGGAAGGGATCCAGTTTCAGCTTTCTACATATGGCTAGCCAGTTTTCCCAGCACCATTTATTAAATAGGGAATCCTTTCCCCATTGCTTGTTTTTCTCAGGTTTGTCAAAGATCAGATGGTTGTAGAAATGTGGCATTATTTCTGAGGGCTCTGTTCTGTTCCATTGGTCTATATCTCTGTTTTGATACCAGTACCATGCTGTTTTGGTTACTGTAACCTTGTAGTATAGTTTGAAGTCAGGTAGTGTGATGCCTCCAGCTTTGTTCTTTTGGGTTAGGATTGACTTGGCAATGCAGGCTCTTTTTTGGCTCCATATGAACTTTAAAGTAGTTTTTTCCAATTCTGTGAAGAAAGTCATTGGCAGCTTGATGGGGATGGCATTGACTCTATAAATTACCTTGGGCAGTATGGCCATTTTCACGATATTGATTCTTCCTACCCATGAGCATGGAATGTTCTTCCATTTGTCTGTATCCTCTTTTATTTCCTTGAGCAGTGGTTTGTAGTTCTCCTTGAAGAGGTCCTTCACATCCCTTGTAAGTTGGATTCCTAGGTATTTTATTCTCTTTGAAGCAATTGTGAATGGGAGTTCACTCATGATTTGGCTATCTGTCTGTTATTAGTGTATAAGAATGCTTGTGATTTTTGTACATTGATTTTGTATCCTGAGACCTTGCTGAAGTTGCCTATCAGCTTAAGGAGATTTTGGGTTGAGACGATGGGGTTTTCTAGATATACAGTCATGTCATCTGCAACAGGGACAATTTGACTTCCTCTTTTCCTAATTGAATACCCTTTATTTCCTTCTCCTGCCTGATTGCCCTGGCCAGAACTTCCAACACTATGTTGAATAGGAGTGGTGAGAGAGGGCATCCCTGTCTTGTGCCAGTTTTCAAAGGGAATGCTTCCAGTTTTTGCCCATTTAGTATGATATTGGCTGTGGGTTTGTCATAGATAGCTCTTATTATTTTGATATACATCCCATCAATACCTAATTTATTGAGAGTTTTTAGCAAGAAGGGTTTTTGAATTTTGTCAAAGGCCTTTTCTGCATCTATTGAGATAATTATATAGTTTTTGTCTTTGGTTCTGTTTATATGCTGGATTATGTTTATTGATTTTCATATGTTGAACCAGCCTTGCATCCCAGGGATGAAGCCCACTTGATCATGGTGGATAAGCTTTTTGATGTGCTGCTGGATTCGGTTTGCCAGTATTTTATTGAGGATTTTTGCATCAATGTTCATCAGGGATATTGGTCTAAAATTCTCCTTTTTTGTTGTGTCTCTGCCAGGCTTTGGTATCAGGATGATGCTGGCCTCATAAAATGAGTTAGGGAGGATTCCCTCTTTTTCTATTGATTGGAATAGTTTCAGAAGGAATGGTACCAGCTCCTCCTTGTACCTCTGGTAGAATTTGGCTGTGAATCCATCTGGTCCTGGAGTTTTTTTGGTTGGTAAGCTGTTGATTATTGCCTCAATTTCAGAGCCTGTTATTGGTCTATTCAGAGATTCATCTTTTTCCTGGTTTAGTCTGGGGAGGGTGTATGTGTCAAGGAATTTATCCATTTCTTCTAGATTTTCTAGTTTATTTGTGTAGAGGTGTTTATAGTATTCTCTGATGGTAGTTTGTATTTCTGTGGGATCGGTGGTGATATCCCCTTTATCGTTTTTTATTGCATCTATTTGATTCTTCTCTCTTTTCTTCTTTATTAGTCTTGCTAGCAGTCTATCAATTTTGTTGATCTTTTCACAAAAACCAGCTCCTGGATTCATTGATTTTTTGAAGGGTTTTTTGTGTCTCTATTTCCTTCAGTTTTGCTCTGATCTTAGTTATTTCTTGCCTTCTGCTAGCTTTTGAATGTGTTTGCTCTTGCTTCTCTAGTTCTTTTAATTGTGATGTTAGTGTGTCAATTTTAGATCTTTCCTGCTTTCTCTTGTGGGCATTTAGTGCTATAAATTTCCCTCTACACACTGCTTTGAATGTGTCCCAGAGATTCTGGTATGTTGTGTCTCTGTTCTCGTTGATTTCAAAGAACATCTTTATTTCTGCCTTCATTTCGTTATGTACCCAGTAGTCATTCAGAAGCAGGCTGTTCAGTTTCCATGTAGTTGAGCGGTTTTAAGTGAGTTTCTTAATCCCCAGTTCTAGTTTGATTGCACTGTGGTCTGAGAGACAGTTTGTTATAATTTCTGTTCTTTTACATTTGCTGAGGAGTGCTTTACTTCCAAGTATGTGGTCAGTTTTGGAATAGGTGTGGTGTGGTGTTGAAAAGAATGTATATTCTGTTGTATATTAGGTCCGCTTGGTGCAGAGCTGAGTTCAATTCCTGGATATCCTTGTTAACTTTCTGTCTCGTTGATCTGTCTAATGTTGACAGTGGGGTGTTAAAGTCTCCCATTATTATTGTGTGGCAGTCTAAGTCTCTTTGTAGGTCTGTAAGGACTTGCTTTATGAATCTGGGTGCTCCTGTATTGGGTGCATATATATTTAGGATAGTTAGCTCTTCTTGTTGAATTGATCCCTTTACCATTATGTAATGGCCTTCTTTGTCTCTTTTGATCTTTGTTGGTTTAAAGTCTGTTTTATCTGAGACTAGGATTGCAACCCCTGCCTTTTCTTGTTTTCCATTTGCTTGGTAGATCTTCCTCCATCCCTTTATTTTGAGCCTATGTGTGTCTCTGCACTTGAGATGGGTTTCCTGAATACAGCACACTGATGGGTCTTGACTGTTTATCCGATTTGCCAGTCTGTGTCTTTTAATTGGAGCCTTTAGCCCATTTACATTTAAAGTTAATATTGTTATGTGTGAATTTGATCCTGTCATTATGATGTTAGCTGGTTATTTTGCTTGTTAGTTGATGCAGTTTCTTCCTAGCCTCGAAGGTCTTTACAATTTGGTATGTTTTTGCAGTGGCTGGTACCGGTTGTTCCTTTCCATGTTTAGTGCTTCCTTCAGGAGCTCTTTTAGGGCAGGCCTGGTGGTGACAAAATCTCTCAGCATTTGCTTGTCTGTAAAGTATTTTATTTCTCCTTCACTTATGAAGCTTAGTTTGGCTGGATATGAAATTCTGGGTTGAAAATCCTTTTCTTTAAGAATGTTGAATATCGGCCCCCTCTCTCTTCAGACTTGTAGAGTTTCTGCTGAGAGATCAGTTGTTAGTGTGATGGGCTTCCCTTTGTGGGTAAGCCAACCTTTCTCTCTGGCTGCCCTTAACAGTTTCTCCTTCATGTCAACTTTGGTGAATCTGACAATTATGTGTCTTGGAGTTGCTCTTCTCGAGGAGTATCTTTGTGGCATTCTCTGTATTTCCTGAATCTGAATGTTGGCCTGCCTTGCTAGATTGGGGAAGTTCTCCTGGGTAATATCCTGCAGAGTGTTTTCCAACTTGGTTCCATTCTCCCCGTCACTTTCAAGTACACCAATCAGACGTAGATTTGGTCTTTTCACATAGTCCCATATTTCTTGGAGGCTTTGTTCGTTTCTTTTTATTCTTTTTTCTCTAAACTTCTCTTCTCACTTCATTTCATTCATTTGATCTTCCATCACTGATACCCTTTCTTCCAGTGGATCGAATTGGCTACTGAGGCTTGTGCATTCATCACGTAGTTCTCGTGCCTTGGTTTTCAGCTCCATCAGGTCCTTTAAGGACTTCTCTGCATTGGTCATTCTAGTTAGCCATTCATCTAATTTTTTTTCAAGGTTTTTAACTTCTTTGCCATGGGTTCGAACTTCTTCCTTTAGCTCGGAGTAGTTTGATCGTCTGAAACCTTCTTCTCTCAACTCGTCAATGTCATTCTCCGTCCAGCTTTGTTCTGTTGCTGGTGAGGAGCTGCATTCCTTTGGAAGAGGAGAGGTGCTCTGATTTTTACAGTTTCCAGTTTTTCTGCTCTGTTTTTTCCCCATCTTTGTGGTTTTATCTACCTTTGGTCTTTGATGATGGTGACATACAGATGGGATTTTGGTGTGGATGTCCTTTCTGTTTGTTAGTTTTCCTTCTAACAGTCAGGACCCTCAGCTGCAGGTCTGTTGGAGTTTTCTGGAGGTCCGCTCCAGACCCTGTGTGCCTGCGTATCAGCAGCAGAGGCTGCAGAGCAGTGGATATTGGTGAACAGCAAATGTTGCTGCCTGATTTTTCCTCTGGAAGTTTTGTCTCAGAGGAGTACCCGGCCATGAGGGGTGTCAGTCTGCCCCTACTCGGGGGTGCCTCCCAGTTAGGCTACTTGGGGGTCAGGGACCCACTTGAGGAGGCAGTCTCTCCATTCTCAGATCTCCAGCTGCGTGCTGGGAGAACCACTACTCTCTTCAAAGCTGTCAGACAGGGATATTTAAGTCTGCAGAGGTTTCTGCTGCCTTTTATTTGGCTATGCCCTGCCCCCAGAGGTGGAGTCTACAGAGGCAGGCAGGCCTCCTTGAGCTGCGGTGGGCTCCACCCAGTTCGAGCTTCCCGGAGGCTTTGCTTACCTACTCAAGCCTCGGCAGCGGTGGGCGTCCCTCCCCCAGCCTCGCTGCCACCTTGCAATTTGATCTCAGACTGCTGTGCTAGGAATGAGTGAGGCTCTGTGGGTGTAGGACCCTCTGAGCCAGGCGTGGGATATAATCTCCTGGTGTGCCGTTTGCTAAGACCATTGGAAAAGCGCAGTATTAGGGTGGGAGTGACCCGATTTTCCAGGTGCCGTCTGTCACCCCTTTCTTTGACTAGGAAAGGGAATTCCCTGATCCCTTGCGCTTCCCAGGTGAGGCGATGCCTCGCCCTTCTTTGGCTCACACTCGGTGCGCTGCACCCACTGTCCTGCACCCACTTTCTGACACTCCCCAGTGAGATGAACCTGGTACCTCAGTTGGAAATGCAGAAATCACCCATCTTCTGCATCGCTCACGCTGGGAGCTGTAGACTGGAGCTGCCTATTCAGCCATCTTGGCTCCACCCCCCTTGTCCTCTCTTTTCAATGTGATATATAGGCATTAAACCATAAGATTCCTGTTTAATATGATTGAAGCTGAGGAGATAAATTCCTAGTGTATAAAGGGCCGAGAAAGGACCCTTTTGTATTCTTTAAAAAGAAGAATCAATCACAGTGTTTTAGGTTTGGGAGAGCTTACCTTCTTTTCCTTTTTCATTCTGTCATCATTTTTGCTTTATTAGAGAACAAGTATCCATCTTTTCTTATATGAAAAGAAAATGTTTCTTAATTGTATTTATATGCAAGCCAGTAATTACAATCAACATGATTAGTCTGAAGCAATAAATACAAGATGTCAAGAAAATATTTATAAAGGCCACTACCTTTGAAGTGTTCAGTTTTTCTTACATTGTCAAGTTTCTTGGGTAAAATCCTTCTTGATTTCCCAATTGCTATTAATTTTTATTGCAATTATTATTGAAAAAGGAAGGTCAATTGGAGAAAAATGAATCATTGCACAAAAAATAAAATTTATAGCAGCTACCTGAGTTGTGGCTTACGTTTTAGAGGGACAATCAGATAACCTCAGAGCCAAAGAAACAAGTATTTAAAAACTCATTTTAGCCATGTCCTCACAGGAAAAGAGTCTTTAGATAGGATGGCCTATTAGATCAGAAAAAAGAAAAGACTTTTCAATTTGATAGAAAATTTTCCACATAATAATATAATATAGAGTCTAGTACTCATTCCAAAATATATTAATAATATATATTATTACAATAGTAAAGATAATCCCACTGACTCTCACTGGATAAATGTTTCAGTTCAACTCTTTGTGAAATGGTCTCTGTTGATTGCTTCATTTGAATAAGCTATGTCTGGTGCATGTAGTTGCTAATATGAGCAGAACCATGAACTTTTCAAAAATGTATTCATATAAGGCAATTTTTGGGTGAATATGAATTTACTTTCATCCTCTCTTCTAAAGTAAATTATAAAAATAAATTTCAGAAGGAAAAAATATGCACTAATGATCAATATTTTTGCTATTTGAACCATGGACCACCTCAAATGCATTGGAAATTTAAAATGTAGTTATAATGCATTTTCACATATATTCAAGAAACTGATCAATACCAAAACATCATTTAATAAATATTGCTTGTGCACCCCATATGTATCAGGGACTGTGTTAAGCTCTGGAGAAGATAATTTAAAAAAAATTAAAATGGAGGTTACAGATTCTGGAGCTTGAGAAATAAAATGGCACTCGAGGTGGTGTGAGCATTCTGGGAATTAATCCTCTGTTAATCATTATTCTTCTAAAGACTAGCAGATGACTTAAACAGAGTATGAGGTGTATTTTTGGAAATCAGTAGGGATGATCTTAGTCTTGGTTGAGACAAATAGAAGTCCTAGGTGTCTTTGAACTTTGACTAAGGAAGAACAGAGCAGAGATTTCACTATATAGTTGAGGAAATGGAAAGGAGACAAAAAAGGGGAAAGGGGTCAACTATGTGTATGAGATGGGGAGAGAAAAATGGAATTAGACAAAAAAATGGAATATATATTGGGATTCACTTTTCCATATGTTATACCTAGCAATCTTAAAGAGAGCCTTTTTTTTGTTTTCATCTTCAGCTGGTGTTCAGGAATGGGAAACCAATAACCAAAGCAATAAGTCCCCATTCGATTCTAAAAACTTGGTCTCTTCTAGCTTATTTAACGTGGCTTGGAAACTCTGTAAAAATATGTAGAATTATTGGTGGTGAATGGTGTATCTGAGACCAGTATGCAGTTTAGCAATATATATGTTTATTGTCTTATTTGTGGATTAATGGTTATATATGAATGCGTAATTTGTGTGTTTAAGCATACCTATTAATAAGGATTAAAAAAAATGAGCAAATTCACACATTTTCTCCAAAAGGCATTGTTAATTAAACAACTGAGGGATCGAAGTCCTGTGTTATGAAAGTATGTTTCCTCTTCACACCAGGGAGCCAAGTTTACCAGCACTTGAATTCAAACAGAAGCCTTGTTTACTAATTAGAGGCATGCATGGTAAAGGCCGTAATTAAATAAATGCCAGAGGACTAGAAAGAGAAGCATAGACAAAATCCATCCACTTTTGCTTCTAGTTCTTTCTTCTTAGTGCCTATTGCCTGAATTTCCATCTTTCATTTATGAATTGGTCATGGTTTTTAGTCGCAAATCCCAGAGTCCACTCTGGATAGTTTGAAGAGAGACATCTTAAAGTATCTCAGGTAGCTCACAGAATCTCTGCAAGGGCCATCAACCCCTTTTGAATGCAACACATTCTCCACCAATACAGGCTGAAGCTCTGCCTCACCATGCTGCAGGGTTGTTATCTCCAAGAAACCAGCTGCCACCCTTCACTGACTGTGTGTGGTGCCACATACCAGCAGTCAGATATCTCCTGAAGAATGAGATGCCTATACTACCACATTTGCCAGATCAGTTTCCCCCATGTGGCCACTAGTCATGTTGCTACCTTCCACAAGTTTAGTCTTCTATGGTTGTATTTGCTTAGTACAGTCTAGGTCTGATGCTTGTACTGTAGCTGCAAGTGAGTCTGGAAGGAATAGTGTCTTTTGTTTTCCTTTTGTTTTGTTTAATTCTACTTTGGCAAGGATGGATTCACAATGTGAGAATCTATCAAAATATTGAGAGTGTTTAAAAGATACCAAGCAGCTATAAATGATAAAATTCCAAAGGCTATGACTGAAGAAACTCAGTAAAGACACATTTGTTTTGGGATGAGATAGCAATTAAAATTAGTGATTCATTAACAGGGTGTGACTGAAAGGGGCTAAGATCTTTTTTTTGAATCTTGATGTATAGGACATGACAAATTATAATTTCTAAATTGCAAACACCCAAAATACTGAGGTATAAATGTAACAGGAAATGGGTATAACCTATGAAGAAAGGGATAAAATGTACCGAGGGGCTGATATGGTTTTGCTGTGTCCCCACCCAAATCTCACCTTGAATTGTAGCCCCCCTAATCCCCACGTGTCGTGGGAGGGACCCAGTGGGAGGTAACTGATCATGGAGGCAGGTTTTTCCTGTGCTGTTATCATGATAGTGAATAAGTCTCATGAGATCTAATGGTTTTATAAAGGGCAGTTCCCCCGCACATGCTCTCTTGCCTGCCACCATAAGATACACCTTTGCTCCTCTTTTGCCTTCTGCCACGTTTGTGAGGCCTCTCCTGCAATGTGGAACTATGAGTCCATTAAACGTCTTTTTCTTTATAAATTACCCAGTCTCTGGTATTTCTTCATAGCAGTGTGAAAATTGACTAATAAAGAGGCATAAAAGAAGATAACAATAGTGTAAAGATATCTTTTCTTGGCTAGAAATGTACACTATATGTAAAGATGACAGTGTTCTCAAAATCTGCATGTGAATGGTAATCCTCATCAAAACCACAAGTGCGTTTTTTGGAGGGAATTTGACAAAATAATTATAAAGATAATCATGGATCATAAATATAGTCAACAGGCCAGGTGTGGTGGCTCACGCCTATAATCCCAACACTTCAGAAGGCCTGGGTGGGTGGATCACTTGAGGTCGGGAGTTCGAGACCAGCCTGGCTAACATGGCGAAACCCCATCTCTACTAAAAATACAAAATTTAGCTGGGCGTGCTGGCTTGCACCTGTAATCCCAGCTACTCAGGAGACTGAGACAGGAGAATCGCTTGAATCCGGAAGGTGGAGGTTGCAGTGAGATGAGATTGTGCCACTGCACTCCATCCTGGGTGACAGAGGGAGACTCAGTCCACCTCAACAAATAAAAATAAAAATAATAAATAAATACATAAATATATCCAGCAATATTGAAAAAATAATAATAGCCAGTGGATATCATAGCCAATAAAAATCTGAAAAAGAAAAGTGATGAGGGATAAGTAAAGGTATGTGGTTCTCCTAGCACAGGAATAGACAGAAGGATGAAATACAACAATGAGTTCACAAAGAGACTAATGTAAATAGAGGAACAAAATCTATGATAAAGGTGGCAGTGTAAAAAATGTGAATTATTTAATGAATAGTGAAGAAAACTGTTCATTCAGGAAAAAAAAGAGACCAATACTGACTTTAATCCTAAATGGATTAAATATTTAGTGAAAAACTGAAATAATAGAAGTATAAACAAACAAACAAAGGTGGCTAATATACACTTGTGGTGGGGAAAGCCTTTTCCCAACACATGCACACACACACGTGTGCTCACGTACGCACACACACACACGAAAATATTGAATTATTTATCTATAAAAATAAAAAAAATTCAGCATAGTAAAAAGATTTAAAAACCCAGAAGAATCTAAAACAAATTGGGAAAACATTTTAAACACATATTTGAAAATGCATCTGAAAGTAAAATCAGATAACAATATAGTCCTGTGTTTTTAAGGAGAACAGTTCTCAATCTTTTCACACACATAACACATATAGACTGATAGTCTGTGTCTTTTCTATAATTTAATCCCTATGTAGAATTTTCACTGGCTTTGTGTTTTATGGTACATAGTAAAGCTATGCTGAAATACATTAAAATATTAGATTAATTCATCTGGCAAATATCTTAAGTTCAAGGAAACATATATATATATTTTTAAAGATTTCTTGTCCACTGTATTAAATCAAGTTCTGTGCACTGAATTTGTTTTCCTTGAACAAAATTTTTAGATGATTTTTATTTCTTTATAAAGTAATGAAAAGTTTGCTGGGATTATGTAGACTCACCTAGTTTTATTTCCTAGATCCAAGAAAGAAAAGGCAGGATTTTTAAAAGGGGGATTGCATTCCCTTCAGATTGTTATTCTAAATCTGACTTGATAGCAGAATCCAAAGTACATCGTATCCCAGATAAAGCTAGCTGCTTGCCAGACTGCTCTGTTACAATTGAACTGTAAATGGCTCACATCAGCACATTCTGTCAACTTTATATAAACCCCACTTTATGTAACATGATTATAGATCCCCTGAACACTGCTTTGTACCTGTAGCTTGCGGACTGATTCTCTCAACATTGTCTACCAGGCATGACTGTGAAAAGCAGCATGGGCTGCCGTTGAGGTTGCGCGTGGAGGTAACAGGCAGCTAGCGCCTGGTTTTTTCATTTTTCTAGATGCCTGTTACCCTCATTGTAAAATAGAATGGGCGAGTGTGTTCTTTTTCTCTTTTTCCCCAAGCCATTTATCTTTGATGCCTATCTTTGTCACCTCCAGAGATGTTTTGGGGCTGGCTAACTTTGACTACAGGACTTGACTCCATAGGAAGAGCTCCTGATTCATGTGGTCAGCACACCCCCTCGTGCAAGGGGATTTATCCAGGAAAGCATTGCTTTCCATTTTTCTCTGATGATATCATTCCTCTGGTCTGTGATCTGGCTGACCTGATGATATGGATAGTTCTTAGGAGTTCAGTTCTGATCAGCATTCATTGAGCCTTTGCTGTGTGCAAGCCTGAGTGAAGAAACTCCTGGAATTCAGAATTACTGGAAGGAAATGTTTCAGGTGTGGAGTGGTGTGAGATGAGGCTGAAGAGAGAAGGAGGAGTCAGATTGGGAAGGACTTGGATGCCACATGTGGGTTGTTTTTTTCTGTGGGCAGTGCTGAGTCCTTCATTCCTTGCTTTCTTGCACATCCACATTCAGTCCTTCAGCAAATCCTTTTGGCCAGATATCCCAAATCTGATCATCATCACCAGGCTAATCTAAGCTACTTCTACCTCCACCAGGATCACATCAATGGCTCCACAATTAGTCTGGTAATCAGGTCTCCTTGCTCCCACTTCTGTCCCTCTATGGTTTACCCTATGCACAGAGTGAGAGTGTTTCCTCTAAAACACAAGTTAGATAATGTCATTCCCCAGTACTCAAACCCCAATGGCTTCTTCCCCATCTAGAATAAAATCCACATTCTTACCAAGGCCTGAAAGGCAAGGCCTCATTTGAGTTGGTCCAACACTCCCTTTCCCTGCCTCATGGCTGACTCTCTCCCCTCATCCCTATGTGTTGATGAAGGACTGTCCTGACTACTCTTTCTAAAAATCCCCCACCCCATCTTTTACTCTCTCTTTTTCCATATATATATATATATATATATATATATATATATATATATATATATATATATTTATATATTTATATATATATATATATTTATATCTGTTTGCTTATTTCCCATCTTGTCCACAGGAATGTAAGCTTCAAGACGGTAGAGATGTGTCTGTTTTGTTTACTGTTGTATTCCTAGTGCCAAGCACTGGGTGTTTATTGAATGAATTAAATGAGTGCATCAATGAGTGAATTCACAGCCATTCAAAACTTGGGAGTGAAATGATCGGATGTGTGTTTCAGGCAGATCACTCTCTCTGCAGTGTGGAGGATGTATGTAAGGGGATCTGAGGTGTGGGAGGAAGGTAGAAAGGAGTTAAGAGAATCAGTTAGGAAGCTTTTGTGTTAGTTCAGGTCAAAGGTGTGAAGGACTAAACTAAGGCAATGGTATTTGGCATGAAGAAAGAGGAGATAGACTGAGAAGTATTTTAGTGATAAAATAGTCTAAATATGACCAAATTGTATCTGGGCCTCCCTTCAGAGTCTTGGCTACAGGAGGGAATGATAAAGGATGCTGGAACTGGCAGTGATCCAGTCTGGGGTTGTGGGGGCAGCGTGATGTTGCCTGAGTGCCTTTTGGGACAAGTGCTTTTCCATTTCAGCATTTCCCTAGGTTAAAATTGCCAAGGCCTTCATGTGTTTCTTGTGAAGTGCAGAAGCATCGTCTTGCTGCAGATCCAAATGACTACAATAAGTTGGATGTATTTTTGGCACCAGATAGATGTTCAATAATAGTTTTAATGATAGTTTCTGCAGCAATTGGGTTTACCCTGGAGGCTTCCCATCTCTGTAATGACTAGGGCCAAGCCTGCTTAGTTTATAAGATCTGGCAAAATTACAGGGTGAATTGGTAATGCCGTGGGCTGTTGTACAAATTATACCAGGTCTGTCTCCTGTATAGAGGCCTGAGGCGCTTTTCTGAGCCCACTGTCTCTAGAGCCTTCAAGAATACTTATTTCAAAGGAAGTGCTGCGGTCTTAGGAGTTCCAGAAGCCATACACCTAATGAAATAGAAGGGGACCCACAATGCCTAACTTGTAGAAGTATTTGATCTGCTTGAAATTTTTAAAAAAGTATTTGTTGAAACTGATACTTAGTAGAATGTCATAATTTTGTTTTCAATATAGTTTGGGAAAGTTCTTTTTAGCATATTATCTTAGCCAAGGAAAGAATTACGTGGGCCTCAAATCTATAAACTTTCAAACCAAGAGAGATTATGAAATTATTTTGGATGATTGGGGGAGAGGTCTTTCCAAAGAAAAGGTTTATCACATGGGTGATTTAAAACACTACTAGAATTGCCTCTCCAAGCAATGACCTAGAAATCTGACAATGTGATAATGAATTCCCAAACAAAACAAACAAACACAAAAATCACATTGGAACATCTCACAATTGGCAGGATGAAAACTGGCAACAATAACTTCTGGAAAAGTGAGTTGGATCTTATAGCATTAAAATGAGTTTGGGGACTATGACATGAAGTCAACACTTTCATGAGAATTTTGGAATGCTCAATTTCCCACAATCTCATCATTTCTCTGCCTGACAATCGTAATTATTCCTCATCAACTTGACAGTCAAATTTGCTTCCTGTAGTGATAATATACCTGCTACCATCCTGACCATATTGGAGAAATAGCTTTTACTTTGATAGATTTGCTCATTTTTGAAGCTAAATTTCTATGTTATTCTCACTACTCTCTTACATTATTCATTAACTAATCACTATTTGTGCTTTTGAGAGTGGTTTGTAACTTTGGAAGTAAAGAGGAGATACACAGTTGTCTCCCTGATCATAAAGCAAAGACTATTTTACTTAAGTCACAAATTAAAAATAATTAATTATATGGTCAAGGCATGATGTACTACTTCAGAAAATGTTGGACATTATTGTATGTTTCTCAAATATCCAAAGTCATTAACAAATCATAGTTAACACATGGGACATTATAGAGGAATCTAGTTCTGTACAAGCTGAGAAAATATGCATGGAACACTAAGACCAGGTCATATGATTAAAAAAAGAACAATAATAGAGAAAACAGAATAAAGTAAACAAAATTATAAAGATAGTTATAAAAATATTTTCTTTGTTACATATTCAATACATTTTTACACATCACTGAGAAGGTGACATTAGAAGAAGAAGGTACCTGCCTGAGGAAACGACTTACAGAACAGAGGAAACTGCCAGTGCAAAGGCCTTGAGGTGGGACCATGCCTGGAGTGCAGGAGGGGAGCAAAGAGGACTAGAGGCCAAGTCTGGGGCAGAGCGATGCCTGGGGAGAGTAGTAGGAAATGAGATCAGTAGGTGACTGGGGGCTGTGTAGGCCAATGTGGGGATTTTTGCTTTTACTCTGGAGGTAATGCGGGGGAGTGGGGGCTTGCAGTGTTTTTACATGATATGACTTAAGTTTAAATGTTGCAGCCTGGGTGCTGAGAATAGATTGTAGTGGGGATGGGCGGGATCAAGGAGATTCTTTAAGAGGCTAATGCAGGATGGTGGCTAGGATCAGTGGGAGCAGTGGAAGTGGTGAGAAGTGGTTGGATACTGGGTATGTTTTAAAAGCAGTGCTGTTGGAGGGATTGTTGGTGAACAAAAGATGGAAGTCAAGGTTGATTTTAGGGGAAAGAAGGGGTCTTTATTTATCTTAGATTTTTAGGCATGCTGTAACAAATTTCCACAAACTGGGTGGCTTAAAATGACAAAAATGTATTCTCTCACAGTTCTGCATGGCAGAAGTCCAAAATTAACGTGTCTGTAAGGCTCTACGTCCTCTGGAGGTTCTATGGGAGAATCCATGTTGTGTCTCCTTCAGCATCTGGTGGCTGTTAGCATTCATTGGCATTTCTCGGTGGCATCTCTCCAATCACTGCCTCCCTTGTCATGTTGCATCCTGCTTTTCTGTCTCTTAGGGTACTTGTCATTGAATTCAGGGCCCACCCAGGCAGTCTAGGATAATCTTTAGTTAAGAACTTCCACTTAATTACGTTTGCAAAGTCCCCTTTTCCAAATAAGGCAATATTCACAGGTCTCAGGGATTTGGGCTTGGACATATCTTTTTGGAGGCTACACCTGCCTGAGTTGTCAGATTAAATAATTGAATATTATTATTAAAGGTATTTATTGCATTGGTCATGTTAAATAATAGATAATTAAATCTCCACAAAAATCCAACATTCTGCTCAAATTTAGCCATTATCCTCATTCTTCATGAGATACGTTAATCCAAACTGTTAAAATATATGAATTATTCACATTTGAATTTTACTTTCTCTCCCTTTACTAATCTATAGTTTGCTAAGAAAGCATTTATTTATTCATTTATTCACCAGATATTTATTCAGTGTCTAGAGTGTGCAGTTCACTGTGCTAGGCAATTCAGAAATATAAAAATAATTAAGTAATTTCTATCATTAAAGAACTGATATGTAATAATTTGGCTCAAACTTGTGCTTATTCCCCCATACTCTGTACTCATGTAGCTTGTAAGCACACAGCTTACTTACAGATAGTGTTTTGTGAATGAGAACATGGGTGACTAATTCTCCTTTGCTAGTTAAGAATGATAATGGTCGCAAAATCTTTCTCTTGCTTTTTGTTTTGCAATCCCTGCCCCTCCTTACATTGAGAAAGTTGAAGCAATTATAAATTGTGAGCTTCAGGTTCCAAAAGTGCTTTAAATTGCAGGAACAAGACATCAGAATGAATACATAGTGGGTGGAATCAGTTTATTTGGAGGAGCTTTTCCTAGAAATAACCCATCCTACAGTCTGATTTGGAGAAGAGAGTTTACTGAAGGGACAGAAGTGCTGGGAAACAAGCACCACAAAATATAAGTAATGTAAAAGAAACTGTAATCTTGGAAATGGAGGCATGTTAGTGACAAATGGTCCTTATGGAGTTTAGGAAAGAAAAAGTTGGTGAGAGTATTTTTCAGTGTTTATTCATGCCCACTCAACAGGAGGAAGAGACTATATTTGATGTCACTAGTGACCTGATCACTTGAAAAGAGATGAATTCTCTGATCTCTAACAGCTTGATTTAAATAGTTTACAGCAGGGGTCCCCAACCCCTGGGCCATGGACAGTTAGGAACTAACTATGCCGCACAGGAGGAGGTGAGTGGTGGGTGAGCAAACAAAGCTTCATCTGTATTTACAGCTGCTCCCCATCACATGCATTACTGCCTGAGCTCAACCTCCTGTCAGATCAGCAGTAGCAGCACTATATTCTCTTAGAAGCGTGAACCCTATTGTGAACTGAGCATGTGGGGGATCTAGGTTGTGCACTCCTCATGAGAATCTAATGTCTGATGATCTGTCACTGTCTCCTGTCACCCCCAGATGGGACCATTTAGTTGCAGGAAAACAAGCTCAGGGCTCCCGCTGACTTTACATTATGTGAGTTGTATAATTATTTCATTATATATTACAATGTAATTATAATAGAAATAAAATGCACAATAAATGTAATGCACTTGAATCCTTGGTCTGTGGAAAACCTGTTTTTCACGAAACCAGTCCCTGGTGCCAAAAAAATTGGGGACTGCTGACTTACAACCTCCTTTGCAGCAAACCTGGACTCACAGAGTGAATACTCGATTGTTATTATAAGGAACTTGGAGACAGAGCCTGGTGCATAATATGAGTTTAACAAAGGTTGGCTATTATTATAATTTATTATTTTATTTTTCTTATTATTTCTTCCAGGGGATCAAACTTCAACAGCCTACTAGTTTTCTCCTTATGTTACAACAAGAATATTTCCTGACATTAGATTTTATCAAATATTTGTTGTCACATATCCCTGATTATTGTTTGTTTGTTCACACTAAAGCATGGTTTTGATTAAGCCCTTCTTCCTCAAACGCTTTTCAGTAGGTCAATGGTACCTATCAAATATTCTAAACTTCTTAAAGTCACATTCCAGACCTGTGTGTTACCATTTGGTTCCAACCTAATTCCAACCCATTTTTCCCACCACTCCACCATATTTTTTCTAGGCTGTCACCAAAATAGATTACTGATCATTCTTCCTTTGCAAAACGTAGGCTCTCCTACCTCTATGTTTTTGCCCCCGTGCCTTCTGCCTCCTGGAATAATCCAGCTTTCTACAGTTATTCATCCCCTATTAGAGTCCTCAAGGGCCAGCTCAAAGGACACCTCTTCCACCAAACGTTTCTAGTTTCCTCTGGCTGGAAATGAGTGCTGTAAAAGTCCTTCAGTTTTTTGGTCTGTTTTTGTAGTGTTTGCCATATCACAGTGATCTGCCTATATGTGGAAATATGATGTCACAGAAAGGAGCTAATGCTCTTTGGAGTCAAACAGACAAGTCCTACTAAGTAGCTTTATAAACTTGAACTGCTTACTTAAACTCTGTGAACTTAGTTTGTTCTCCTGTAAGTTGAGAATAATTATACCTACCCCGTAAGTATTAATAAAAGGATAAAACAGAATGTGCTATGGGTCTCTTGGTGTAGTCCTTGCCACATTATGTGAGCCCTATATATTTTAAATTATTATTTCATTGTTATTATTATGTCCTCTACTACTTACAAGATTATGATCATTTTGAATTCAAGACCATGCCTGTCTCGTTCATCTTTATATTATGCGTAGCATAGTGTCTTACACTTAGACCCTCGTTTGCTACATTTGTGCGTGTATGTATATTAGTTTTTGCCTTCTCAACTATGTAATAAGTTTCTAGAGTAGTCGTCCATTTATTACCTAGTTAAAGGCTGGTGTACTCTATATACAGCCAGGTAGGAATAAGACTTGTTCAGACGCCCTCTGCTAGGAGTAATGCTCACTTAGCTCATTCACTTTGGGCAACTGAATCTTGACTGCAGTTAGCTGGGGACTTGGGAACCACTTAGCCCAGTTAACATTCTTTAAGAAGGTATGAAGGAAATGTGTGTAATTAATCACTGAAACCATGCTATAAAATTAGTACTATTATAATTCAAATTAAGTTGAACATGAACATATATCCAACAAACTACAATGGATATTGAACATGATTCTGACAGCAACATTCATTCCCTTCACATGAGGAAATTGATGAAACCTTAGGTGAGTGTGAATCAGAGAAATGCCTCCGACCTAGTGTTGGTCCCTTTGCGTGGCTCCTTTCCCGGGTCCTACAGTCTGCATGTCCTACTTCTACCCGTCTCAGAATGAACATGCATTGCCTCAGAGTCTGGGTTATGACTAGAAGAGGATATTTGGTTGCTACATTTACAATCACACAAGACAATCTCTAAGTAGCACTTTATAAACCATTTTTTAGCTAATTGCATCAAATGTAATTTGTTTCAACTCTATAATTTCATCAAATATAAGGATTCTTGTGCTTCCCCTATACTCTGTAAAATCCTTTTCCCCATTTTGGTTCCTGGAGTGGGATTGTGCTTTGCAAGCATTGCTGCAGCTTAGAATCTCTGAGAGGTTTTGATCTGTTCTATATTGAGGGGTTGAAAGTCATTAGAAGTATTTCTGTGGCTTTTTGATATGAGGAAACAGCCACTGGTTGGATTCCACCTAGAATGATCCCGTGTTGTGTAGAAATCATTTTTATGGCTTCCTAGTGTCACTGTGGAATATTTTCTATGCCTACTTCTAATTCAGAAAATTTAAGCATTGATTGAGTACATGCCACTGTTAAACTCTCAATAAATAGTTATTGAGTAACTTTTGAGTTCTTGTTTTTATTCTTAGAGTTTGTGAGGTGTCTGAATCCTGTGAATAACAAAATCCCCAAATACTTGCTATCTAAATTTCATGGTATCTAAAAGTATTTTGTGACAGTCATGTAACCTACATATTACCCTCATAAAATGAAGCTTAGGCAATTATGTATCACTATGAAAGTGGAAAGATTATTAACTAATTTTGTTAAATCTGGTCCTGATAACATTATAGTATGAAGGAATGAATTCAGAGATGAAGGTGAGATGATGAAAGAAAATTAATAAGAAATTTGAAATAATTTAAACTTTTTCTCCAGTGGATTGTTCCCAATGTCTCTTTGTTAATTCTTCATCAGTCATGTGGTATACATTATACATGGTTTTGCAATGTTAAACTGTCTCTCCTATAGATATTGGGATTTATTTCTAGCAACAAAACTAGATTTTTGTTTGGAAAAGATAATTGTTGAAAGAGAAAAGGAGGTTATAATTCAATTGCCTTTTCACAGCTGGAGAGAAATTAATTTTAGCCAGTGTTAGAAAAATTAAGTTCTATAACATTTCTTTTGCTTTGAATAAATGCAGTATTAGCTTTGGTGGTGAGTCTCTTGTGTACCTGTTTCATTTTAACAAATGAGAGAAACTGAGAGATATTTAATGTCTAGCTCAAGGACACAAGGAGTTGTGATACAACTCAAATCTGTTGACTTCTAATCCAGGACATTTTTCACTACTTTTCATTCTTTTTATAGTTCTTTTAATTATAAAATCACCATAGAAAGGACTAATGGTATGGACTGAATGTTTGTGTTTCCCCAAAACTCAGATGTCAAAGCCCCAAATTCTCAGTGTGATGGTATTTGCAGATAGGACTCCTACAAAAGTATTTAGGGTTATATGAGGTCATGAGGATAGGGCCCTCATGATAGGACTACAGCTCCTTATAAGAAGAGACACCAGAAAACTTGCTGGTCCTCTCTCCATCATGTGAGAACACAGCAAGAAGGCAGCGATCTGTAAATTGGGAAGAGACCCCTTGCCAAAAACTGACCATGCTGCCACCCTGATCTTGGACTTCTAGCCTCCATAGCTGTGAGAGAACATGTTTCTGTTGTTTAAGTCACATAGTAGGTGGGATTTTGTTATGAGAGATGAGCAGCCAACAACCAATTAAAAAATACTTTTTTCATATGGCCAAATTCCGCTATTTTCCCATTGATTTGGTGATGTTGCAAGTACTGACATTACAGTTAGAAAGTAAGAAGTATACTTATCCCTGCAGTGCATGCTAAGTTTCTGCAACTTGCAAATTCACAGTTGTAGACAGAGGTGGATTGTATAATGTATGAGCAAATTCTGTTCTTGTGCCTGCCCTTGAGATGGGTCTGCTTAAGCAAACAAAGATTAATTTGATTAAAAAGAATATTTATTATGTCTTAAAATCATTATTTCAAATGAGAATATGTTATTCACTATTGAATGTTCAGGGCTAAATTAGGTGATTCCTAATTATCTTGGTCAAAGAAGTTAGTAGCAGAGTGAGTTTTGCATTCTTTATTCTGCAAGGCATTCATCCACATTATTACCCCAGCTTCCAATAAGATAAGAATTATTTGGCAGGGTAAAATTAGCTACAACAACTTCTGCCCAAACTAGAAACTTAACATTTAGGAAGGAACTAATATCAAAAGTGGTTGTTTCTATTCACACTTTTACATGGACTCTGTTCACGCCAGAAAAAAAAAAAGCTCTTGATTTTTCCTATTGTAAGTCAAATCTGGATGGGTAATGTATGTTTGAGGTGGGACACTGTGACTAAGTTTCGGTTTTGGATTAAGAACTGTCAGGAGAGGTCAACTTGTTTTTGTTTAAATCCAAAGTAAATGCATACAAGGACATTGATTGCATTGCTGACTGTGACAGAGAAATGTCTGGAAAGATTTTTAAAATGTACTGGTTAATAGTGGTTATCTCTGAGAAATGAGACTGTTGTGATATTGTATTTTTGACTTTATGTATTTCTTTATCATCACAATAATGTTAAGGAAAAGATAACCAGTAGGTTTTTTAAAGCTTTTTGCTAAAGCTATGGTTTTAAAACCAGTGAGTTTAAAATCAGAAATAAAATATATTTCCCTTTGGGAAAAAAGAGGCATTTAAGAAAGCAACAGTATAGAGACACCTATAATATAATATAGGTTATGTTAGAAAAATGGACCAGTACAGCAAAAACAAAATCTCAAACTCTCCAAAATACTTATTTTGAGAGTTTTTTTCCTGTATCGCAAGAGTGCTTGTATATTAATAACAATAATGACATGTCCTATCAGAGTTTTGCAGCTTACCAATTAAAAGACACTCTCTCATTTGAGCTCAACAAGGATGCTCTACAGTAGGGAGGGCAAACATGGCTTTCTTCATCTTACTTGTGATGTAACTGGGGCTCACAGAAATTAAGTGAATTGTCCAGGTTGAAAGGGTAAGAAATGGTTGAATCAGAAGTTAAAATAAAGTGCAGTATTCTTTCCTGTATAGAACTCTACATTCACTATTGCCACTTACCTCCCATTCTCTCCTGAAAATCCAATCACGTTTTCATGCTTACCACTCCAGTGAACTCACTCTTACCAAGGCCACCAAGAACCTCCATCTTGCCTTAACGATGGTCAATTTTCAGTCCTTATTTCACTTGACCTCTTGGAGCTCTCCTTCTTTAAATTTTCAAAAATACTTTTTGAATAGGTAGTACATGTATATGCTATAACATTCAAAAGATACAAAAGGGTATGAACTGAGAATAAGTTTCTCTTCTATCCCACACAGTTCTCATGCCCAGAAGTGACCTTGTAACTAGATTATTGTGTATCCTTTGAGATATTCTAGGCATATACAATGATATATTTTTTATTCCTTTGTTTTCTTATATAAAAGATAGGTAACATACTAAAGATATTAACATACTAAAGATATAAACTTTGACTTGTTTAATTCAGTCATATATCTTCAGGAGCCTTCCATATTGTACCTATAGAACTACCTCATTCTTTTTAATAACTGAATAGTATTTCATTTTCAAGATGAAGTGTAATTTATTTAAATAGTTCTATGATGATATATATTCAAATTGGTTTAATCTTTTGCTATTGAATTTAATTTGGGAATCTATGTCCTAGCTTGTTTGTCATTTTGCATATCTCTAAATATACTATAGGATGAATTTTGAGAAATAGAATTGCCTAGTCAAAGAGTATATTTACACCAGAAATTTTGCTATTGCCAAGTTGTTCTTGAAAGAGAATGTGCCAATTTATACACCACCTCCCACCACAATATCTGAGACTGTTTCCCTATAGCCTCACCAATATAGTGCGTTATTAAACTTGTGATTTTGTTAATCTGATGGGTAAACAATAGTATCGCAATGAAGTTTAAATTTTGTTTTCTCTTATTTGAGGGAGGCTGAATATCTTTTCGTTTCCAAGAGCCATTTGTATTTTATTTTTTATGAACAATCCTTTACTCATTTGTTTTCTTCTGGATGTTGCTACCACACTGGTTGATCTCAGTCTCTTGGCTGGGTCTTCCTCTTTTATAGATCTCTAAATGCTGGAATGTCCCAGTGCTCTGTCTCCAGCTTTTTTTTTTCTTTATTTTTCTCCTAATTATCAAATGAGTTTCTCCTATTCTATATAAGTTTCTCCTCTTCTATATAAGAGGTGATGCTTTCCAAACTTACAACTCCAATTCTGGCCTCTTGCCCAGACTTTTGTCAACTGCCTGCTCAACATCGCCTAGTTTTCTAATAGGCATCTCAAATTTAATATGTCTCAAGTATAACTCTTGATTAACCCCCTTCCACTCCAAGTACTTTCCATTTCACTAAGGAGATCTGCCATTCCAGCAGCTGATCAAGATAAAACATAGAAGTCATCTTTAATTTCTCTTTTTCTCACTCTCAATAGCCAATTCATCGGTAAGCCTACCCAGCTCCACCAGTAAGCCTACCCAGCTCCACCTTTAGAATATATCCTGAAACCTACCAATTCTAATTACTACCTCTGCTATTATCCTTTCTCTTGCTACTGCTGCTTCCACTATGCCAACCCAGTCCTCCTAACATCATTACTTATCTAGATGAATTAGATAACCTTCAGTTCCCAATCTTGTCTCTTTCTAGTTTATTTTCCACACAGCATTCAAGACGAGCTTTTAACAAGTCACATCATGTCACATGACTGTTAAGAAGTAGCCAGTGACTGTCTATCATACTTATAACAAATTCCAGCCTCCTTTTATGGTCTAGGTGATCTAGCGTCTACCTACCTTTGTGATTTTTATCTCTCGTCATTTCTTTCTGTAGTTTCCAAACTGGTGTTCTTGTTATTTTTGAATACTCTAAGCTCATTCTTCCCTTAGAACCTCTACATTCTCTGTTTCTTCCGTTGGAGTTCCCCAGATAATTGCATACCTTGCTTCCTCTTCCATTTTGGTCTCAAACACTACCTTCTTAGAGGGGTCACCCTCTCTGAAGTATCCCCCTCATATGCCACTTTAACTTGTTTTATTTTCCTTTTACCTGCCATTTACTAAATTATATTACACGATCATATGATTATTGCCAATTTCTCTTAATTTATTGTACGTTGCATGAGGTCAGGATTTTATCTTTGCTCATGGTAGAATCTCCAGCACCTAGAATAGTGCCTGGGACATAGTAAGTACTCAATAAATATTTACTGAATAATAGATAATTACACATTTCAAAGATCTTGGACCAGTTTCCAAGTACCAAACACAATGTATTTTAACCTCAAATATAACTGCAATCTCTTCTTTTCCTCCCTTCATCCCTTCCTTCATCTTTTATTTTAAAAATATACTGCATAATTATTTTATTTAATGTTATGGTACATTATTGAGATATGTATTTTTAAGCTGTGGTGTATTACTGAGATATAAAGTTTTTTTTTTTCTTTGTAATACTGAAGAAAGATTTCTGATATTTCAGATTTGTGGTGAGGAGAAGCAGCAACATATGTTAGAAGGAATTTTAGAGGGAGAAGGTTTGAGTATTATTTTCATCTTCACCACTGGTTAAAGTAACCACTGTGGCCAAGTTAATTTCGCTGCTCAGAATTTTAATAACTGTAGTATGAAGCTAAAAGCAATGTAAGTTTATAAAATATCAGCTTTTATGGAGTGGCTATTTTGTTCCATGTATAATATTACCATTGAGGTAGATACCATTATCATTCCTGTTTTAAAGATGAGAGAAGTGAAGCACAGAGATTTATAATTCTTGTCCAGTGTTTCATGGCTAGTAAGTAAAGGAGCCGGTCTATCTATTTGACCAAAACCTAAGTGGTTGGAGAATGTTCTGAAAACTAATGAAGCAATTCCCATTTTTCCTTTCTACCCTGTGTATGGGTACAATGTGTGAATTCATATGGATATGAAATCATGGATATGAAATCATATGGATATGAATTATGTTCCCCTTGTTTTCTAGTTTCATGGTGTAACATTGGTAGAAAGCTGAAATAATCCATGGAGAACAGTGTCTGATATAAAGAATCGTGGTTGTCAAGAGATTTTCATGGCCCATTAGATCAGGAGCATTTTGAGAGCCATTCAGGACTGTGGCTTATTCATTTCTTTACTCGTAGCACTTACAGCACATACAGGGACTAGTATGTAGAATGTGTTCAGTGAATGTTGGTGGAAGAAATGAATGAATAATCTGATTGTGGTGGGAGGTGATAGACATCATGCCAGAGAGGATTCATAGCCACAAATTATTGATTCAACAAATAGTTATTGTTTAGAGTGTAAGCTCACCCTACAGTCTATGTTCCAGGTCATTTCCAATTTTTAGCAGAGGGCAGGGTTCTTGAGGCACTCTGATTCCTTGACTCCACAGCACTGTTGCTATGGAGTCCATTCTTTTGGATGGAGCCACTGCATTGTCTGCTGTTTTGAGGCTGTTTTTTTGTTAGGGTTATTTTTGTTTTTTAGAGGAACAATCCAGAGAGCCAAAGGCTCTGCTTGCTAGTTCACCTCTTATACTTGTGGAGGACTAATAGGCTATTGTTTTGCTTCAGTACTCAATGCCAGTAATGATATTGTTGTTTTTCTGGGTGTCTTAGTTCATTTTCTGCGCTATAACAGAATATCACAGACTGGGTAATTTATAATGAACAGAAATATTTTGACTTATGATTCTGAAGCCTGGGAAGTCCAAAGGCATGGCACTGGCATCTTTATGAGCCTTTGTGCTGCATCATAACATGGTGGAAGGGCAAGTGAACATATAAGACAGGGAGAGGAAATCAGGCCAAGCTCAACCTTTACATCAGGATACTGCTCCCACAATAACTAACCACTTACATGATAACAGCATTATCCATTCATGAGGGCAGAGCAATCACGACATAATCACCTCTTAAAGGTCTCATCTCTTAATACTATTACAATGGCAATTAAAATTCAACATCAGTTTTGGAGGGGACATTCGAACCATAGTATTCCATCTCTAGTCCTCCCAATATTCATGTCCTTCTCACATACAAAGTACATTCATTTCATCCTAGTAGCTCCCAAAGTCTTAATTTGTTCTACATCAACTCAGAAGTCCAAATTCCAGAGTTATCTAGATCAGATATGAGTGCGAATGAAGGCATGATTTTCCTGAAGCAAATACATCCAGCTGTAAGCCTGTGAAATCAATAAGATTATCTACTTCGAAAATACAATGATAGGACTGGAATAGGATAGACATTCCCATGCCAAAAGGGAGAAATAGGAATGCAAAAAGGGGTAACTGGTCCCAAGTAAGTCCAAAACCCGACAGCATGAACAACATTAACTCTTAAAGCTGGATGATATTCTTGGTTGGCTGTTTCACATCTTGGACACATTAGTGTAGGGGCTGGGCTTCCAAGGCCTCAGGCAGCACTGCCCCTTATGCCTTGTTGGGCTTAGTCCACCCAGTAGCTGTCATGGGTTGGAATCTTGTGTCTGTAGCTTTTCTACGCTAATGTTGCATGCTGCTGGCCCTAGAGTTCTGGGGTCTCTGAGGTGACCTTTCTCCCACAGCTCCATTAATCATTGCCCTAGTGGGGACTCTATGAGGTGGCTCCGCTCCTGTGACAAGCCTCTGCCTGGGTTCCCTGATGGTACATGGCATCCTTTGAAATCTAGGTAAAGGTAGGTATGGCCCCCACAGCTTTCATATTCTGTGAGCCTACAGACTTCATACCATGCAGATGCTGCCAAGGCTTGCTGCTTGCACCTTCTGGAGCAGTGGGCTGAGCTTCACCTGAGTCTGTTTAAGCCATGGCTGAGGTAGTTGAGGGGCACTACACCAGAATACAGGGAGCAGAGACCTGAGGCAGCCCTGGGCAGCCTTGAAGATCTCTAAAATGCTTTCAGAATCTCTCTCCCATTGTTTTAATGAACAGCACCTGAATCCCTTCTATTCATGTGAATCCCTTTAGCAAACTGTCATTTGGCTGAGTCCTTGGTATTCTCTCCTGAACATACTCTTTCATTCTTTACATGGCCAGGATGAAATTTTCCAAATCTTTCAATTATGCTTCTCTTTTATTTATTTATTTATTTATTTATTTTTTGTCTTTCTTTTTTTTCTTTTTTTTATTATTATACTTTAAGTTTTAGGGTACATGTGCACAATGTGCAGGTTAGTTACATATGTATACATGTGCCATGCTGGTGTGCTGCACCCATTAACTCGTCATTTAGCATTAGGTATATCTCCTAATGCTATCCCTCCCCCCTCCCCCCACCCCACAACAGTCCCCAGAGTGTGATGTTCCCCTTCCTGTGTCCATGTGTTCTCATTGTTCAATTCCCATCTAAGAGTGAGAACATGCGGTGTTTGGTTTTTTGTCCTTGCTGTAGTTTACTGAGAATGATGATTTCCAATTTCATCCATGTCCCTACAAAGGACATGAACTCATCATTTTTTATGGCTGCATAGTATTCCATGGTGTATATGTGCCACATTTTCTTAATCCAGTCTATCATTGTTGGACATTTGGGTTGGTTCCAAGTCTTTGCTATTGTGAATAGTGCCACAATAAACATACATGTGCATGTGTCTTTATAGCTGCATGATTTATAGTCCTTTGGGTATATACCCAGTAATGGGATGGCTGGGTCAAATGGTATTTCTAGTTCTAGATCCCTGAGGAATCGCCACACTGACTTCCACAATGGTTGAACTAGTTTACAGTCCCACCAACAGTGTAAAAGTGTTCCTATTTCTCCACATCCTCTCCAGCACCTGTTGTTTCCTGACTTTTTAATGATCGCCATTCTAACTGGTGTGAGATGGTATCTCATTGTGGTTTTGATTTGCATTTCTCTGATGGCCAGTGATGATGAGCATTTTTTCATGTGTCTTTTGGCTGCATAAATGTCTTCTGAGAAGTGTCTGTTCATGTCCTTCGCCCACTTTTTGATGGGGTTGTTTGTTTTTTTCTTGTAAATTTGTTTGAGTTCATTGTAGATTCTGGATATTAGCCCTTTGTCAGATGAGTAGGTTGCGAAAATTTTCTCCCATTTTGTAGGTTGCCTGTTCACTCTGATGGTGATTTCTTTTGCTGTGCAGAAGCTCCTTAGTTTAATTAGATCCCATTTGTCAATTTTGGCTTTTGTTGCCATTGCTTTTGGATTCACAGCCAAAGTCTACCAGAGGTACAAGGAGGAACTGGTACCATTCCTTCTGAAACTATTCCAATCAATAGAAAAAGAAGGAATCCTCCCTAACTCATTTTATGAGGCCAGCATCATTCTGATACCAAAGCCAGGCAGAGACACAACCAAAAAAGAGAATTTTAGACCAATATCCTTGATGAACATTGATGCAAAAATCCTCAATAAAATACTGGCAAACCGAATCCAGCAGCACATCAAAAAGCTTATCCACTTATCCACCATGATCAAGTGGGCTTCATCCCTGGGATGCAAGGCTGGTTCAATATACACAAATCAATAAATGTAATCCAGCATATAAACAGAGCCAAAGACAAAAACCACATGATTATTTCAATAGATGCAGAAAAGGCCTTTGACAAAATTCAACAACCCTTCATGCTAAAAACTCTCAATAAATTAGGTATTGATGGGACGTATCTCAAAATAATAAGAGCTATCTATGACAAACCCACAGTCAATATCATACTGAATGGACAAAAACTGGAAGCATTCCCTTTGAAAACTGGCACAAGACAGGGATGCCCTCTCTCACCACTCCTATTCAACATAGTGTTGGAAGTTCTGGCCAGGGCAATTAGGCAGGAGAAGGAAATAAAAGGTAGTCAGTTAGGAAAAGAGGAAGTCAAATTGTCCCTGTTTGCAGACGACATGATTGTATATCTAGAAAACCCCATCGTCTCAGCCCAAAATCTCCTTAAGCTGATAAGCAACTTCAGCAAAGTCTCAGGATACAAAATCAATGTACAAAAATCACAAGCATTCTTATACACCAATAACAGACAAACAGAGAGCCAAATCATGAGTGAACTCCCATTCACAATTGCTTCAAAGAGAATAAAATACCTAGGAATCCAACTTACAAGGGATGTGAAGGACCTCTTCAAGGAGAACTACAAACCACTGCTCAATGAAATAAAAGAGGATACAGACAAATGGAAGGACATTCCATGCTCATGGGTCGGAAGAATCAATATCGTGAAAATGGCCATACTGCCCAAGGTAATTTATAGATTCAATGCCATCCCTATCAAGCTACCAAAGCCTTTCTTCACAGAATTGGAAAAAACTACTTTAAAGTTCATATGGAACCAAAAAAGAGCCTGCATCGCCAAGTCAATCCTAAGCTGAAAGAACAAAGCTGGAGGCATCACACTACCTGATTTCAAACTATACTATAAGGTTACAGTAACCAAAACAGCATGGTACTGGTACCAAAACAGAGATATAGATCAATGGAACAGAACAGAGCCCTCAGAAATAATGCCGCATATCTACAGCTATCTGATCTTTGACAAACCTGAGAAAAACAAGCAATGGGGAAAGGATTCCCTATTTAATAAATGGTGCTGGGAAAACTGGCTAGCCATATGTAGAAAGCTGAAACTGGATCCCTTCTTTACACCTTATACAAAAATCAATTCAAGATGGATTAAAGACTTAAACGTTAGACCTAAAACCATAAAAACCCTAGAAGAAAACCTAGGCATTACCATTCAGGACATAGGCATGGGCAAGGACTTCATGTCTAAAACGCCAGTTCTGCTTCTCTTTTAATCGTAAATTCTGTCTTTAGGGCATCTCTTTGCCCTCACATCTCATTGTATGTGGTTAAAAGTAACTATGCTGCAGATTAAATGCTTTGTTTCTTAGATATTTCTTCCATCAGATATCCTAGTTTATCACTCTTAAGTTCTGCAATCCATAAAGTCCTAGGACACAAATACAGCTCTGTCAAGTTCTTTGCAACTGTATAACAAGGATGGCCCTCACTCCAGTACCGTGTTTTTTATTTCCATCTTAGACTTGATCCAATGAACTTTGCCTTCTATATTTCTATCAACATTCTGATTATGACCACTAAAGTAATCTCTAAGAAGTTTCAGACTTTCTCTACAGTGCTTCTCTTCTTCCAAGCCCTTAATGCTCCACTCATAGCAGTCAAAGCTTTTTCTAGCCTGTGCCTCCAAATTCTTCCATTCTCCAGCCATCTACCAGTTCCAAAGCCTCTTCTAGAATTTTGATATTTGTTACAGCAACAACCCTTCTCTGGTACCAATTTTCTGTCATAGTCTGTTTTCTGCTTCTATAACAGAATTCCACAGACTGGGTGGTTTTTGTAATGAATAGAAATTTATTTGGCTCACAGTTCTGGAGGCTGGGAAGCCTAAGAGCATGATGCTGGCATCTCGCGAGGGATTCTGTGTTGTACCATAATATGGTGGAAAGGCAAGTGATCATGAAGGACAGACAGAAAAAATAGGACTGAACTCATCCTTTTGCTCAAGAATGCATGATCTCAGTAACTACTCCAGAGATAATGGCATTGGTCTATTCATGAAGGCAGAGCCCTCATGACCTACTTAAATATCTCACTTTTTAATACTGTTACAATGGCAATTAAATGTCAATATGAGTTTTGGAGAAAGTATTCAAAACATAGTTCTGGGCCTACCTTGATAATTTGCCTGATATAGCAGTTGCTGTAGAATACATATAATTTCTAGAGTCTTATCCCTGGTCTCCTAACTCTTGTGGCTGAAAACTTGATACTTGATAGCAGACCTAAGCACCTCTTCTCCTAGACCTTTACTTATTGCCTTCTGCCTAACTCCTTAAAACTTCTCTGTCATCTCAGGTTTCCTTCCTTAATGCCATATCTGTGTCTCCAGGTCCTGCCAACTGGAGTTGCCACCCACTCACTCCCTGTTTGACTCTTTATATGGAGGTACAATGAGTGAATGACAAAGTCACCTTGGATCTCTCTTGATGGGGGAGTGAACCTAGAGGTAAAAAAATCATGGAGATGAAGGAGGAGCGGATGGAAGAAGCTTTTTTTCCTTCATCCTCTCCAAGAGTTTCATGAACATTAAGTGCTTTGAACTCTATAGGTTGATTTCTGTCTTATGGAATGTCGCCAACACATTCTGAATGGCCCAGAGTTCACTTTCATTATTTAGATGTTTCATGTAAGTTAGTTGTCTCTTCTCAACAAGATGATAAGTTTCTTATGAGTAGGTATCATAAGTCTTCTTATTTCAATATCAGTGCAACTACCATTTTTTGAGCACTTACAATATGCTAGCTGCTGTGCCAAGTGTTTTATTTACATTATCTTAGTATTTAGAATAATTTTTAAGGAAAGCATAAATATTCCTATGTCACTGGAGAAAAAACTAGAACATAGTGGAGTTGTAATTTAAATCCGTGTATGTCTGCTTCCAAATACTTTTTTTGTTTTTTGAGATGGAGTTTCGCTCTTGTTGCCCAGGCTGGAGTGCAGTGGTGCAATCTCGGGTCACTGCAACTTCTGCCTCCCTGGTTAAAGTGATTCTCCTGCCTCAGCCTCTTGAGTAGCTGGGATTACAGGTGTACACCACCATGCCTATCTAATTTTTTTATTTTTAATAGAGACAGGGTTTCACCATGTTGGCCAGGCTAGTCTCGAACTCCTGACCTCAGGTCATCCACCTGCCTCAGCCTCCCAAAGTGCTGGCATTACAGGCGTGAGCCATTGCACCCAACCCAAATACTTTCTTAAACAACAAAACACAGCACTGAGTGCAATCAGAGAATAATCTTTGACTTTGACTTTAGAAAAAAGTGTTTTAAAAATTATTCTTCCTCATACCCATCAAGATGGCTACTATCAACACTTGTTAATAGAAAATTACAAGTTTTGGTGAGGGTGTGGACAAATTGGAAGCCTGGTGCACTGTTGGTGGGAATGTAAAATGATGCAGCTGGTATGAAAAAAGTATGGCAGTTCCTCAAAATATGAAAAATAGAATCCCCATATGATCCAGCAATTTCACCTCTGAGTATATATCCAAAAGAATTAAGAGCAGGGTCTCAAAGAGATATCTGTACACCATATTCATAGCAGCATTATTCACAATAGCCAAAAAGTGAAAGCAACTCAAGTATTCACTGATGGATGAAAGGATAAACAAAATGTAGCATATGCATACAATGGACTACTATTCAGCCTGAAAATGGAAGGAATTCTGACACATACTATAGCATAGATGAACCTTGAGGACATTAGGCTAAGTGACATAAGCCTGTCACAAACAGAAAAATACTGTATAATTCCACTTGTATGAAGTATCCAGAGTAATCAAATTCATGGAAACAGAAAATCGATTGGTTGTTTTCAGGCATTGTAGGGAGGGAAAAATCAGGGGTTGTTGTTTAATGGCTACAGAGTTTCAGTTTTGCAAGATGAAAAGTTCTGAGGATTGATTGCACAACAATGGGAATATACTTAATACTGACCAGTACACTTAAAAGGGCTAAGATGGTAAATTTTACATCATGTGTATTTTTTCACAATTAAAATAATATTCTTACACATAGTATTTCATGAACTGAAATACTATATAGTATTGTACTATGTCCAATAATACATACACAATGTAATTTTGCTATTGAAGGCAGTAGTTCTAATGATGAGAGTGGTCAAAATCCTTACATAATGCAATTGTTCTGAATTCTGGATTTAAGATATGACTATACAAAGACGTGTCTGGGCACATTAAAACAATTTTTGCAAAGATCATCATGGTGTTGAATAGTGATTAAGAAAAACTGGTAAAAATTTAAAACATTGCATCATGTCTCTACAGCTTAGTTGAAAGTGTTTTTCTTTTTTGTGTGTGCAAATGCATACATGTTATGTTCATGCAGAGACACAGCTACCTCACACATACTCTCTTTAACTTCCTCTGAAAACATGTATTATTTAATGAGTCAGTGCCTCTGCTGTGTGACAATTGTGCTTGTCTACACTTCCCTGTCTCATATCTAAAAAAATTATATGTCTGGTGCCAAATATCATGGTCAGACTTACCTGTAGGGCTTTTAAAATGCATATGTGTCATTATGTTTGAAAATAATATCTCCTGTAGCTTCCATACTGTATTAAGGCATAGGAGACATCTACATTTCTAGTGGGAAAATGCTTTTTGTTATTTCATAGCTTTTTGGTATATTGAATACATAATTATATTGTCTGTTATTTTCCATTAATGAAGGTTTGTATTGCTTTGTTTTTTATAATATCATGATGGACTATTTCAGACTCTTAAAATGCCAGTAATTGTGAAGTGTTTCCGATGGATAGAGTGTAAATAGATGCCTGTGGATTTGACAGGAAGCTGGGAAGTTTCCCTGCTCAAAGATATAGCCCTACTGTGGATAGTTGAAATGCCACTGATAATGATTCATTGCTTTCTGTTGAGCTTTTTCCTCATATAGTGGCTCTTTTCTGAATTGCAAATACTCCAGGGAGGTATAACATACTGTGTAACTCACACCCTATTATGAAATAATTGATCGTATCTTTTCTATCAGAAGAGAGACTAGAGGGGAAGTACTGACAGAGGACTCGTGAAAGAAGACTACCTAAGGATGGTCCTGATCAGATAAGTATAGGCTGCAGAAGATTTTCCCTTCTATCTAAACAGATAGCTAAGTTCCAGTCCTTTTTAAAAACAAGTTTCTCAATTGCAAGTTTAAGCTTTGTCGATAGACGCAAAGTGAAATGGAAATCTGGGACAATTATCCAAATTATTTCATTTTTAAAAACCTTCATTAAGGCTAAACAGGGAGCTTTAGCTTAAATTATTCAGCTGGACTAGTTACATTAAAATTATCTCAAATTGCCTTGCTCCCTCATTCACCTTATCTGTTTAGAGAGGCAGACCTTAGGCTGTGTCTGCTTTACCCTGTATGGATTGATTTGGGGACAAAAAATTCAATTAATTCTATTCACATTGGATCGTCTTAGCATTGCACAAATGGCAAGTGAATGCTGCCCCATTCCACTGTAAAGCTTGGGAGGGTCTGAGTCTAACACATTTAATGATCTTAGTTCAGCTGGTTCACTGTGCATCTGTGTGAGTTTCCACTTGGCATTTTATTTTAAATATGTTACCTTCAAAAATGGCTTTGCTTTGAGACAATCAAAAAAGCCAGTTCATTGTTTGAGGAGCAAACAAAAACAAATTGAGCCAATGTGTTGCTAGCTAACACCTACTGTGTACTTACCATGCACCTGATACTTACTCTCTCATTAATCTGAGGGCAATTGTAAATGGTGCACAGACTTCATCCCTAGCAGTTTGGGGCTATAAGTCCATGTGCTTAAGTGCACAGTACTGTAATGAAAGGCAATAGAGCATGCTGGTCAAAATTATGGGCTCCAGTCTCAGATGCTGAGTTATGGAACCTCAAGTGCCTCAGTCTCCCTCTCTGTAAAATGAGAGTAATAACAGTTCCTTTCTCATAGTTTTGTTGGGAGGATAGAAAGTGAATACATATAAAACTCTTAAAAGAGTGCCTGGTACACAGCAAATCGCTTAATAAATACTACCTGTATAGTATCAACACTGTTATTACTATAGTCCTTAGAGCCAATGGGAGCGGCGCTTCCCAAAGAGATTATGTGGAAATCCCTGTCTTTTGTCACTGAATTTACCCTTCCCCCATCTTTAATCCCCTCTGCACCAGTCCCACCCACTCACCTTATCCACTCTCACCTATCCATCATATATATTCTTAAAATTTGGGCAGAGTTATAAATGAAGGTCAAATGAGCTATTTTGGTCCAGGTGGCATCATAGGCTTACTTCTTATCTTTTCACTGAAAAAATTATAAATGTCATCATGATAAGATTTGTGTAGCACTTTATGGTGGTAGCATATTTTTATATTCATTATCTGATATAGTGAACTTTTGTAAGATTGTTCCAGATTTTTCCAGATCTGATTTTCTGTAACAGGCAGATGTGACTTCCATTAATAGAAGTTGTAGTGCAGAGAAGTTAAGTACTTTACAGAAGAATTTCTCACTAGCAGGGTGGGGGTGCTGGGACTCTGACCTTGGAGCTGGTAGCCGTAGAAGTTGAAGGAAGAAGCAAGAGAAAAGTTTGGTATCACTCTGGGAATTTGAGTACCTGGGAGTGTTAATGTCAGGCCTAAGGCCAGTAAAGCAGGAAAGGGAAAGAAAAAGCAAACAGAGAAAAGACGTTTATAGACTGGGAAGATTAGGGAGCACTAACAGCAGTTTCTTCAAAGTTGCTGACTATTCGCATCTAAAAATGGATATCCCTCAATGGCAGGGTCTTTATCTAGGTCCTTAATTTCTCCTCATGGTACTTAGTGTGGTATTGCTGAGTGCCTAATGAATCGTTCTCTCTTGTGCAAAGGACTTCTACTATAGCAGCCACTGTGAGCTTAAGTGATGGAAAATGGTTCATTTCTCACATTGAAGAGGAAGGAAGACCTCCTATGAAGTCAAGGAATTGGATGAAAATGATGAGTATTCTCTGGGGTGGGTGAAATTAGAGCTCTGTGGTTCAGAAAATAAACTGTGCTTCAATACAGATATATTTATGGAAACATCAATAAACACTGTGATTAAATTCCAGATAAGGTACCATCAAAGAGAACTATTCAGATACTATACAATGTTTTAAAAAAATCCTTCTTCATATTTGCAGGTAAAAAACTTCCATTTTAATCGATCAGACGGGCTACTCAGCTTTTTTATTAATACATAATAACTTGCATATTTTTATGGGGTACATGTGATATTTTGGTACACACACAATGTGTAATAATCAAAACAGGGTAATTAAGATATCCATCACCTCAAACATTTATCATTTCTTTGTGTTGGTAACAGTTTAAATTTTCTCTTCTGCTATTTGGAAATACATAATCATTTATCATTAACTAACTACCATCACCCTACTGAGCTATTGAATGGTAGGACTTACTCCACCTAACTGTATTTTTTTTTTTTTTTTTTTTTTTTGAGACAGAGTCTCGCTCTTTCGCCCAGGCTCCCAGGCCGGACTGCAGTGGCGCTATTTCGGCTCACTGCAAGCTCCGCCTCCCGGGTTCACGCCATTCTCCTGCCTCAGCCTCCCGAGTAGCTAACTGTATTTTTGTACCCATTAACTAACCTCTCCTCGTTGCCTCTTTACCCTTCCCAGTCTCTGGTACCCATCATTTTACTTTTTACCTCCATGATATCAATGTTTTTAGCTCCCACATATGAGTGAGAACATATGAGATTTGTCTTCTTCTGTCTGGCTAATTTTCCTTAACATATGATTTCCAGTTCCTTCCATGTTGCTGCTAATGACACAATTTCATTCTTATTTACAGCTGAATAGTATTCCATCATATGTACCACATTTTCTTTATCCATTTATCTGTTGATGGACACATAGGTTGATTCCATATCTTGGCTATTGTGAATAGTGCTACAATAAACATAAGCCTGAAGATACCTCCTCAATATTCTGATTTCTTTTCTTTTGAGTGTATATCCAGCAGTGGGATAGCTGAAGATTGTGGTAGATTTATTATTTTAGTTTTTTGAGGAATCTCCATACTATTTTCGACAGTGTTCTTACTAATTTACATTCCCACCAGTAGTATACTAGCATTCCTCTTTCTCCACATCCTTGCTAGCATCTGTTTTTTTTTTATCTTTTTGATAGCCATTTTAACTGGGATGAGATGATGATACCCCACTGTGGGTTTTTTTGCGTTTCCCTGATGATGAGTGATACTGAGCACTTTTTTCATATGCCTGTTGACCATGTATATGTCTTCTTTGAGAAATGTCTATTCAGATCATTTGCCCACTTTTTAATCAGACTCTTGTTTTTTTTTTTTTTTTTTTTTTGCAGTTGAGTTGTTTGAGTTTCTTACACTTTCTGGTTGTTTATCCCATGTTGGATGGGTAGTTTGCAAATATTTCCTCCCATTCTGTTTACTCACTCTGTAGATTGTTTCCTTTGCTGTGCAGAAGCATTTTAGTTTGAGTGATCCCATTTGTCTATTTTTTTCTTTCTTTCTTTTCTTTCTTTCTTTTTTTTTTTTTTGAGACAGAAAAAATTCCATTGCCCAGGCTGGAGTGCAATGGCATGATCTCGGCTCACTGCAACCTCCGCCTCCCAGGTTCAAGTGATTCTCCTGCCTCAGCCTCCCAAGTATCTGGGATTACAGGCATGTACCACTATGCCCCGCTAATTTTTTTATTTTTATTTTTAGTAGAGATGAAGTTTCACCATGCTGACCAGGCTGGTCTCAAACTCCTGACCTCAATTGATCTCCCTGCCTCAGCTTCCCAAAGTGCTGGGATTACAGGCCTAAGCCACTGCGCCCAGTCAATACCCATTTGTCTATTTTTACTTTTGTTGCTTGTGCTTTTGAGGTCTTATCCAACAAATGTTTCCCAGACCAATGTCCTGAAGTGTTTCCCCAATATTTTCTTGTGGCAATTTTATAGTTTCAGGTCTTGCATTTAAGTCTTTAATCCATTTTGATTTAATTTTTGTGTATGGTGAGAGATAGGGATCTATTTTCATTTTTCTGCCAATGGATATACAGTTTTCTCGGCACCATTTGTTGAACAGACAGTCCTTTTCCCACTGAATGTTCTTGACACCTTTGTTGAAAATCAGTTGGTTTTATTTATTTACTTATTTTTTCATTTTTTGAGATGGAGTCTCACTCTGTCACCAGGCTGGAGTGCAGTGGTGTGATCTCGGCTCACTGTAACATCTGCCACCTGGGTTCAAGTGATTCTCCTGCCTCAGCCTCCCAATTAGTGGGACTACAGGTGTGTACCACCATGTTTGGCTAATTTTTGTATTTTTAGTAGAGACAGAGTTTTGCCATGTTAGCCAGGCTGGTCTTGAACTCCTGACCTCAAGTGATCTGCCTGCCTAGGCCTTCCAAAGTGCTGAGATTACAGGCGTGAGCCACCGTGCCCAGTCAAAAATCAGTTGGTCTTAACTACATGGATTTATCTCTGCGTTCTCTATTCTGTTTCATTGGTCTATGTGTTTGTTTTTATGCCAGCACAATGCTGCTTTGGTTACTATAGCTTTGTAGTATATTTGAAAGTTCAGTAGTGTGATGCCTCCAGTTTTGTTATTTTTGCTCTGTATTACCTTGGCTATTTGGGGTCGTCTGTGGCTCCCTGTGAATTTTAACATTGTTTTTTCTATTTCTTCAAGGATGTCATTGGTATTTTGATAGGCATTGCATTGCCTCTGTTGATTGCTTTTGGTAGTATGATCATTTTCTCAATATTAATTCTTCCAATTTATGAATATAGATGTTTTTCCATTTTTCAGTGACCTCTCTAATTTCTGTTATCCGTATTTTATAGTTTCCTTTGTAGAGATCATTCATCTTCTTGGTTAACTTTATTCCTAGGTATTTTATTATTTTTTGTAACTATTATAAATGGGATTGCTTTCTGGATTTCTTTTTCTGTTAGTTCACTGTTGGTACATAAAAACATGACAGATTTTTGTATGTTGATTTCATATTCTGCAAGTTTACTGAATCCGCTTATTCTAAGAGTTTTTTGGTGAACCTTTTAGGGTTTTTTATATATAAGATCATGTCATCTGTAAACAGGGACAACTGACTTGCCCTTTTCCAATTTGAATGCCCTTTATTTCTTTCTCTTGCCTAATTGCTCTGTCTAGGAATTCCAGAACTGTGCTGAATAACGGTGGTGAGAGTAAATATCTTTGTCTTCTTCCAGTTCTTAGGGGAAAAGGTGAAAGCTTTTCAGTATAATGTTAGTTCAATATAATTTTCAGTATAATAGTATCTGTGGGATTGTCACATATGACCTTAATTGTGTTGAGGTGTGGCTCTTCTATACCTAGTTTGTTGAGGATTTTTATCATGAAGGGATTTTGTATTTTATAAAATGCTTTTTCTGTGTCTATTGAGATGATCATATGATTTTTGTCCTTCATTCTGTTGATGTAATGTATCATGTTTATTGATTTGCATATGTTGAACCATTCTTGCATCAAATGTGCTGTAAATGTTAAATCCCATTTGATCATGATGAATAATCTTTTTAATGTGCTGCTTGGTTAAATTTGCTAGTATTGTGTTGAGGACTTTTATGTCTGTGTTAATCAAGGATACTGGCCTATAGTTTTTTTTCATTTTGTTTTGCTGCCATCTGGTTTTGGTATCAGGGTTATGCTGGCGTCATAGAATGAGTTTCAAAGAATTCCCTTCTCTTCAATTTTCTGGAAGAGTTTCAGAATAGGTAATAATTCTTTTTTTTTATCGGTTATTACATTTTTATTAAACAGTTAGTGTCCCTTTCTTTTTTTTTTTTTTCGACTCTGCTGTATATCTTTATGGTTTACACAGATTCTCATCTCATTATGCACCCCCATTTCACAGAAGACGAATTTGAAGCTTAAGGTGATCACCCAAGGTCCTGGAGCCAGGCTTTAAAACCAAGACTTCTCATTCTAAGTCTTCTGTTGTTTTTCTGAAGTTCTCTGCAATGATAACTTTTCTTTCTTTGTTTTAGACATTCACCCAACTCATTTCTCCAATAGATTTCTTTACTTAGTAAACCTCAACTTGGATCCTTTCTCTGATGAAATAGGGAGTGAAGAATCATGCCCTCCTTTGTTAGGTAGATGAAGGCACATGGTGCTAAGTGGTTTACTTCTCTAAGGACCTAGAGCTGCCTTATGATGGAGCTAAGACTAGCTCTGGCTTTCAGGATAGAAGTTTGTTCTGAAAGCTGCTGAAATGCACAGCCTCTTAAAATGCTCACCCTCCTGCTGAATTATAAAAGACAGCCACTGAGTCCAAGAGACACAGGGAAGTGGTATCTGCAATAAAATAATTCCATAAATGTGCACTCATTAATTTCTTCATTCAGCGAGAATAAATTAAAGGCTCACTCTTACAGAACTGTAATTAATATATAATTTAGATATTAATATGGAAAAGGCTGGCAGGGAAATTGCTAAAATTTGTCTCTGGGGTTTGGCTTTTTAGACATCAAAGTGCAATGTATCACCTAGCACTTAGTCTGATCAAGCACCAAATTCTTTTTCTTTTTTTTTTTCTCACTTTTTTTTTTTTAATACTTTAAGTTTTAGGGTACATGTGCACATTGTGCAGGTTAGTTACATATGTATACATGTGCCATGCTGGTGCGCTGCACCCACTAACTCATCATCCAGCATTAGGTATAACTCCCAATGCTATCCCTCCCCCATCCCCCTACCCCACAACAGTCCCCAGAGTGTGATATTCCCCTTCCTGTGTCCATGTGATCTCATTGTTCAATTCCCACCTATGAGTGAGAATATGTGGTGTTTGGTTTTTTGTTCTTGCGATAGTTTACTGAGAATGATGATTTCCAATTTCATCCATGTCCCTACAAAGGACATGAACTCATCATTTTTTATGGCTGCATAGTATTCCATGGTGTATATGTGCCACATTTTCTTAATCCAGTCTATGATTGTTGGACATTTGGGTTGGTTCCAAGTCTTTGCTATTGTGAATAATGCCGCAATAAACATACGTGTGCATGTGTCTTTATAGCAGCATGATTTATAGTCCTTTGGGTATATACCCAGTAATGGGATGGCTGGGTCAAATGGTATTTCTAGTTCTAGATCCCTGAGGAATCGCCACACTGACTTCCACAATGGTTGAACTAGTTTACAGTCCCACCAACAGTGTAAAAGTGTTCCTGTTTCTCCACATCCTCTCCAGCACCTGTTGTTTCCTGACTTTTTAATGATTGCCATTCTAACTGGTGTGAGATGGTATCTCATTGTGGTTTTGATTTGCATTTCTCTGATGGCCAGTGATGATGAGCATTTTTTCATGTGTTTTTTGGATGCATAAATGTCTTCTTTTGAGAAGTGTCTGTTCATGTCCTTCGCCCACTTTTTGATGGGGTTGTTTGTTTTTTTCTTGTAAATTTGTTTGAATTCATTGTAGATTCTGGATATTAGCCCTTTGTCAGATGAGTAGGTTGCGAAAATTTTCTCCCATTTTGTAGGTTGCCTGTTCACTCTGATGGTAGTTTCTTTTGCTGTGCAGAAGCTCTTTAGTTTAATTAGATCCCATTTGTCAGTTTTGTCTTTTGTTGCCATTGCTTTTGGTGTTTTGGACATGAAGTCCTTGCCCATGCCTATGTCCTGAATGGTAATGCCTAGGTTTTCTTCTAGGGTTTTTATGGTTTTAGGTCTAACGTTTAAATCTTTAATCCATCTTGAATTGATTTTTGTATAAGGTGTAAGGAAAGGATTCAGTTTCAGCTTTCTACATATGGCTAGCCAGTTTTCCCAGCACCATTTATTAAATAGGGAATCCTTTCCCCATTGCTTGTTTTTCTCAGGTTTGTCAAAGATCAGATAGTTGTAGATATGCGGCATTATTTCTGAGGGCTCTGTTCTGTTCCATTGATCTATATCTCTGTTTTGGTACCAGTACCATGCTGTTTTGGTTACTGTAGCCTTGTAGTATAGTTTGAAGTCAGGTAGTGTGATGCCTCCAGCTTTGTTCTTTTGGGTTAGGATTGACTTGGCAATGCGGGCTCTTTTTTGGTTCCATATGAACTTTAAAGTAGTTTTTTCCAATTCTGTGAAGAAAGTCATTGGTAGCTTGATAGGGATGGCATTGAATCTGTAAATTACCTTGGGCAGTATGGCCATTTTCACGATATTGATTCTTCCTACCCATGAGCATGGAATGTTCTTCCATTTGTTTGTATCCTCTTTTATTTCCTTGAGCAGTGGTTTGTAGTTCTCCTTGAAGAGGTCCTTCACATCCCTTGTAAGTTGGATTCCTAGGTATTTTATTCTCTTTGAAGCGATTGTGAATGGGAGTTCACTCATGATTTGGCTCTCTGTCTGTTGTTGGTGTATAAGAATGCTTGTGATTTTTGTACATTGATTTTGTATCCTGAGACTTTGCTGAAGTTGCTTATCAGCTTAAGGAGATTTTGGGCTGAGACGATGGGGTTTTCTAGATATACAATCATGTCGTCTGCAAACAGGGACAATTTGACTTCCTCTTTTCCTAATTGAATACCCTTTATTTCCTTCTCCTGCCTAATTGCCCTGGCCAGAACTTCCAACGCTATGTTGAATAGGAGTGGTGAGAGAGGGCATCCCTGTCTTGTGCCAGTTTTCAAAGGGAATGCTTCCAGTTTTTGTCCATTCAGTATGATATTGGCTGTGGGTTTGTCATAGATAGCTCTTATTATTTTGAAATACGTCCCATCAATACCTAATTTATTGAGAGTTTTTAGCATGAAGGGTTGTTGAATTTTGTCAAAGGCTTTTTCTGCATCTATTGAGATAATCATGTGGTTTTTGTCTTTGGCTCTGTTTATATGCTGGATTACATTCATTGATTTGCGTATATTGAACCAGCCTTGCATCCCAGGGATGAAGCCCACTTGATCATGATGGATAAGCTTTTTGATGTGCTGCTGGATTTGGTTTGCCAGTATTTTATTGAGGATTTTTGCATCAATGTTCATCAAGGATATTGGTCTAAAATTCTCTTTTTTGGTTGTGTCTCTGCCTGGCTTTGGTATCAGAATGATGCTGGCCTCATAAAATGAGTTAGGGAGGATTCCTTCTTTTTCTATTGATTGGAATAGTTTCAGAAGGAATGGTACCAGTTCCTCCTTGTACCTCTGGTAGAATTCAGCTGTGAATCCATCTGGTCCTGGACTCTTTTTGGTTGGTAAATTATTGATTATTGCCACAATTTCAGCTCCTGTTATTGGTCTATTCAGAGATTCAACTTCTTCCTGTTTTAGTCTTGGGATAGTGTATGTGTCGAGGAATTTATCCATTTCTTCTAGATTTTCTAGTTTATTTGCGTAGAGGTGTTTGTAGTATTCTCTGATGGTAGTTTGTATTTCTGTGGGATCGGTGGTGATATCCCCTTTATCATTTTTTATTTTGTCTATTTGATTCTTCTCTCTTTTTTTCTTTATTAGTCTTGCTAGCGGTCTATCAATTTTGTTCATCCTTTCAAAAAACCAGCTCCTGGATTCATTGATTTTTTGAAGGGTTTTTTGTGTCTCTATTTCCTTCAGTTCTGCTCTGATTTTAGTTATTTCTTGCCTTCTGCTAGCTTTTGAATGTGTTTGCTCTTGCTTTTCTAGTTCTTTTAATTGTGATGTTAGGGTGTCAATTTTGGATCTTTCCTGCTTTCTCTTGTGGGCATTTAGTGCTATAAATTTCCCTCTACACACTGCTTTGAATGCATCCCAGAGATTCTGATATGTTGTGTCTTTGTTCTCATTGGTTTCAAAGAACATCTTTATTTCTGCCTTCATTTCGTTATGTACCCAGTAGTCATTCAGGAGCAGGTTGTTCAGTTTCCATGTAGTTGAGCGGCTTTGAGTGAGATTCTTAATCCTAAGTTCTAGTTTGATTGCACTGTGGTCTGAGAGATAGTTTGTTATAATTTCTGTTCTTTTACATTTGCTGAGGAGAGCTTTACTTCCAAGTATGTGGTCAATTTTGGAATAGGTGTGGTGTGGTGCTGAAAAAAATGTATATTCTGTTGATTTGGGGTGGAGAGTCCTGTAGATGTCTATTAGGTCCACTTGGTGCAGAGCTGAGTTCAATTCCTGGGTATCCTTGTTGACTTTCTGTCTCGTTGATCTGTCTAATGTTGACAGTGGGGTGTTAAAGTCTCCCATTATTAATGTGTGGGAGTCTAAGTCTCTTTGTAGGTCACTCAGGACTTGCTTTATGAATCTGGGTGCTCCTGTATTGGGTGCATATATATTTAGGATAGTTAGCTCTTCTTGTTGAATTGATCCCTTTACCATTATGTAATGGCCTTCTTTGTCTCTCTTGATCTTTGTTGGTTTAAAGTCTGTTTTATCAGAGACGAGGATTGCAACCCCTGCCTTTTTTTGTTTTCCATTTGCTTGATAGATCTTCCTCCATCCTTTTATTTTGAGCCTATGTGTGTCTCTGCATGTGAGATGGGTTTCCTGAATACAGCACACTGATGGGTCTTGACTCTTTATCCAATTTTCCAGTCTGTGTCTTTTAATTGGAGCATTTAGTCCATTTACATTTAAAGTTAATATTGTTATGTGTGAATTTGATCCTGTCATTATGATGTTAGCTGGTGATTTTGCTCGTTAGTTGATGCAGTTTCTTCCTAGTCTCGATGGTCTTTACATTTTGGCATGATTTTGCAGCGGCTGGTACCGGTTGTTCCTTTCCATGTTTAGCGCTTCCTTGAGGAGCTCTTTTAGGGCAGGCCTGGTGGTGACAAAATCTCTCAGCATTTGCTTGTCTGTGAAGTATTTTATTTCTCCTTCACTTATGAAGCTTAGTTTGGCTGGATATGAAATTCTGGGTTGAAAATTCTTTTCTTTGAGAATGTTGAATATTGACCCCCACTCTCTTCTGGCTTGTAGGGTTTCTGCCAAGAGATCCGCTGTTAGTCTGATGGGCTTCCCTTTGAGGGTAACCCGACCTTTCTCTCTGGCTGCCCTTAATATTTTTTCCTTCATTTCAACTTTGATGAATCTGACAATTATGTGTCTTGGAGTTGCTCTTCTCGAGGAGTATCTTTGTGGCGTTCTCTGTATTTCCTGAATCTGAACGTTGGCCTGCCTTGCTAGATTGGGGAAGTTCTTCTGGATAATATCCTGCAGAGTGTTTTCCAACTTGGTTCCATTCTCCCCATCACTTTCAGGTACACCAATCAGAAGTAGATTTGGTCTTTTCACATAGTCCCATATTTCTTGGAGGCTTTGCTCATTTCTTTTTATTCTTTTTTCTCTAAACTTCCCTTCTCGCTTCATTTCATTCATTTCATCTTCCATTGCTGATACCCTTTCTTCCGGTTGATCTCATCGGCTCCTGAGGCTTCTGCATTCTTCACGTAGTTCTCGAGCCTTAGTTTTCAGCTCCATCAGCTCCTTTAAGCACTTCTCTGTATTGGTTATTCTAGTTATACATTCTTCTAAATTTTTTTCAAAGTTTTCAACTTCTTTGCCTTTGGTTTGAATGTCCTCCCGTAGCTCAGAGTAATTTGATCGTCTGAAGCCTTCTTCTCTCAGCTCGTCAAAGTCATTCTCCATCCAGCTTTGTTCCGTTGCTGGTGAGGAACTGCGTTCCTTTGGAGGAGGAGAGGCGCTCTGCGTTTTAGAGTTTCCAGTTTTTCTGTTCTGTTTTTTCCCCATCTTTGTGGTTTTATCTACTTTTGGTCTTTGATGATGGTGATGTACAGATGGGTTTTTGGTGTGGATGTCCTTTCTGTTTGTTAGTTTTCCTGCTAACAGACAGGACCCTCAGCTGCAGGTCTGTTGGAATACCCTGCCATGTGAGGTGTCAGTGTGCCCCTGCTGGGGGTTGCCTCCCAGTTAGGCTGCTCGGGGGTCAGGGGTCAGGGACCCACTTGAGGAGGCCGTCTGCCAGTTCTCAGATCTCCAGCTGCGTGCTGGGAGAACCACTGCTCTCTTCAAAGCTGTCAGACAGGAACATTTAAGTCTGCAGAGGTTACTGCTGTCTTTTTGTTTGTCTGTGCCCTGCCCCCAGAGGTGGAGCCTACAGAGGCAGGCAGGCCTCCTTGAGCTGTGGTGGGCTCCACCCAGTTCGAGCTTCCTGGCTGCTTTGTTTACCTAAGCAAGCCTGGGCAATGGCGGGCGCCCCTCCCCCAGCCTCGCTGCCACCTTGCAGTTTGATCTCAGACTGCTGTGCTAGCAATCAGCGAGACTCCGTGGGCATAGGACCCTCCGAGCCAGGTGGTGGATATAATCTCGTGGTGCGCCATTTTTTAAGCCCGTCGGAAAAGCGCAGTATTCGGGTGGGAGTGACCCAATTTTCCAGGTGCGTCCGTCATCCCTTTCTTTGACTCGGAAAGGGAACTCCCTGACCCCTTGCGCTTCCCAAGTGAGGCAATGCCTCGCCCTGCTTCGGCTCGCACACGGTGCACGCACCCACTGGCCTGCGCCCACTGTCTGGCACTCCCTAGTGAGATGAACCCGGTACCTCAGATGGAAATGCAGAAATCACCCGTCTTCTGCATCGCTCACGCTGGGAGCTGTAGACCGGAGCTGTTCCTATTCAGCCATCTTGGCTCCTCCCCTAGTGTCGGTAATAATTCTTTAAATGTTTGGTAGAATTTAGCAGTGAAGCCATCAGGTCCTGGACTTTTCTTTGATGGAAGACTTTTTATTACTAATTCAATCTCATTACTCACAATGGGTCTATTCAGGTTTTCTATTTCTTCTTGGTTCAATGTTGGTAGGTTACATGTGCCCGGGCATTTAACCATTTTCATTAGGTATCTAATTTGTTGGCATACAGTTGTTCATAACAGTCTCTAATGAGACTTTGTATTTCTGTGGTATCAATAGTAATGTCTCCTTCTTTATTTATTATTTTATTTATTTGTGTCTTTTCTTTTTCTTGGTTAGTCTAGCTAATGATTTGTCAATTTTATTTGTCTTTCCAGAAAACAAACTTTTCACTTCCTTGTTTTATATATTTTTTAGACCTAGTTTTATTTATTTCTGCTCGCATCTTTATTATTTCTTTCATTCCACTAATTTTGAGTTTGGTTTGTTCTTGTTTTTCTAGTTTCTTCAGATACGTCGTTAGGATGCTTATTTGAAATCTTTCTACATTTTTGAAGTAGGTGTTTGTTGCTGTGAACTTCTCTCTTACTATTACTTTTGCTGTATCCCCTAGGTTTTGGTATGTTGTGTTTCTATTTTTATTTGTTTCGAGACATTTTTAAATTTTCTTCCTAATTTCTTACTGACTTATTGGTCACTCAGGAACATGTTGTTTAATTTCCAGGTATTTGTACATTTTCAAAAGTTCCTCTTATTATTGGTTTTTAGTTTTATTCCATTGTGGTCAGAAAATATATTTGATATAATTTCAATTCATTTAAATTAGTTGAGACTTGGCTTGTGGCCTAACGTGTTCTATCCTGGAGAATGTTCCATGTGCTGATGAAAAAAAAAGTGCATTCTACAGCTGTTAGATAAAATGTTCTGTAAATGTCTGTTAGGACCATTTGGTCTAAAGAAGTTTAAATTCAATGTTTCCTTGTTGATTTTCTGTCTAGATGATCCGTCTAATGCTGAGAGTGGGGTCCCCAACTATTATTGTTTTGCAGTCTATCTCTCCCTTTAGATGAAATAGTATTTGCTTTATATATCTGAGTGCTCTGGTGTTGGGTACATACATGTTTATTATTGTTGTATCCTCTTGCCAGATGGACCCCTTTATCATTATATAATAACCTTCTTTATCTCTTTTTACACTTTTTGACTTAAAGTTTGTTTTATCTGATTTAAGTATAGCTACTCTTGCTTGCTTTTGGTTTCTGTTGACATGGAATGTCTTTTTCCATCCCTCCACTTTCAGTATGCAGTTGACCCTTGAATAACGGGTTTGAACCCACATGGGTTCACTTACATGCAATATTTTTTTCAGTAAAAGTTACACTGATTGTAACCCTCCTGTCTCTTCTTCCACCTTCTCTACCACTTATGGCTCTGTCACCTCTGAGGCAACAAAACCAATCTCTCCTCTTCTTCCTCCTGTTAAGACTACTCAATGTGAAGACAAGGATAAAGATGTTTATGATGATTCACTTCTACTTAATGGACAGTAAATATATCTTCTCTTCTCTCATTATTTCCTTAATAAAATTTTCTGTTCTCTAGCTTACTTCATTTTAAGTATATAATACATATAACATATAAAATATGTTTTAACGGACTGTTTATGTTATCATTAAGGCCTCCACTCAACAATAGGCTATTGGTAGTTAAGTGTTTTAGAGTCAAAAATTATATGGGAATTTTTGACTGCATGGGGGTTGGTGCCCCTAACTTTTGTGTTGTTCAAGGGTCAATTGTACATGTGTCTTTACAGGTGAGGTCAGTTCCTTGTAGGCAGCATATAGTTGTGTCATGTTATCTTTCATTCAGCTGGTGGGGAATTTATCTTAAAAGCTATCCTTCAAGTGGAAAATTTAATCTGTTTATATTCAAGTTTATTGACAGATGAGGACTTACTCCTGTCATTTTGTTAATTGTTTTCTGGTTGTTTTCTATATCCTTTGTTCCTTTCTTCCTCTGTCATTATTAATCATTGTAGTTTGGTGAGTTTTTTGTAGTGATAAGGTTTGATTCTTTACTTTCTCCTTTATATTTCTATTTTATAAGTGAGTTTTATCATTTTACCTGTTTTTATGATGATGATCATCTTTTTGCTTTCAGATGCAGAAATCCCTTGAGCAGTTCTTATAAGGCTGGTCTAGTAGGGATGAGTTCATTCAGCTTTTGCTTGTTTGGGATTAGATGATTTTGTTAAATTCAAATTGTGTTTAAGTAAAAATTGATTACTGAAGGGTATGGAAAGTTTACTTTCTACCCTCCTTGCTTTGGCATGCACTCTTTGCAAATAATAATTTCTTAACGTTGAAAGTTTTAGTGTGGGTAAGAATTTTTTCCATTTAAGAAGCAATAGCTATTGTGTGGGGGAGCATTCAGCTGATGTTGATAATGTCCTGAAAGAGTTATTGCCTGAAGACATTAAAAACTTCTGGTGATTAAAAGACTGTGGCTTGTCAAAGACAAAAGACAATGACAATGGCTCTAAGAGAGGCAAGTCCAAAGGATTGTGGCAGCTCAGGGATGAGGCAGGTGGGAGAGTCTGCTCAATCTGTGCCATATGTCTGTACATGGTATCTGTCTTCTATATCTATATCTATGTCTCTATCTATCTATCTATCTATCTATCTATCTATCATCTATCTAAAATTTTTTATATATCTGGGGAATTATTCAGCTGGAATAACTGCATTAAAATGATCTAAAATTGCCTTGCTTCCAATTTCACTACCAGAGCAAAAGAACTGAAGAGTGGACAGGAGGAGGAGTTGGTGAGGGTGCTGGTACAATCTATGTAGAGGGCTCTTCATGTACAAAGCTATAAGGATAGAAAATACCCAGGGGCTAAGGATGCTGGCTGGAATACACATTGAGACTGGTAAGAGTGATGGGAGAAAAGATGAAGCTGGAAGTGTAGACAGAGTCTAATATAAAACGGTTTTGTCTGCCATTTAAAAAATTAGAAGTTTATTTGGAATGTCATGGGGGAGCATTTAAGCATCATGTTGGTGTTGAGTGCTGAAGGAAAGAATTAAGAGTGGGATTAGAAAGACTGTGTGTGGATACAATTAGGTGATATTTTGGGTTTTAAGTAATACTCTCTGGGCTGCTGAGTAAAGAATGGATTGAAGGAGGGTGTGCCTGAGGGCAGTAGGGGGTGACTGGAAAAGCCTGCTGGAGAGCTAATGACAGTAATGGGGAGAAAGGGACAGATTTGAGCAACAATAAATTGGAAGAGTTGTTGGAACTTGGTGGTTGACTCAATGCTGGTATGACAAAGAGAGAGGAGTCAAAGAAAACTCAGAGGTATCAGGCTTGAAAATCCAGTGCTTTCTCTTCCTAAGAGAGGGGGAGGAGAAGGTATGAGGTGGAAGATGATTTAAGATTGCTGCATCAGAGGAAAGACTGTTGGGATTAGCATTGTCTAGAATGGTGAAAGTCATGGGATATTTTTTCCTGCTTTCTGGCACTGTCTCTGAAACTTTGGTTTCAACTGTCCCACCCTGTCTTCTCTTTCTCTCCCTCTTTGACTCCCCCTTATGGCACCCCATTGCTGCTTTCTTTCATCCTCACCTGGCTCTGCTAACGCTTCTTTCCCTGTTCTCCCCCCTACTTCCTCCATCCACCCCCGCTGAGACTCAGCAAACTCATACAGTTACAACAAATAGAACAAATACTGAACTAACATTTTTGTTAAATAGCTTGACTGCTTTGTGGACAGGGATTTGTCGACACATCTGTTCTAAAGAATTTTCTTTTAATAGATTTTTTGTGTGTGTGTGGAAACCAGATCAGCAAAGTGCTGTAACTATGGCCTACCATGGAGACCTGGAAATTGCTGTACTAAGCAGGACTGATTAAATGAAAATTTACCTGTTTGGAATGAAACTCACAATCTGTTCTAGAAATTGTTGCAATTATTTGGCCAAAGTCAATTGAAGAGAGGAATATACTATTCCTTATATTATAAGACATACTTGTGTTCAATGTCTACAGACAATAGGCTCCCTCGTCAGTCAGATACATGCCACATATGAAGGTTAAAGAGCACACCATTCACAACAGAGTGAACCCTGGTAGAGGGAGCAGCAAGGCTGATCACCAGTGTAGCTATGAACACTACCAGATACAAAGCTAGGACAGATGACACCTGGCAGATGACACCTGGATCCACCACGGATGAACTGGTGTTTCTCAGACATACCCTTCATGTGATGCTGTGTAAGGGTCCTGCTTACAAATCCAAGAAAACATGAAAGCTGGGTCATCTGAGAATGTGTAAGTTCTGAAGATATTTGACCCACAGGGAAACACTATTCTGCCTTGAGGAAGCAGTGGGATAAGGAGAGTCCCTAGTTCTAGCATCCTTTCACAGCAGGAAAGATGGAGAGGTCGGCCTGGTCTCTGCTCGGAACACAGATGCATACTCTGGGGATAGTGTAGCAGGTAATTAAACTTCATCTATCCTGGCAGTCAGACACAGTGGTTAAGAGCAGGAACTTTGGTCAGACAGGGTCTAACTTGATGCTGCCTCCATTGCTTGCTTGCTAGCAGTGTACCTTTGAGTAAGTTACGTCACTTCTCCAACCTTCACTTTTCTCTGTGTATAAGAAGAGTAACTTTACTCACTGCATTGGGTTGTGGTGAAGAGTAAATGAGCTACTGTACTTACAGTGTTTAGCATGTTGCCTGGCATGTGATGAAGGCCCAATAGATGTTAGTGTTATTAGTGGCTATCTGATGGGAAGATGCAGTTGGAACTTTCGGGTAGACGTTGCAACAAAGAACTCTGCAAAACAAATATTTTTCTTAAAATGTCATGGCATTAAGAAACTGGTCTTTGGGCATTTGGTTACAGTGAATTTGCTACAAGGAATAGTATTATACTATTATACAAAAACTTTCTTGGGGCTTGTAAAAGCCTTCTGGTTTTCTCTCTGCTCACCGTCACCATGGTCAGCCCTACTCTGTAAACTGGTCTCACTTAAAGTCAGTTTCAGTCTCTAGCTCTCTAGCTCTGATCTGTTCTCCCCTGCAACCAATTACCAAGTCACATAGGGAGTTCCTACCTGACAGGTGAGTCTGCCACAGAAGCAAGAATCTTGTGCCTCTGGCTTTGGCTATTTTTGGCCTTTTGTCTTTTCCTGCTTTCTTTTTTCTGCATTGCCAGAGAGATTAAGCATCTTCTGGGTGTGAACTGAGCAGTGGTACTCAGTTCTGGCTGCCTCAAGATCGGTTGTAGAACTGTTAATAAAGTGTAGGTGGCTGGGTGCCTGATGCCCAACCCACAGAGGGCAGCTAACCTAATCAGTTTACCTAATTCTCCACAGAGCACCCCTTGGTCAAATCAGAAGAAGGCAAGAGCCACTTATGGTTGTATTAAGCAGTCAAGAGACCTGTGAACATCCCTCTGCAGGCATCGGGCTCCATGTCTACCTCTCAGGGGCAGTGTGCCCATAAAGTTATCAGTCCTGTTTGGACATTATTCTCTAGTACAAATAATTTCTGACTTCACACATGACCTCTGTCAATTTGCATTCATCTTTGACTCAAACTTTTTCTGTTGCTCATGTGCAAATGGAGCAAATGGGGTAAATTTGGGATGTTTGTTTTCCTCCAATGTGGATACATGCTCTAAACTAAACTTAAAACAAAACAAAATAAAATTTTTGATCATATCTAAAGTGAATCTGTAGGGAGTTATGTGGGCAGGAAGAAGATGGTCTGTCCGCATGTCTCCTGGAAGATTTTCCCTCATTGGTCAGAAGCCCTTTTCTCTGTTGCAGTTTACTATTTTAATCTATCAAACACATCTCCCTCCACACCCTCAAATTTGGCTGTAATAGCTGAGGTTACAGACTGTTCCCTTCTAAAGAAAGCATGCCTCAGTGGGGCCCAGGCTTTCAATAGTTTAATGCTAGCATTTATCAAAGCTAGAGCTGCCTCCTGACTATGAAGTTTATTCATAGGTAAATTTTATGGTTAAAATGTCTTTATCAGTATGAATTTTAAGATTGTCTCTTTTTCATAAATTGTGTTGTATTTCCTTCATTGCCCCCAATTAAAATTGACTTATGAGCATTTCTCAAAATGTGTTCCTTCATTTCATGGGTGTTTGTAAGTGTTCCCAGAAAAGAAAAATATTTCTGGGTGAAAAGATTGGGGAACCGCTAGAAAAACAAGTTGATTTCTTCTCTACAGGACTTATCAAAACCTTTAACATGGTAATGTTCATTATGTATCCAATATCCTCCCCAGATGATTTTCCACAAAAATTCTCTCTTCACAGAAGATTGCTGAGGACTAGGTTTTAGGGAAAATGCTTTGGGAAATAAAATGATATCTTAAATTTCCTAAATAAGAATTGTAAATAGGGAAGGGAGAAGATACATACCTGGAAGCAAAAATTAGTACAATTAACTTAATATGCTTTCTCATAGTAGACAATTTGATATTGGATCTGCTTCAAATAATCCAGGACTTTTGATCAATGTGTGCCTCATGCCAAGAGGGTGATGGGGGTGGTCCAGATCTGATAAACTTTGCCAGGCAGCCATCTGAAAACAAGAGTCTTTGTTCCTCCATTGCCAAAGTCATTCTCAGCAGTTGGCAGCATCGCTGAAAAAGTGGGTGCACGATACTGAAAATGGGGTAATCCAGACCATTCCTACAATTCTAACACTGCTGCCTAGGTAGTTAGGAGATTTGGGGGGAAGACCATGGGACATTTCCAAGATAGGCATAGTGTTAAATTGCACCAGAGATAAGTGGACAAGATGTAAAGTGTGGGACAGCTGTTGTGGCTGGTGCTGCTCAGTAGACAGGCAGACTATTGGATCATTTCTGTGGTTAGCACTCATGTAGCCCACCATTAGAAGGACTTATATTCATGTTGCTCCTGGTCAAAGCATCCACTGATATTTATAACTCTACAAATATTTATTGGGTGCCTACAACATGGCAGGCACTGTTCTGGTCACTTGGGCTATCACAGTGACAAGAGTTAAATTCCCTGACCTAATATTTCTTCTTTCTTTTTCTTTTCTTTTCTTTTCTTTTTTTTTTTTTTTTTGAGATGGAATCTCACTCTGTTGCCCAGGCTGGAGTGCAGTGGTGTAGTCTTGGCTCACTGTGACCTCTGCCTCCCAGGTTCAAGTGATTCCCCTGCCTCAGCTTCCCAAGTAGCTGGGATTACAGGTGTCCAACACCACACCTGGCTAATTTTTTGTGTTTTTAGTAGAGATGGGGTTTCACCATGTTGGCCAGGCTGGTCTTGAACTCCTGACCTCAACTGATCCACCTGCCTCAGCCTCCCAAAGTGTTGGGATTACAGGCATGAGCCACCCCACCAGGCCCTATAAACCACCACACCTGGCCCTTAATATTTCTATTATCTAGTTTAATCTGTACAGTGTCCCCATTTAATAGATGAGAAAATTATGGCCATAAGAGATTGAAACAATAGATTTTTCAACTCTGGAAGGTATCTTAGACAACATTTTTATTTGAACTCTTCATTTTACTCATGAAGAAATACGTTTGAAAGGTGACTCTATCTGACTGAAAATAGTGACAGCTAGGATCAAAAGCCAGGTCTTTTACCTTCCAGCTCTAATCTCTCTCTTTGCCATATGCTGCTTAGAAAATTGGTCTGGAGATGTATGAGGTAGGCAATCAGCAGAAGTGTGAGTCTCAGAGAGTGGCCACAGTCTCTGCCCTAACACAGCCAGAATTTAACACTGTCAGCTCAAGCTGCTAACTGAAAATCCAAAAGCAGCAGTGGCTTAAGGACCTTGCCAAATGATATTTCTCAGGGTAACGGGGGAAAGGAACCCCCATTAACTAAGAAGGAGGAGATAAATGGTCCCAGAACTCCTGCTTGCATCTTCCTGGATTATGAAAACATAGTGGATGTACTCCAATTTAAACTTGGCCAGACATTAAGAGATTAAATTTCATGACACAAGAGGTTGGTATTGCAACCCTTGTAAGTTCTCCATGAGATGATGGAACTCTTATATGTCATTACGTGTAGGGAAGAGATTTAAGGACCATATTTCTGTTATAAAACAGCATTTAAACCAGTATTTTATTTTCCCTTAATTGCAACACTAAATCTAGGAATGTCAAGGGAGAAAACATGCTTCATAGAATTGCAGAAAACTTGGTTTAAAAAACACTTAACTGATAAAAGTGTATCAAAAAAAGCATATGAAGCAATACCACAAATTTTATATTTTAATCTTTAAAAATGTGAATTATCTGAATGAATAGCAAATTGAGTGGGTAAACGAAAGGGAGTTTTCATGAATAGCAACTTATAAACATGTTTTAAATATACACGTGAAAAGTACCATTAGATGGTAAGAAATATAAAGATGAATAAATCTTGTTCCTGCCTTTAAGGAATGTGTACGTGAGAGATGACAAATGCTATAATATAAGGTTGGAATTTTTATGTTCATTTAAAAAGTATGGCACATTTGGAAGAGCAAAATTATTTCTCACTATAAGAAATACAATAAAAAAATAGTGGCCCAACATTTCTTGCCTATGTAAATAGTGGGTCTTAAGAACCTGTATGCCACTGAAGTGTTATAGAATTACATAATTTACCTTTTGCAAACTTAATTTGGTATGGATGGCATGATTCAAAACACCATTTGCAGTATGATCTATAATAATAGCTGTTATTTTTTGAGATGATGTTATATTGGCCCAGATCCTTCTTAAGTTGGTTCTGACATTTATAAGGGAGCAGTTAGCTCCTTTGCAGACAGCAAGCTCACCATCCTTGCATACTTGTATCTAAAATAGTCCTAAAATTCTCTTTATTGCCTCTACACTGTTTCCCAAAATGAAGCATGAGATCATGGTAGTATTTAGTTATTGGTTCAGTTTCCTGTGTTCTTAGATCTTTTTAAAGCTCCTACGTCCTAACAAAATGACCTCCTAGTTTAATGTCTGATCATGTGACCAGCTGTTTACAGTGTGCTCCTGTTCTAATTTGATTCCTTTTGATAACATAAGAGGATATTTAGTTGTATGTTCTTTGGTAAGTATGATTTATTTCATACTTCCAGAGTCTTCAGAGACTATGGAGTTGCAGAAAACAGACCACCTAGATAGTAACATTTGAAAAGAAATTAATCAACTCTTCTGTAAAGGAATTCTTCTTAGCTAGATGAAAGAATTTCAGTCAGTGGATGTGCCAAGCCATGCTTTGATTCAACTTTATTATAAAAATATATTAAATATCTATGTATTACATGTATCAAATCTTATTTGCAAAAGGAATATTTGCATTTAACATGAAAATTTTTGATTTGTATTCATAGACTTAAATTCTCAGATCTTAGAGCCCATGGCTGAAGGTTTCTTTAAGGGAAAGTTGTTCAGTATCAGTCTTCATCTTTATTGCAAATCTATTATGCATACATAATGCATTCTATATTCTTGTAAGATGCAAGTCACAATATCACAATAACATTCTTACATAGAACATTTTTTAAAGGCATGAAATATCCCTCTTAGTTTGCATTATTTTGTTTTGTTAAAGTTTTGTAGATTTTACCTCTGACCTTAGAGAACTGGTCCTGATTTTATTGAAAGACATAGTACACTCAGGCAAGTCTCCATGAGTGTCTATTTTTTTTGTTTGCAGTTCTCAACAGGAACAAGTAAATACTGCAGTATGAGTTATTTTTAAATGTTTTAAAATAGTGTTTGTTATTTCAAGGCATTAATGAGTAAAATCTTCATAGAAAAGTACTGGTCAGTTGTGTTTATTGCCTTATGTCAACATGCTTGTCATTTTGAGAAAGTGTCACAATCCTAGAAGAAGATGATTTATACTCCTTGAGTCAGATTCTAATCTGAGAAGTGCCTGTGTATCCCTGCATATCTCTGAAAAGATCCATGGCTGCACATTGTAAGCATCTTGCTTCTTGTAGCCTAGTCCTGTTAGGAAGGCTTAGGTTCTTTTCTTCAGCAGCATTAACTACAAATTGGGTAGCTAATATGGGAAAATGGAAGGGTCCTTATCACCTGTAGTTTTACTTTTTCTTTTCCATAGTCTTCATATTGTTGACATATTTAGGGTAATCCAGTTGCTGAAGGACATGGACAGAACACAGAATTGGTATCAGGATTTGCCCACAGGTAACTATTTGATGCTGAGTTTAAACTCCTTGAGTCTTAGTGTACTCACTTTGTGAAATGAGAGGGTTGCAAACTGGTGGCTCATGGTTTAAATCTAAGGTACACAGGTTTTTTTTTTTTTTTTTTTTTTTCTTTTTTGGGCTACATGTCCTTTTAAAAGTCAGGAAATTTCATGTAAGATTTTTAACATTTCTTAACAAATGGAAAGATCTGGTGCCAAGGGGTTTTGCATTCTCAAATCACAACCAATTTCCTGGGTTCTGTAGGTTCCTTCATTTGCTATCCTTGCATTTGCCAGGGTTTTTTTTTTTTTTTTTTTTTTTCTCCTTTTCTGTGATCTTCTAAAATGGTGTGACTTTTTGAGCTTTGTTTCAAGGAACATTGTGGGAAAACTTTAGTTACTCTTAAATTCGTTAAATTCATTACACATGTTACTTTTCTTCTTCTGCCTCACAAGATCTCAGTTTTCCTCTCATTCCTTTCTGAACTTATGCTCTTACAAAGAATATGTATTCTACCTGTATAGGGCCCCTTCTACTCTGTCCCTTCTTTAGGGGCAGTGATGGAGGAATAAACTTGGCTTTAATTTTCACACCTCCATTAAATTTTTCTCCTTCCATACATTTACTTCTAGATAGACAATGTAAAATAACTTGCTTCTGTGAAAGTTAGAGACAATGGCTTTCTACTTGTAATCTAGAAAGAATGTGGAACTGAAAATAGAATAGTAAATCTCACTTTCTGAAGTTGTACTGTGCTTGTTCACATTTTTGATTACCACACTGTATCTAATCAGATTCTTCCAAAGCAATGCTATGCATGCAACAATTCTTCTATAACTCTCTTTGGAGACAGAGCCCAGCTGCTGTGGTAAGGGTTAGCTGCATCTTATGGCTTGGGATCATCTTTCATTAAAAATCACAGATGGCAGTCTATCCTTCCCACCATAAGAAGTGATATAAGTAAGCTTTGGTCAGGCAAAGAGGGGAGGTGTGACCATGAAAAGTTTCAAGCACAGCATCCCTGAATTATGTCCAGTTGTTGTGCATCTTCAGTTTAACCTTTATTCCTGATTCTTGGAGAGAATGAATACAGTCAATAAAAATCTACAGTAGTAAACTAACATTGAGTCTGGGAGGCTGGTGGGAATGATTAATGAAAGGAATTTATTTCTTGTTGATTTATTAATAATTGAATTTGTGTAGAAAAAAATTAATAGGGATATTAGAGAGATGGTTTAGAGAAAGAAGATAACTATTTGCCGAAATAAATCATTGTTTTCTTACTAGCTTGTTGCAACTTTGCTACTCTAAGGAGCTGTAAAGTGAAGCAAACAATGCTTATTGTCAGATGTAATCCTTGAAGAGTTTGTTTATTGATAACCAAAGAACATCTAAAGATAATGTGTATTTTGCAAGATTATTCTCTTTCACCTGCTGATTAAATTGTGAGAAATCGGTGAGCCCAGATGCAAATTTCCCTGTTCCTGTTTTACTGGACAGGTTCCCAGGACTAGACTAGAGCTAATGCAAATTAAAGAATTTCTATCAATTGATTCAGGGAAATAGATAGCTTAAAACATAAATCTCTTAGCAGTAAGTTGCTGAAGAAAAACACAAAAATAGGAGCTTTGACTCAGGGAGAATAGGAGGCAATAGGGATCTGATGGTAAGATTATTACTCAGGGTAGGGAGCAGACTGACCAGATTCTCAATTTGTAAATTTATGCTCTTTTTCTCATTTTCTCCTCATCTGTTGTCTGCTTTCTCTTCACTCAACATTGACTATCTGTTGGAAGTGAAATAGAACATCTTTGGGTAGACCCTCTACCTCTGTGTGTTTGCACTCTGCAGTTTCCTTCTGGGGTAGGAAAATTCATTCCAAAAAAATGTTGGAAGCATAAGGGGGTAAATTTTGTTAGGCACAAAAGCGGTGAATAACCTGAGTAGAAAAGGCTGGTAAATTGATCCCTGCTTCATATCTGACTAAACCTTCTAACAATTCCGTGGAAAGTGGGTGGAATATTTTGAATATCTTGTGATGAAATTCCAGACACGATTACACACACAAAAAGATGTCTGGAAGAAGGCATTTTTATGGATGCTAATCTCAAGCTCTTTCATATCTAGTTATGACTTGGCTTTGAAAGTTCCTTAATAACACAAATAATTTGGTAAATTTTTATAACAAGTTGTTCCCTGGTATCTTTGGAGCCCTCATGATCATCATCTGCCAGATTGTTCAGGGATGGTAACATCCAGTACTGGGCAAACATTTAAAAAATGATTTCTGAATTAGAAATTAACAAAATTGAGTTGGATTTGGTGACTATTTTATATGCTTCATTTCTAGTTAAGCTTGAAAGGGGACCTAGGGTAGATGGTCTAAAGCCTTCATTTTACAGATGAGAAAACTGAGGTCCAAAGAATGTAAATGCCGTGTTTTAGGTTATTTAACTGCTTAGCAGTAGAACCAGAATGAATTCTTGATTTTCAGCCCAAGGCTTTGCTATCAGGGCCTGCTGCCTTAGATTTCCCCACCAGATCAAGCTGCTGGCTTGGGTCGAATTCTAATAATTGATATTTCACTTTTGATAAAAGTTTGTTTTGTGAAGCCTGCATCACATTATGTCCTTTCGGCACTGTAAAAAGGAGCTTAATTTGAATGTCCTTGTAGCATACTGCACCAACTAAGTGTACCAGCTTAGCCAGTACAGTAACATCACCAGGCTCCAAGAACATTGTGTAACTTTTCCCACCTGATGCTAGCCCCTATCTGTCATTTTCAGTGTTAATTTTAAAAAGCTGCCCAATTTCCCCTGTATCTGACTAATCTTAGAGAAAGAGGCTGCCTGTAGTATGTGGTGATTTTCAAGGAATTCTTTCTCTAAAACTTGCTTCAAATTAATGCATAGAAGTAAATCAAGTTTTTTCCATATAAAATATCAGCATAAATAACAAGAGCATACTGTGAACAGTTGACCATTATGTTGAGGCATCTAGGTTTACATAAAAATTACTGCTGTGCCAAATTGTGGAGCCAAAGCCAAGTAAATTTCTTAAGCTGTCCTTGAATGCTAGGCATCCTGAAATTGTACTTTTGGATATCCAACTTGCCTCTTTTGTGCTTTTTTTATAAAGATTTATAAAGTCAGACTGCTCAATGGAAATACAATTTTTTCTCTAAGAAAGAAAGGGGAATGATCAACACAGAGAAGGCTGATTTCAGAATATCTAATGCTCAGTCTATGGCCATACCACCCTAAACATGCCTGATTTCAGAAGCTAAGCAGGGTCAGGCCTGGTTAGTACTTGGATGGGAGAATATCTATCACTCAAAGATAGGGTTTGGAGCCTCTCTATTTTTCTGGGCCTGAGCAATCTCCATGGATTATAGCTGCCACAGATGGCACTGCCTGAGAGAAGGAAAAGATGGTGATGGAGGATAAAGGAAAAGGGGGAATCGAAAAAGGGAAAGAGGAAATAAAAGGAGAGAATGGGAGTGACAGAATACTTTCATACGTGGTTCAAGTATTTCTGTGCCGTGATCTTTCACTCTTCAGTTGTTTTTGTTTAAACAGCTTTATTGAATTATTGTTTATCTGCCATAAAATTCACACATGGCAAGAGTACTATTCAATAAATTTAATACTTTGACATTCCACTATTTTTTGGCCTCCATTGTTTAGTCATTAGTTGCATTGGGTTTACCTGTACAAGATGAGGCATTTCTCTCCTGATGCTTTCAAGATTTTCTGCTTGTGTTTGTCATCCAGCAGTCTGACTCTAATGCTTCTATACGTAGATCTTTTTGTGTTGGTCTTACTTGGGGTTTATTGAGCTTCCTGAATATGCAGGTTAATGTTTTTCTCAATTTTGGGACTTTTTGCCCATCATATCTTCAAATTTTATCTGTCTCTTTGTCTCCTCTACTTCTGAAGCTCCCTTTACATATATGTTGCTGTGTTTAATACTGCGCACCAACAGGTCTTTGAGGCTCTTTTCATTGTTCTACTACCTTTTTTTTCTCTCTGTTCTTCAGATTGTATAATTTCTATTGATCTATCTTCAAGTTTCCATATTTTTCTGCCATGTCACATCTTCTGTTGAAACCCTCTAAAGAATTGTTCATTTCAGTTTCTGTACTTTTCATCTCCAGAGTTTTATTTGGTTCATTTATAATATGTATCTCTTTATTGAGATGCTCTTTTTTGCTCAAACATTGCCATCCTATTTTCCTTTAATTCTTTAAACAAAGTTTTCTTTAGTTCTTTGAACATATTTATAAGAACTGCTTTCAAGCTTTTTTCTGCTAAATCCAATATCTGCATTCTCTCAGACAGTTTTCTATTGACTGCTATTTTCCCCTGAGTATGAGTCATAATTTCTTATTTCTTTGCATGTCTCGTAATTTCTTTTTGTTGAATACCAAACATCGTAGGTATCTGCTTTAGCAACTCTGAATTGTGACCTTTTCCTCTGAGGTATTTATTATTGTTTGTTTAATAGCTTGCTTGGACCAAATCTGTAGTCTGTCTGCTCTGAAATGTATGGCCCCAGATGCCTCTACTCAGTTTTATTTTTTCTTGTTTTTATTTTTAAGCCTGGCTTCCTAGGAGTCATATCTGTGTCAACATGGTTTATTGTTCAGCCAACTATTGGTCAGAAGTTGTATTTGAACACCTTGAGCCAGTATAGTTTCAATTCTCTGTTGATAGGCCTGTGTGTAGGCCAGGGGAGTGTATTGAAACTTCAGGCCATTTTCAAGCCTGCACCAGCTTTTACTTTCTTCTGGGCTTTCTTTAATCTCCTTTTCATGTGCTTCAATTCAGCTATGTCAACCAGGAATGTGTGAGTAGCATAACTTCTGATCAATCCAGGATATTTGAAGAGTTTATCATGTCCACTTTAGATGTCTCATTTTCCACAACTCTCTGTTAAAACTCTGGCTAGTCTGCCAGTCCATTATTTTGCCTCAAAGAAGCCAATTACATCAGGCTACTGTAGCTCTGGCCCTCTCTTGCCACCAAGATCTTCTTTTCTTTTCTTTTCTCCTTCATTCCTTTCTTTTCTTTTCTTTCTTTCTTTTTTTTTTTTTTTTTTGATAGGGTCTTGCTCTGTCACCAGGCTGGAGCGCAATGGCTCAATCGTAGCTCACTATAGCCTCAATCTCCCAGGCTCTCAAGCAATCCTCCTGCCTTAGCTTTCTTAGTAGCTGGGATTACAGGCATGCACCACCACACCCAGCTATTTAAAAATTTTGTTGTATAGACAGAGTCTCACTGTGTTGCCCAGGTTGGTCTTGAACTCCTAGCCTCAAGTGATTCTCCTGCCTCAGCCTTCCAAAGTGCTGGGATTATGGGCATGAACCACCATGTCCAACCTCCAAGATCTCCTTTTTTACTAACAACGCTCTAAATCAAGTGAGTTCTCTGCAGCAGCAACAGCAGTAGCAGCAACAGAAACAGCAGCAGCAGAAGCAGCATCAGGAAAGCATATTATTTTCACAGCCTGACCCACTCTGGTTCATCTACTGGGCTGAGAGCTGAAGGAGGGATGGTAGTTACCCCAGGCAAAATTCCAGAGACGTGCGCTGTTCTTATCCAAAGTTAAGTGGTTTTCAGGAATAAATGCATCTCCGTTTGTTGTATGTCTCTGGTCAAATTCCAGAGTGCTGAGATGGTTGCATTTTAGTGTATTATCCATCTTTATATTTGCTTTTGGGACAGAGGATTTTTTTGACTGCCTTTTTTGTGTCATGGTGGAAGTTGCAAGTCTCCTATGCTTAGTTTTAGTGACAAGATCTTCAATGAAGATGAGCTGGTCCATACTCTTTGCATGTGAGTATAAAAGCTCAGTCCATATTCCAAAAGACATGTACTATATTTGACAGTATGTCCCCAAATGGGCATACTCCATGCATTACTTATCCTTCAAGAAGCAAACAGGTTTGAAGTTCTTCCCATACCTCTTCCTCAATTTCTTTGTGAATACTCAGTGTTCTCATTTCCGAGTGCTGATAACCAGGGTGTAGAGGATTATTTTTCTTCTTGTCAATAATAGAAGTCATTTAGTTTTCAGGTTGGGAGACTGAGAGTGGAAGGATATCATCTTTCTGCTTTCTTAGCAATCAATATTTTAAAAAATTAAGTATGTCTGCCATTTAGTGAGTGCATACTATATGCTAGCTACTTTGTTAAGTATTTTGCAATAACTTTATGTATTATCATCTCCATTATTGAGGCTTAGAAAGGTAAGTAACTTGCCCAAGGTCACTGAACCAATAAGTTGTAGATAAGGAATTCCAATGCAGTTTCATTTGACATCTAATTCCATGTTGTTGATGACCATGCAATAATCCTTTGATGTACCACTTCTGCCACACATCAAGGAGACAAATTAGGTTCACACTTGTTTTCAAGACTGACTTCCAACAACATGGCATTGCCTGATTATCTGCCTGTGATGATTTTTGTCTGTCTCAACTGAAATCAGCCGTCTCCAGTCTTTCTTCACTGACTCACTAAATTTAGTTGTAAATTCAGTAATTGACAAAAGGACTTAGGGCATTATGTCTTAAAAATATTTTATTTTTCTAAATCTTTAATTTTCTCAACTAAAGGGTACATCTGGTCACAGGTTGGGTTCCCTGGGAAGCAGACTCTGGAATGGAGATGAACAAACAGATTTATTAGGGAGTTCTCTTGGTATCAACATATTCAAAGAAAATGGAAGAAGGCAGAACTGGGCAGAGGGAAGAAATTGAGCTATGATGCAATTTCAGCTGATTTCTCAGACAACCCTATAGGGAATTTGGAAGCAAGGATCACCTTTCCAGAGTTGGGGTTGGGGAGGCTGGGCCTTTTACAGCTACATATATCTATTCCTGGATGTAGGCCATCCTGGGAAAAAGGTGTGATCTTGGGTGAGGTGGCCTCTTCACTGATAAATAGAACCATGAAGAGGGCTACCCACTGAGAGGTATCAGCCAGCAGCATCTGCCCCCAGCTGGGGAGAGGAAGTCCTTTTCATTAAGGGAGATCTGGAAAGCTCATTGGAGCACCCACCACAGCTGTTTATATTCACATATATTTTTCTGTCATTCTTTAATCATTCATTTACTTAACCAAAATATAATATTTAAGTGTATAATTTTTGCCAGGCACTATGTGAGAGGCTGGGGATATGAATGAAAACTATGCATCAAATTCCTGTTCTTATAATGTTTATTGTCTGGGGAAGGTTGTTTGTATTTAATCTCCTTCCTTGAAGTCTCTTGTTTAATCAGAAATTGATTCTAGATTAGTAATTTAATGTGGCCTAATTTAAGCCAATTTAAATTTTTCATCTAAGCTTTAAGCATTCGGTTCTTGTTTCTCAAATTCTTTTAAATTAGTGGATATCTCTTTTAGATAGAATTATACCAGACTATGTTTAGAAGTTTTTAACACTTATGAAGTCACAATGACCAGTGTAGCGGACTGTGAGCTGAGGCAAAGGAACCTCTGTGTTTAAAAGAAAAGCATTAAAAATTAAGCATAAGTTTTGACAGAATGGAATGATAGCAGCAGTTGAATTTGTTACTTGATATTCCCCTAGCTTCTGAGTATTATCCTATTATTGTTAAAAAAGAAATAGTGTGTTCTAATTGTAATTACTCTTGATATTTTTTCACCCTAGGAGGTAAATTATTAATTAGGGTGTACATTATAAATTACTTTTTTATTAGGTGATTTCTGTCTGACAATAATTTCTAGCTTTTTTTTTAATTAAACTATGTCTCTTGGATTTATTATTAATAGCTTTGGGCTCTGTTAAGAGAGAGGCTAATCGGATTTCTGCTTTATGACTTCACATGCAACTGGAAATATGATTCTGACCAGCTAAGATAACTAGTGAATTATATGTAGCTGATATGAATGGCTCTGGGTGAGAAGCCATTTCTAAATGAAAGTTTTATTATCATATTTTTTTCACCATGATCTTTCATTATAGATTTTAAGTTAATTTATCTCACCATTATACATATGTCAGAAGACATAGAGTCAGTTCTTTAAAGAACTGATCCAGGCCTAAAAAAAATTAGGAAGGGGGCAAGAAAACTCAACATACAGTCAGCTCAAAGTGATAAAATAGATTAACGGATTACCAGTAATTTTACTGTACTCAGTCTTAAGACTTAAAAAAACACCCAAAAACCTTTATAGGTATAAATTGAAAAAAAAAATCCAAAACCAAACAACAAAACCTTCAACAACAAAATTACTACTAAAATACAACTATTAAAAATGGAAATCAGGTTTTTTGTTTTTTTCAGTTTACCTTTTGAGTAGCCAATTTTTTTGTTTTGAGATAACCCTTTGAAAGAAAGGTGTTTTGGAGGAATATACATTTTACGTATTATAATACCCTAGAAAGATCTGGGATAACACCTCACAATCAGAGCCTTTCATATTTCTACAGTGAAGCCTCTGGCTATTCACACTAAGATGAACCAAGATCATAATAGCTGCAATCAATTCAGGTCAGGTTTGCCACCTAAAGAGTCAGCCCCAAGCTTGGAAAAAAACATTTGGTTTTCAGAGCTCTTTGGATATCAGAACTGAAATGAGATTGTGCACCTATGCTAATAATGTTGGCTTTTTTTATTTTTATTTTTTGCCTAAACTAGTGTGAATTGGTTTTTATCACTAGCGACCTAAAGGGCCATTTATTCCCAGAAAGATATTCTGAGACCTCATCTCTTAAATAATTGAACAAACCCTTGTAGGACAGTTGGGACAGTTGGTGTGGGTACTGGTGCCCCTGGAGGGAAGACCTTCTTATTCTTTGTTTGGGAGTTTGGGTAGTGGTAGTGTCTTTAGCCTCCGAGTGGGCTTCGTACCCTCACTTCCTAAATGAAGAGATATAGTTGAGATGTTTGTCCCCTCCAAATCTCATGTTCAAATATGATCCCCAGTGTTGGAAATGGGGCCTAGTAGAAGGTACTGGGTCATGGGGCAGATCTCTCATGAATGTTTTGGTGTCATCCACTTAGTGATAAGTGAGTTCTCACATTATCAGTTCACATAAGACCTGGTTATTAAAAAGAGCCTGGCACCTCCTCCTCTCTCTTGCTCCCTTTCTTGCTATGTGATGTGCCCTCTCCCTCTTTGTCTTCTGCCATGATTGTAAGCTTCCCAAGGTCTTGACCAGAGGAGATGCTGGTGTGCTCCTTGTACAGCCTACAGAACTGTGAGCCAAATAAACCTCTTCTCTTTATAAATTACCCAGCCTTGGGTATTTCTTTATAGCAATACAAAATGGACTAATCCATGAAGCTTGCTAATTTATGTTTTATCCATGGACACATAGCTTAATAAATCTATTAGGTTTCCAATTTAGGGGAGAACTCTTCCAAGAAATAGATTGGCTTATGCAGCAGCAGTGAAACCCTCAGCAGCCTCTTAATCCCCTTTTCTTAAGTGTGATAGGACAGCGAAGGAATACAAAGAAAACTAACACCATGAAAGAGAAAGATCAAGATAAACAGAAAAAATAATCCCTAAATTTAAAGGAAACCAAGATCTTTATAAACAGGATAAAACTTTAAAAAACACTCAGAGAGATTCAAGAAAATATTACATAAAAGCAACAGAAAAGTAAGAGCTCTAAAGAATAAAAATATTATTGCCTATAAAAACATTTAGTGCAAGAGCTAGAAAGTGAAGTAGAGGAACGTTCCAGGAATGTAAAGTCATAATAAAAAGAAATGGAAATATATGAAAACACATGAGATAAAAGAACCAATCCAAGAGGTCCAACATGTTCCGAACAAAAGAACAGAGAACATGAAGAAGAAATAGTCAAGGGAAAGAAAACAGTTTCCTTACAGTTGAAATACACCAATGTTCAGCTTGCAAGGACCCACTCAGTGAATCCATAAAGGCTGTGCTTTGAGCACCCAGCAGCACAAAGGAAAACAATAGGACCTGATATCTGCCCTTGGGGAGCCCAGTGTAGGGGACAGTTAGATTTGCCACATTTAGTGAATTGTTCTGAATTGTGTGTGTAGAGTAAACAGTGATTTACTTACTGAATGAAGAGTTTTCTCTACATTATTCTGGCCAAATGTTAGTGGTGTTGGGGTGTGGAGAAAGAGAGCATGTAGCAGATCTTTTTCTATCAGGAAAAGACATAATGTTAGATTCACATTCTGCTAGAATGTATTAAGGCACTTTATTTGATTTATTTATTTTTGAGATGGAGTCTCACTCTGTCACCCAGGTTGGAGTGCAGTGCCGCAATCTCGGCTCACTGCAACCTCTGCCTCCTGGGTTCAAGCGATTCTCCTGCCTCAGCCTCCCTGAGTAGCTGGGATTACAGATGCCCACCACCATGCCTGGCTAATTTTTGTATTTTTAGTAGAGACAGGGTTTCACCATGTTGCCCAGGCTGGTCTCAAGCTCCTGACTTCAAGTGATCTGCCCGCCTCAGCCTCCCAAAATGCTGGGATTACAGGCGTGAGCCACAGCACCCGGCCTATTAAGGCACTTTAAAAAAGAGCTTTGAGTGCCCTTATTAACTCAATAGGACAGTGGAAAAGCAGGTTATAATAGAGTATGTATATATGGTCACTTGTATATGCCGGTAAGCTTAGAAAATAATTTAGAACACATCCTATCTCTAGGTGGTGGAATAAGTAATTTTTATTTTCTTCTTTATAATTTTCCAAATTTTATGAAACAAGTATTTCTGTGGGTTGGATGTTTATCCCCAACAAATCTTGTGTTGAAATTTAATCCCCAGTGTGGTGGTGTTAGGAGGTGTGACCTAGTGGAAAGTGTTTGGGTTATCACGGGCAGATCCTTCATGAATAGACTAATGTAATGCCCTCCCTTGGGGGTGAGTGAGTTCTCACTTTATCAGTTCCCATGAAAACTGGTTGTTAAAAAGAACCTGGCACCTCTCCCTGACCTCTTGTTTCTTCTCTCGCCATATGATCTCTACACACACTGGATTCCTTTCACCTTCCACCATGAGTGGAAGCAGTTGGAGTCCCTCACCAGAAGCTGATGCTGGTACCATGCTTTTTGTACAGCCTACAGAACCATGAGCCAACTAAACCTCTTTCTTTCTAGATTACTCAGCCTTGAGTATTCCTTTATAGCAACACAAAATGGACTAAGACAAATATGTATTGATTTCATAATTAAAAATAATAAAGCTGTTTAATTGGGTAGGGGGCCCTTTTTGGATTAAAATGCAAATACTCCTGGGAGGAAAAGATGGTGAAAACCTGGGATCGTAGCTTGTGAAGGTAGGAGAAGTAGGAGGAACCTTTCCAGGGCACTGAGAAAGAAGGCTTGGTGTGGGAAGAACTGCAGAATGAGAAGACTGTAAGACCCTAAAGACAGAGCAAGAGAAAAGCTTCACCTACTTCCTGGCTTACCCTAAACCTGTACTTATAATTTCCTAGCTAAGGTAAATTTTTTTCTGACACAGAAGATATGTTGCCTAGAGCTCGATGCTATCCAAGATTATCTATCTAGGGGCAGCACAGACAGAACCAGAATCTAGAATGAGTCTGACCAGGGCTCAGAAGTGAAAGTCAAGGGTGGGAGCCCAGGACTTATATTGAAGAGATTGAGGCATGGCTTATGTAAGACATTCTGTGGCTGCAGAGATCTTTCTAATGTATTTAAAAATAGATACCCAATGTATCCTGGAAGCATCCATTATTCAGTGGCTATGGTCCCCATTGTCATTATGTAGATACATTTTTTCCTGAACCGATCCATGTGGAGGGCTATCTTGGACAATTTAAAAAGCAGGAAAATAAAGTAGAAATATTTCCTTTTCTTCTAAAAGCTTGACAATTATTAAAGATAACAATTAAAAGCTTATTTTATAGAAACAGAAGTGATAAACTGTAACTCCTCACAATGAAACTCTGAATGGCCATGTGATGATCCAATTGGTTACAAACATTCTTTAGTGGAATTCAGGTCATTAGCCCTCACCTGGAAAGAGAGAAAACCTTTGATTGCCATTATAGTTCAAAATGTAAGAATATTCAGTGTGATATACATCTGTTTTATGTAATCTATCTTAAATAGCAATGATAGAGAATTGTCATAGAATTATCTACTCAAATTAAACTTTTCTTTTTGAAAAAGGGTATTATGCTTAGAAGATTAAAAACAAATAATTCAATCTCTAAAAGTTACTTTTCCCTGCAAAAATACTATTGTGGATTTTTTTTTTTTAATTTAAAAGCACAGTGTAACAAAAGCAGGGGAAGGTAGGAAAAGCACAGAAGGTTGATTTAAGAGATAATGTATTGCATTTAAAGAATTGCAGTGCCATTACTTTTCATCACTTAACTTTTCAAAGAACACTTTCAGCTTCCTTATTTGCATGTTTCATTGTTTTCCAGCCTTTACACTGTATGCTTAAAATGCAAATGGAATAATATAAGAATAATGAGAAGTAATACTTGGAAATGTTCTGAGAAAATGATGAAAAAAGGGCCTAGTTTGTATCTGCTTGAAAAGAGGTGAGACTTGGGAGAGCAGTCAGACTAGATGGAATTTTACCTTAAGCGCTAACTAGAAGCATCATTCCTATCCTTCTTTCTCCCTTGCAATGTTGAAAATTAGTTAATAGTTCTCCTTTATGATTCCCTTACCCTTGATCCATTTCTCTTCTTCTTCACATTAGGCACCTATCAATCAATTAGTCTCATTTCAATGAGCATTTACCGAGCACTTATTAACTAGTCATTGCCACAACTGGAATGTAGAACAAACATTCCTTTATTAAGAGAAATAGAATTTGACTTGAGGACAAACATGGGAAACATCTGTCTATGTCTTACTGCAACTCCTTGTCTGAGCCCTCATTGAATACACTCAGAAATCAGACCTCCTAAGTTCCAATTCCAGCCCTGCCATTTTCCAAACATGCTGCATAGACAACATACCTTCTCTGATCGTCAGTTTCCTCATTTGTAAAATAGAATAACAATACCTTTCTTAGGTGGCCGTGGTGATTGAAATAATACATATAAAGTTCTTGGAGAAACACCTCTTACATATAGCATGAGTACATACTATTGTGTTCAGGTTAATATGCTCAGCAATGTGTAAGTTTCAAGAAGACTAGGATGTTCTCTCTGTCCTTGGGCTTGTGATATATAGCAAGGAAGTATCGGGTGACCAACCATCCAAGTTTGAATGGGACTGATGGATTTCCTAGGACATGATTTTTTCAGTTTTCAATGGTGACAGTGCCAGTCAAATCTGGATGAGCTGTTCACCCTGGAGATAGAGGAACATCTATTCAGTTAGTCATAGCCCCAAATCAAATAAATCAAGTTGCATGCTAGAAGCACAAAGTTATGTTGAGGCACATGGTAAAGCATGGCAAGTTCCTTCACGGAGAAGAGGGAAAGAACATTCCGTGCAGAGAGACTAAAGAAACAAAGGTATGAAGGTGAGAAAGTACCTGGCCTGCTTGCAGATGCCTGAAGCATTTTTGGTGTGGAAAACATGAAGGCGTATGGGAGGATGTGGTGAGTTAAAAGTTCAAAAGGTGTCCTATGGCCAGACTCTCCAAGGCCTTGAGTGTTATGCTTGTGACTGGATTATTCAGAGGTAATGAGGAGATGGCCATCAAAAGGGGTGAAGCAGGGGTATGATCTATACTTCTCAAACCTCACTTAGACCCCCACTTTTCTTATGAGAACTCATGTAGCCATTTCAAATGGATTTAAATGAACAATTTGTTATTAGCTCTCATTTTATTATTAAGTAATCACATAATTTCCATGTGTCAAAATATTTAAGTTGCCATCTTTATATGATCAAAGGTGCAAAGTAGCTTTTGTTACCATCCAGATTCCAACTTGGGAACATCTTTGACTATCCTTTTTCCATTATCCCCCTTCTCTAACTAACCATTGGCACAGCATTAATTTTTGTCTTCATAGCCAAGTTTTCTTCCTCCCCACTCCCTAGCTCCATTTAAAACATAATTGTATGTGGTCTTTGCTCCTAGCCTCTCTCTACTCTAAGCCACCCTAAATATTGTGCCCAATTAATCTTGTTAAACAGCATTTTTGTCATGTCACTTTCCTATCCAAGAACTGACTGAGGCTTTTTCTGAACCCCTAGATCTAGACCATTCTTGTCAGCCTGCCTTCAAAATTTCTCCATCAACAAGCCCCTCCTTCAACCACTCAGGTTTCTTCCACATAGTTCTTAGAAACCATTTGTGCAACTCAGACCTACATTCTTTTTGTCTTAAACTCGTAGGAATCCAGCCCCTCTGTTTCAAACTTTGCTCCACGTGTGCAATAGAATTTCTTTCTTCTCCCTTCCTGTTAAAATCCACAATGAAGTTGCAAAAAGAGAAATCCTATGTAAAGCCTAGTGTTTATAAAAGAGTAGGTGCTTAAGAAATAGATTGAGCACTATTGTCATTATATTCTGTATTCTCTAGTTATAGCTTACATGTGACAAACACTTTATCCTTTACAGTGCTCAGGCAAGTATGTCTGTCATCTCATCTGGCCTTTGCTGCAGCCCTGGAAGGTGGATAAAATAAATGCTCATATAGATGGCTTTCAGGTGAGGAACTTGAGAATGGCTAAAGTGCTTGTCCATGTTGATACAACTAGTAAGTGTCAGAGCTGGTACTAGAATCTAAGAACTCTGGTTCCTAATAGAGTGCTCTTTTCACTACTTCCAGCTGCCTTGATTCTTTGAAGCATATATCTTGTCACCACCAGAATAGTGAAAGCTCCTTGAAATAAGGGACTATTATTAGAATTGTCTTCAGCTCCTGATATGGTTTGGCTCTGTGTCCCCACCCAAATCTCATCTCGAATTGTAATCCCTACGTGTTGAGGGAGGGACCTGTAATCGCTATGCATTGAAGGAGGGGAGTGATTGGATTATGGGGCCTGTTTCCCCCATGCTGTTCTCATGATAGTGAGTGAATTCTCATCAGATCTGATGGTTTTGTAAATGTAGTTTTTCCTGCACTCTTGCTTCTCTCTCTCCTGCACTCTTGCTTCTCTCTCTCTTCTGCCGCCATGTGGAGAAGGTCCTTGCTTCTTCTTTGCTTTCTGCCATGATTGTAAGTTTCCTGAGGCTTCCTCAGCCATGCAGAACTGTGAGTCAAATAAACCTCTTTCCTTTGTAAATTACCCAGTCTTGGGTATTTCCTTATAGCAGTGTGAAAATGGACTAATACAGCTCCCTTAGCATGTAGCTGTATCTTGGGCATAAAGATTCTGTTTTTTAGGTACTTGTGAGCATACTGATAATTTCCTAAGCTATTAACTATGTTTTTCATATTTTGTATCATTTAAAAATATACTTTCTGTATTCCTGACATAACTCTGTGAAAGAGACTTTTACTTCTCAATTTCTCTGGGACCTTCCTTCCTTGCCCTCCTTGCATTTGGGAGACATCATATGACAAGTTATGGCCAAGGTGGTGAGTGACAGTGCCACTGGTCTCTCCAGGTTCTTTCCTCCTTTACCACCAGAGTCATAAAGGAGTGTGCCTTGAGATGGTGAAGTCTCAGGATCTAAGTGGCAGGAATTACTACCCTGAGACTTGGAGGGCAGCTGCCCTGGACAGGGCTCCTATCTGCCATGGACTTTGTGTGAGATAACCAACTTGTGTTATTTATGTCACAGATATTTTAGTTTAGTTCAGTTTTTGTTGTTATTAACTTTGGCATATCCAGCCTATCCTGACAATACAAAACTGAAATATATAACGACCAACATGTTAGCATCTCAAACTCCCAGTGTGTCCCTAAAAAAATCATAAGGAATTGTTCTTGATTTACAACTGGTGCAAATAAGGACCCCCAAAGTTGAGGGATAGACTTCAAGCCACCTCCAAAATGAGTCTGTTAACCCAAAGTGTGTGATTTTTCCACATACTTAAGGACTAGTATAAAAAATGAAATTAGGTACAGAAAAATGCAGATTAATACTGCAACCCATTTGCTTCTACAATAACGTCTCCACCCTCAACCCTCTGCCCCACCTAACAGCCGGCCTTCTTCCCTCTTTTGTCTCATTTACTCCTTTCTAACTGTCATTCAAAGGCTTTCCCAGGGTATGCTCTATTGGAAGAGACATTATTTATCACTGTATGGCCAGGGTAACACCAGCCTGCACAAAGATCCAGTTGAAGGACTGGAATGAATGCAAAAGATCTGCTGGTCTTGTGTAAACTTCTCAGTCACCACCTCCTACTGCTACCCTTTGGAAGAAAGAGATGAGGATCATGTGTGTTGTTGTTCTAAAGAAGAACATGTCTCTAAACAGAAAGACAAAGAGAAAGAGAGAGAAAGAGGCTGCATATTCTTATGTGAGTTTCAGTCCGATGACAGTAATTATGGCTGTTCCATTGCTTCCATTTAAATTCTCTCCTGATCACACGAATTACTGTTAATAATCTCAATTGTTACTTCTTTATTATAATAACCTCAAAGAGTTGAGGGTCTTCTTCACATCTTATGCCCAGTTTGGTTGAAATTCAAGCTTAAGCATAACCTTATTTTCCTGATGATATCTATCTATCTATCTATCTATCTATCTATCTATCTATCTATCTATCTATCTATAGCATATGTTATTTACTACTTTTTTCTTCTGAAGTTTTTTTTGGGGGGTGGAATGGAGAAAGGAAGGAGAGGAAGGAGGTTGAGATATTGAGACTCTGGGTCCAGACTAATTTATCTATATAAATTGCATCGCTGACTAAACAGTTACTGATATTTCTCTGCAGCATTATAAAGTTGAACAGATCATTCTATTTATATTTTAAACTCACAATTTCAACTATTAGGAAAAAGCTGAGGGGGAGGCCAAAATGATGTTCCTTGGAGAAATTTTTGTTGCTAAAATAAAGATACCAATAGACTCACAAAAATTCCATAAAACAAATGAAAAAAAAAGTTACGCTGAAGATACAGATAATTTGGAAAGCTGGAGCCATGTGGTTATGGTCAAAATAGCTGCTCCCGATGCCCTTAGATGGTACAAATTATTGGCAGACCTCAAAAACCAAAACAAGAATCCATTTTGAGATCAGATTTATTTTGCCTTGAAGACATGATATGGTTTGGCTGTGTCCCCACCCAAATGTCGTCTTGAATTTTAGTTCTCATAATCCCCACGTGTCATGGGAAGGATCCAGTGGGAGGTAATTTAATAATGGAGATGTTTACCCTAATGCTATTCTCGTGATAGTGAGTTCTTATGAGATCTCATAGTTTTGTAAGCTTTCCCCCTGTTTGCTTAGCACTTCTTGCTGCCTCCATGTGAAGAAAGACGTGTTTGCTTTCTCTTTCTCCATGATTGTTAGTTTCCTGAAGCTTTCATAGCCATGCAGAACTGTGAGTCAATTAAACCTCTTTCTTTACAAATTACCCAGTCTTGGGTATGTCTTTATTAGCAGCATGAGAACAGACTAATACAAGACATGTGTCCAAAGAAATTGAGATTAGAAGAAGTGGAGGAACAACCGAAAAGTGGAGATAACATACCACCAAAGAATCACTTGATTTGGCCAGTGCTTCACATGAGCAGAATTTGGATGAGAGGACAGGTGGATATCCAGACCCAGGCCATTCATTTGGCTTTTTCATTTTACCGTAGCCATCAGCATCCCAGCTTTCCCTTGTGAGTTGGTTAGTGATAGAGATCATAAAGGGTGTGCTAATAGTGACCACCAAGAAGCTTCTTCTAGTAGGGAAGTGGGCATCAACTATAGAAGACACTGACTAGTAACTAGTGGATAGTTGTGTTTGTTTGTTTGTTTGTTTGAGACAGGGTCACACTTTGTCGTCCAGGTGGACACGCAGTGGTGCCATCTCGATGCCTCCCGGGCCCAGGTGATTCTCCTGCCTCAGCAGACAGTTCTTTTTAAGCACAGAGGACTTACTCCTTTGGAGGCTCCTACAAGCAATGTAGGGGAGCCTTTTGGAGTGGTTGGGCAGGGAAGCTGATATCTTGATTTGTAGGGAGAGCCATTGTGATGTGAGAATTAAAAGTAGATGTACTCTGAAATTTGTAGGTAAATTAAATCTCAATACCTTGATTGTATTACTGAGCTGGTTCAAGCAGCCTGTGAGGGGGTTGTACACTGACCACCCTCCCCATCAGTCACTGCATAACCAACTGCTTGTCACTCTCCAGTTCCCCTGCTCTCAACTCCATGTTCCCTGGTTTTCTGAGCATAGTACTTCCTTTCCTTTGTTTTTAAGCTCAGATTCTTTTCCTCTCCCTCACATCTTCTCTACTATCTTCTCCCTAATCTTTCTCTCCAGTTTCTAGGACTGGACTTTGCTCTGCCCCCTATTCAGATTTCCTGTCCCAGCAAACTGTGAAGGCAGAAATGAAGGAACCAAATAACTTCCTTAAAATGCCAGCTCTTCAGTAATAGGGAAGGAAGGAAGGGTTGGCATTCTTCTATGTAGAAAAATAATTCGCATGTTTCAACAAATAAATTATACATGTTGTTTATGCAGATTTAAAAAAATAAATAATTTAAAAACAGTTTTGAAACCACTTTTAAAAAATACTTCAGAGTAATTGTACGGAATAGTAAAGAAAACAGCACTTACTCTCCACTGGTTGTATGCACACTGTTTTCTAGTTGGTCCGCACATTGTTCAAAACATTGAAAATTCCTTCTATACCTACAATTGACATAGGAATTGATGCACAATTTGTGCATATAAAGTTTAATAATTTTACTTAAATGATCACTATATGGCATATCAGAAACTCACTTGTGAGGTTCCTGTGGGCCACTTCAAAGAGATAGATACTCATTTTCCAGAGAGGCTGAAATGAAGACATCATTAGTAACTCTTGGCCTGTGAATGGGGAAAGATGCTTCACCTGCGTCAAGGCACCCTTGACAGAGAAAACCTACCATCGTTTCAAAATGAATCTTAAGTGAAAAATCTCAGGGCAGATGTTCTGATTTAAGGTTGTCAGTTTGCAGTCAAGCTGCTTCTCACATGGGCAACTCTATGTGGCTGTGCTTCCAGAGAAATAATTACAGGTTTTATTTATGGATGGTTAGTACTTCCCCTGAGTAATGCCTAGGAGATCAGTCAAGATTGAAATGATTTAAATAATTCTGGAGCTGATTTTTAACTGAAAAATGTGTCTGTATTAGTTAGGGAAGGGTAACTATCATAAGAAGAGACCCCAACATATATTATGGCTAAAACACAACAGAAGTTTATTTCTAGCTCACATGATGATACTGGGCAAGCGAACAGGTCAGCGGAGTGGCCTCTTTCATGAAGTCATTGAGAGGCTCAGGCCAATGGAGACTGTGCCATATTCAACATATGGCTTCCAAGTTTGCACAGCATGTAGGAGAAAAGGGTCAAGGGGGCATACATGGGAGGGTTGTATGGGCCAGACCTGGGAGTGGCACCCATCATTTCTGTTCACATTTCACTGGCCACATGGCAACATCTAACTGCAGAAGGAGGTTGGGAAATACAGTCTACCTGTGCTCCCAGGAAGAGGTGGAGAACACGGGTTTTAATCAACAGTTTCTGCCCAGTGTCCATTTATCAATTGGTAGCTATTGTGATCTATAGAAATAGATATACTTTATTCAAGGAATGAATTTTCTCAAAAATATTTGAAAGGGAGCCCTTCTTTTCCAAGGCATTGGAATACCTGTGACTTCATCCAAAGAGATATATTTATTTCAAAGTTGAAGTTTGCAAAACTTCAGCACCCCATGCTGCCCTACCTTTGGCTGCTTTGCCCCTAAATCAAACAAGAATAGCATTCTGTCTTCACCTCCCAAGGCAGCTATTTAGTATCTCAAGGCTATTACTCAGTTTTAAACAAAGCATTTAACATTTTAAACAAAGCATTTACTTAATTAAATATTTTATCATTCAAAACACTGGTTTGAGTATGTGTTTGTGTGTATTTTCTAACATTAGGTCTATATCCAGGGAATGACATAACTATGAATCAAAGTCATTTGTAAGCTAAACCCTTTAAGACTCACTCATTATTAAGGTGAGCATGATTTGCTTCTTTGGACTTTTCTGGCATTTGAAAATAAATAAACACACCCTGGTTTGGTAGACAGTAGGAGTAAGAGGCCTTAAAATGACTTAATGATCTTGTTCATTACTGGCCTTAAATTGTATTTAATCTAAGGGCGGGACCTTGCTGCCGTATGACTTGTAGAACCAGTTATGTTTCATACAGATTGACTTTGTTAGTCTAAAATCAGAAGTGAAGTCTTTGTCTAGGCTAATGAGGTTGGGAAAAGGACAAAGCAAACAAAACAGCTTTGGAGCCAACCTGATTATGTAGGTTTATGAAGAACAGTGAATGCTTTTGATAACTGAAACATGCAGATAATCCTGAAATCTCACTCTATATATTTGTTTTAATTACTTCCTTGATGGTTTTGATGCCAATGTGGGTCCAATCAATCGCTCTGTATATCCTCTTTCCCTTGCCCTAAGTCCCTGCTCATTACTCCTCTGATGGAGTATCAAACAAAGGGTGCTTGGAAGAAAGCAGCGAGAGGCTGTATAATCCACAAACTGTGCGAGGAACCCTGGGAAAATAGGGGCTGGTAGTAAATGATCTTTTCTTGTCACTGGGATTGTGGCACAAGCCAGAATAGAGAAACGGGGTACCAGTTTGGAAGTCAGACAGACCTAGGTACAAATCTTACCTCCACCATCCACAGCTATGTGATTCCAAGCAATTATTTAATTTCTCTGAGCCCTAGCTTCCCCATCTATGAAAGGAGACTGAAATTGTTCCTTTCTCATAGAGTTGTATGGATTCAATGAGATCATGCATGTCATATTCTTAGCCAACTGCTCGGCATGTAATAAACACTCAATAAATGTTAGCTATAATTATTATCTATGACAATTTTAGGTGTCCTTTTTTTTCCTTTTGTGTTCCACACACTTCTCTATTCTTGATAAGAATGAAAAGGGCATATATTGTTGAGGCTCCTCAATCCAGTGCTGTTTCAGTAGTTAACGTGGTGGCCCCTGATGCCCTCTATGACCTTAGGGATGAAACAGCTTGGTGGCTCAGAGCAGTTCTTTCTTCTCAGCTCTATTTTGTTCTTGATATAGCTGTTCTATTCACACACCTTGCAATCTGCGAAGTTAAAATTAACCTATTTGCCAACCTGCGTCTCAGTGAGAAACTGAAAAATTACACCTTCTTTACGCACTAGACAGTGTTTTCTAGTGCATCTCTGATGAAGAATATGTTACAGCAAGAGATGGCTTAAAGGGAAAAGACTGAGTTCTATCTGCGCTTAGTTTATTCCCTTGGAAGAGTCCTCTGCAAATGTCAAAGCTCGGTTGAGAGAACAGGATGTGACATGGAAGTCGCTCAGTTTTGTCTCCACACACGGTTTTGAAATGGGGAATCAAAGTGTGCCAGTGTAACTGTCAGATTTGGGCATATGGAACAATCTAAGGAATCAAACTCTTTCCAGTAACAAGTTTAGCAACTTCCTTTAAAGAGGAAAAAAAAAAAAAAAACAAAAAAAAAAAAGCCCAAACCCCTCATTGCACTCACAACCAATGGTTGTCTTCAGTCGACAGTTCAAAGGAGTCCACTTTTCCATTTTGTGTCTGAGTTGACACTTCTCTGATTTCGTGTAGAGACTGCCTGCTGTTGCCACCCTTTGGTCTTAGCTTCCCTGGATTAACCTGGTTGTCTTCTGCCTCCCTTGTAATTCAGAGCCATGGTAGGTGGTCAAGGATGAATGTGTTTGCCTTGACCTTGTCCTAGAGGTCAGCTAGGTGTTATGATTTGTCTGAGACAGGCTAGACCATTACACCAGGCTGTGCAGATACACACTTTTCTCATTTATTTCTTATCTCCTTCAATGGGCCCCTGGTGAGATATTCCTCAGTTCTCTCAGGATTTATCTCCCTTTTCTTCCCTGACGAGTAATTCATAGGGACTCTAAAGTTCCAGGTTTCAGAGACTAGAATCAGGGGACAAAAACTGGGGGTCTGATTTATGACTTGGACTTAGGAATTCCTAAGCCATCATAAAGCTGCTTGAGAGCAGACACTTAGAGATATGGTAGGAGGAGAATAATGATGAAAACAGCCCCTTCCTGCCTGGCACAGAAACCCAAAATCAGAGTGTTAGGTGTCTATGTGGTGGGTAGATTGAGGGGTTTTTGGCATAACTCTCTGCCCTGAAATATACTTCTTAATATCTGCAATTTTACCACTAGAGAGTCATTTCTTTGGATCTGGACATGTTTTAGTGTTAGAAGATCTTTCCTCTCTGGTAATGAAGTTTTTAAAGTTCTTATACACACACACACATAAATATATATTTTATATATATATATATATATATATATATATATATATATAAACCTATGTTGTCCTCAGAACAGCACTGTGAGGTAAGTACTGCTATTATTCCCATTTTACAGATGAGAAAACTGAGGCACAGAGGCACTAGGAGTGCAGGGTCCCACAGCTAGGAAGTAGTAGAGAAAGAATTCAAACCCAGAAAGTCAAACTCCAGAACCCCAGCTCTTAGCCCCATACGTTGTGTCATACACTAACTGCAACAATTCTTAGATTGCTGGCTGCAGCATCTAACTACTACTGCAGACACTCTAGTCTCCAGCAACTCTTCCTTTCCCCACCCCACAATATTTCTGAGAGTTCCCAGAGAATGTCTGTTGGGTGTGGTCTGGTGGAGATCAGTGTATGGTATATCTACCAAATCCTTTCCCCCTGTTTGAGTGTTTACTCAATATTGGCTTGCTGCTACCTCTAAATTATAATGGTTCTATCCAAGAAAGCTACTGTTTTTTTAGGGTCCCCAATGAGCTGAAGCCATTGTAGTGTTCCGTATTGAAGGAGTGAGGATTTTCTGCCCATGTGAGACATTGAGGGTAAAGCAGCACTGTGCTGTGTCCAGATGCAGAGGGTATCTGGCATCTAGGATTAACTGCCAGGATCCTTTTGCTAAGAACTCCCTCTTCCCTTATCTCTTCTCATAGTTAACATAGGAACAAACACTTGAGTACCTTTCATGTCTCTATTTCAAGTTCCCACCTGACAAGTCCACCCTGAAAATGCCCAATCCTGGTGGCTATTCCTCTGGCCCCAGGTGATTTGTCCAATGGCCGATTCAAGCTTGGCTAATGAGTCCTTTCCTTTGGTGGACAGGGAACTAGAAAGAGATTGAGTGCAATCCCTTTCTAGAGGTTAAGTCTGCAGGATGTCTCACGGACTTAATTAGCAACTGTCAAGGGCCATGTATCTTCTCACTTAAAGATTGCCAATCTGCTGGGAGAGAATGAAGCTGACAGGCCGAGAGGCAGGAACAAAGAACGGAGTGTATTTGTGAGTGTTTGAGTCCTGATTCTAGGAATTTCAGAAGTTCAACAATGTACCTGCTCTTCCCATGTCGTACTCTTCTTTCCTTTCTTGAATATCATGAGCCAGCAAAGTCGAATATTTTTGTTACTTTCAAGTCAAAGAAATATAAAAGTTCAGCAGGTGACAGTTTTTGGTTTAAATACCTTGATATCTGTTTGCAACTCTCTTTCCCTTGGACTTTGACAAAGGGAGCTGGCCAATTGAGAATTTTCCGAAAAACAAACAAACAAACAAAAAACCCCAAAAACCTTTCCTAGTTTCTACCTTTCTACCTCCCTCATCTAATTAGTTCATTAAACCTGATGCTGATTGTTTAAAGCCTCCACTTATATATGGAAATACACCTGGGAAAAGAAACACCTTAAACCACTATTAGATAAAAGGCATTATCTATAGAGAGCCTGGTTGATAAACAGCACTATTAGATAAAAGGCATTATCTATAGAAAGCCTGGTTGATAAACAGCTAAGAATAAGGTTTTTGGGCAATGAAAACTGATTGAAGAGCAGCAGAAATTGGATGTGTAAGCAGGGGAAGTGGAGGCCAGGGTTTGTTGGGGGTAAGTCTTACTTTCTGAATGTCTTCCTTACTTTAGCAGGCTAAATCTCAGCATTTGTATGTTTGCTGTGCTTCTTTATTCTATTGAATACATGATTAAATTGTGACAAAATATATATTCTGTACTATATTTGAATATAACTCAGGGGGTTTTGTTTATTTCATTGTATATACTTTAAGTTTGGACCCTTTAAAAGTTAATATTCAGACTTATTCCAAATTGGATGAAAATTTTTCTGTAATAAATTCTGTATGAGGTAGGGTTCTCTAGAACAAAAGTGCTAATAGGACATTGTGTGTGTTTGTGTGTGTATGTGTGTGTGTGTGTATGTACACATTCACATACAGTTGACCCTTGAACGATGCTGGAGTTGGGGGTGCCAACCCCTGAGCATCCACATGTAACTTTTGATGCCTCAAAACTTAGCTACTGATAACCTACTGTTGACTGGAAGCCTTACCAACAACAAACAGTTGATTAACATGTATTTTGTATGTTATATGTATTAGATACTGTATTCTTAAAATAAGCCAGAGGAAGCAAAATGTTAAAGAATCATAAAAAAAGAGGAAATGCATTTACTATTACTAAATGGAATTGGATCATTATAAAGGTCTTCATCCTTGTTGTCTTCACATTGAGTAGGCTGAGGAAGGGTAGGGTGTGGTCTTGCTGCCTCAGGGGTGGCAGAAGGGGAAGAAAATCTTCATGTAAGAGGATTTGCACAGTTCAAACCTGTTATGTTCAAGGGTCAACTGTATTTATATGAGGGGATTTATTATAGGAATTAGCACAAGCAGTTATGGAAGTCAAGAAGTCCTATGATCTGCTGTCTGCAGGCTGGAGAATCGCGAAAGCAGGTGGTGTAATTCAGTCTGAGCTTGAAGGCCCGGGAACCAGGAGTGCTAGTGTGCAAGGGCAGGAGACAATGGATGTCCCAGCTGAAACAGAGTGAATTCACCCTTCTTGTTTTTTTTTCTTTTTTTTTCTTCTTGTTGTTCTATTTGGGCCCTCAGTGAACTGGATGATGCTCGCCCATATTGAGTAAGGGTCATTTTCTTTACTCAGGCTACTGATTCAAATGCTAATCTCTTCTGCAAACACCCTCAAAGACACATCTAGAAATATTTTACCATGCCTATCTGGGTAAATAATAAATACCTATCTGGGTATCCCTTATCCCAGTCAAGATGACACATAAAATTAACCACCTCTGGAACTTGAAAAGAATCAGATTACAATACCACACATCTACCTTCCTAATCATGATTTAACATTCACTGATCTGGGGAAGTAGCTAGGTTTTGGTGATCCTGTAAATGAATGCCTTTGGTTTCTCCTGGGTTGTTAGTGAGCATTCCTAGAACCACATCTCTGTTGTTTTCTCTAGGAGAGGGATGAGGGAACGGAGGATAATTTGGCTATCTTAATTTTTGCTTGCTTGATGTCCCCTTCTAGACTCCCCCAGTCCTCTTGTGCTTTTAAAGGAACATTTGTTACTAGAAAGTTTATATACTCAACTTTTCTGATCCATTCCCTTCATCAAACCATGGAATCTTAGATCTGGAAGGAACCACATGGATTAAGTAGTGCAAATCTTTTGACCATAGACTTTAGAAAACTGAGCTATTTTAATCAGGGTCATACAGCTATTTAGAGGTCTTCTAACTCCTGGTACAGTGCTATTTCCAGGTATGACATAGACATTTTCCGAATTAGGTTTTTTGGCCATATATTCAAGCCAAATCTATGCTCATTCTCCATTTGTTTCCCTTTGCTCACCTTTCAAAGCAAAGCTGACAAAACTCATTTTTGCTCATGTTTGATCCCCAACTGAGTTCAAAGGGTTTGACCTGAGCTAGCAGGACTTGGGGAGTTGGGGGACATGGAGTAGGTGAGATTGGCTCACTGACTGTGAAAAAACAGAGCCATGGGACCTCCGGAAGTCTGACCAGATGAGAGTCCACTGTTCAGTCCAAACTGAAGTTTCCATCTGTGGGAACTGTAGAGATGGAAATCAATGACATGGCCATGAGAGGATGCAAGATGCAAACCAGCAAGAACCAGAAGGCTGGGAAGGGAGCTCTGGAAGGCAGAGCCAGAGGAATTTCCTGAAGCCTTAGAGCATCTGTGGGACCTTCCTCCCCAACTCCCTCTGCTTCTACCACTCCTTAAGGATGCGGGGGAATTGATCTGGACTCATAAGACCTTCGGTGATTTTGGATAGCATTTTTGGCTGAATATTTGTCAGTCCTGATAATCTCTTGGTTGGAAAGCCCAATGATGGATGACACAATCCTGCTTACAAAGCCTTTTAAAGCATTTTTTAGTCCATCATCTATTATGAACCTAATCAATATCACCGATGATACCAGTCAAAGAGCTAGAAGGTAGGAAAGGCAATACTTTTATGTATTTCAAGGCATGTATATCTTTCATGGTGTGTTCTTAATGTGCTACCAGGAAAATAATTTATGATTAAAATTCTCCCACCCTTCAGTCTGACAAATTTGTATTTAATTAAAATATGAGTCCTTAGAGAAAAGCAATGGAGAAAAAATGTAGAAATACAGATTCCTATCCTGGCACAAAACTAATTTCTCTGTTCTTTGCCTGAACAGAGAAGGGTGTAAAATGAGGAAACCTGTATGGAGACCTCTAGTTAAAAAGTGTACTTCTTTTTCTTTTCCTCATCCTTCATTCCAGAGTCTTCCTCTTTGTCCTCTTTCATTTGACCTGAACTCAGATTTTAAAATTTCAGAAGCCATGAATCATACGTATATTTCTTAGACTGATATAATTCACAAATAAATGAAAGAGAGTGTTTTAAACTTACATGATACATGATGAAGATGCATGAGGAAGGCATATGATATGGTTCTTGTACTATTGGTAAGAATGAAGGCGTGATAATAATTTGAGGAAAGTGAGCAGGCTGATTCCACACCCTTGTCAAGTTCCTCTTTGTCAGTGGTTCAGCCTCCAGTGTGTGCTTGCTTTGCCAGCTCATCTTATTTCATTACTGATGCTTATTTCATTACTGATTTCACTTCCTTTTTTCTAAGCATACTTGCAAAGTCCAGTGTTTTGCCTGCACTTTAGAAAATTGTGGTCACAAATTGGTAGGAGACTGTGAGGGAATTTGGGGGAGGAGTGTAGGGAGGTACTCAAGAGAGTATTTTATTGCCAGGACCATCCTGGGGTTCAGAACCAGTGCCAGTAATCCTGGGTGGGTCATGTCTTTCTACCTCATGGTTTTGTGCAGTCAAAATCTGGTTAAAATGATTATCATGGGAATCCCTGCAGGGAAATACTTGCCTCCTCTCCCCATCCCTGATTTCCCTGAGTCACCAACATACTGCTTTGCAGCACAGAAGCACGGTGTGTGTCCTTTCCCACAACACAAGGAGTACAGAGGCACCTCTGAGCACCTCCCTCATGCATCTCCAAATGGTGTAGGATGAGTGAAAACTCCAGGCAAACTTGCCTTGTGAGTGCTTTTCTGACTATCTTTAACATACTTTCCTCCAATCAATATTTTTCTTTCTTTCCTTTTTTCTTGATGGGATGGGAGACAGGGGATTATTCAGCTGTGGCAGTGTCTCCACTCTAGAATTTGGGGTTCCAGAGTCATGCTTTCTGTATTCTCTAGATGTTCTGTCTGATGGGAATAGGTGTTATATAAAGAGTATTCTGTGGCTCAGTGATGACATCCATGAACCAAGCTCTTTTTGTCTAACACTCAGTCGTTCTCAGTGTGCTGGCAATTGGCTCTTGTGCTGGTTACTTCATGACTACAGGGTGGCTGTCATAGCTCTTGGCAATATGGCCATATTCAAAGGCATAAAGAAGAGAGTAGAGGTGGGGGTAGGTGAGAGAGAAAGTGGCTTAAGCTAATTAAGCTAATTCTCTCTCTCTCTCTCCCTCTGCATCTCTCTGTCTCTGTGTCTCTTTCTGTGTGTGTAGATAGACTGATAGGCAGATATAGTTAGATACAGATACAGAGATATATTATTTAGATGACCCAGAAGACTATCACTCATATCTGATTGACTGGAACTGTGTTCTAGTCACAGTTCAATACACCCACAATACAAAAGTCTAGCAAAGCAAATATCTGGGAAAAATGAATGAGGTTGCTAGAAATTGCTTAGCTAAACATGGTTCAAACATGTGGGGGCTGAGCACATTGCTATTCTGCACAAAATCATGGTTCTATTGGTATGAAAGAAGGAGTGGATGATTGCTGAGGGGCCAGCCAGCAGTGTCTGATACACGAACCAACCACAATTTTATTGCATTTTCTCTTCCACACTATCATGGGAGTGTGACTCATTCATGCTGGGAGGCTACCTTCCCAGTTCTAAAGAATAAATCATGATTTGTAAATGATCTAAGCCAATCATGGTGGTCCAATTCCTCTTGCCAATGGTTGGGTTAAACATGGAAGTGTGACATAATTTTGGCCAATGAGGTGTAAGGGGAATTGGACAGGAGGTTTTTGGAAAAGGGTTGCCTCTCCAACTAAAGAAACATGTCAGGGAAAAAGAATATTTGTCTGGTAGACATTGGGGCAGATGGTTGTGATGGCTGATGCTATTGCAATCATGAGGAGAGGCACACAACATACTGAGAAAGACAAAGAGAGACAAATTCTGTAAGGCTTGATGACATCACTGACTGGCTGAATTAACCACCCTAGGGACCCCTAATAAAGTTCTTATAGGAGAAAATAGTTTTCTTATGGTTTAAGACACTATGAATTATTTTCTCCATGACTTTCAGTCCAAATACTCTCATGGCAAGATAGAAGTAAGAGGTTCTATTGTTCTATAGCACTGTCGGATGACTATAGTTAACAATAATATATTACATAGTTTCAAATAGCTAGAAGGAGGATGTTGAATGTTCCCAACACAAAGAAATGATAAATGTTTCTGATGATGGAATGCTGATTATCCTGATCTAATCACTACACATTATGTGTATTAAAACATCACTACATACCCTGTAAATATGTACAATTTTTGTGTGTCAATTAAAAAAATATTTTAAAACAGGCAAGAATAATTAATTAGGTCAGCTTCTCAAAATATGCAATTCAAAATCCATGCAACTCAAAGTAATCCATGATAAAATAAATATGGAAAATTTTAAAGCTATATATGGTCACTGAAGTTAATGATCAAATTAGCATATCAAAGACTCAGAGCAAAACGATTCTTAAGGCAAAATTTTGCCCCTGCTTATAATCCCATTCTATCAGCTCTCATTCAAAAGAGGAGTAAATAAATAATATGTAGGTGAGAGAAGATGACACATAGTTGAGAGAAGATGCTTTAGAATAGAAAATATATTAATGTAACAAATATATTTTGTTACAAATAACAAACAACAAATAACAAATCCATAAAACTTCTCTTGCTCACCTCTTGAACTTGAATGGCACTAGAAAATCACTAACAGGGTTCTTGTGCTTCACAGGGTCTTGAAAATGGTCTATTGAAAGACTAGCTCTCATTTTTGGCAGCACAGGCCAGCTGCCCAGACTCTCATGACCATTTTCCTGTTAGTCAAGAAGTATCAATTATTGATTACTAGTCATGAGCTCACAGCTCTGTGAAATCTGAAGAAATACAAATGTAAGACATGAACTATTATAACACTTTCCTAGAGCTGCTGAAACCGATCACCACAAACATCATGGCTTAAAACAACAGAAATCTCTCAAGTCCTGGAGGCTATAAGTCCGAAATCAAGGTGTGAGCAGAGCCATGCTCTCTCCAAAGGCTCTAGGGAAGAAAACTTTCTTGCCTTTCCTGGCTTCTGATGGTTGCTGGCACTCCTTCATGTCCCTTGGCTTGGGGCAGCATAGCTGTCTCTGTCTTCTCATGGCTGTCTTCCCCCTGCGTATCTGTGTCTGTTCTCTTATGAGGATAGCAGTCATGGGAATAGGGCCCATCCTAAGCCAGTGTGATCCCATTGAGAGGTGACAATGTGCTGGTGGCCCTTGCTCGCTCTCAGTGTGTCCTCAGCCTCGGCGTCTGCTCTGGCCACGCTTGAGGAGCCCTTCAGCCCACCGCTGCACTGTGGGAGCCCCTCTCTGGGCTGGCAGAGGCTGGAGCCGGCTCCCTCTGTGGGGTGGTGTGGAGGGAGAGGCGTGGGCGGAACCGGGGCTGCACGTGGCGCTCGCAGGCCAGTGCGAATTCTGGGTGGGCATGGGCTTGGCAGGCCCTGCACTGGGAGCGGCCGGTGCCGCGGGCCCTGGGCAGTGAGGGGCTTAGCACCTGGGCCAGCAGCTGCGGAGGGAGTGCCGGGTCCCCCAGCACTGCTGGCCTGCCCATGCCGCGCTGGAATTCTCACTGGACCTCAGCTGCCTCCCTACAGGGCAGGGCTCGGGACCTGCAGCCTGCCATGCCCGCCGCAGTGGGCTCCCGCACTGCCTGAGCCTCCTGGAAGGGTGCTGCTCTCTGCTCTGCAGCGCCTGGTCCTATAGACTGCCCAAGGGCTGAGGAGTGCAGGCACATGGCAAAGGATTGTTGGGCATCTCCACCCGCAGCCATGGCGTGGGATCCACTAGGCAAAGCCAGCTGGGCTCCTGAGTCTGGTGGGGACTTGGAGAACTTTTATGTCTAGCTGGAGGATTGTATATACACCAATCAGCACTCTGTGTCTAGCTCAGGGTTTGTGGATGCACCAATCAGCACTCTGTGTCTAGCTAAAGGTTTGTAAACTCACCAATCAGTGCTTTGTGTCTAGCTAATCTAGTGGAGACTTAGAGAACTTTTGTGTCTAGCTGAAGGATTATAAATGCAACAGTCAGCACCCTGTGTCTAGCTCAAGGTTTGTAAACGCACCAATCAGTGCTCTGTGTCTAGCTAATCTGGTGGGGACTTGGAGAACTTTTATGTCTAGCTGGAGGATTGTAAATGCATCAGTCAGCACTCTGTGTCTAGCTCAGGGATTGTAAATGCACCAATCAGCACTCTGTGTCTAGCTAAAGGTTTGTAAATGCACCAATCAGCACCCTGTCCAAAAGGACCAATCAGCTCTCTGTAAAATGGACCAATCAGCTCTCTGTAAAATGGACCCATCAGCAGGATGTGGGTGGGGTCAGATAAGAGAATAAAAGCAGGCTGTTCCAGCCAGCAGCGGCAACCTGCTGAGGTCTCCTTCCATAGTGTGGAAGCTTTGTTCTTTCACTCTTTGCGATAAATCTTGCTGCTGCTCACTCTTTGGGTCCACACTGCCTTTATGAGCTGTAACATTCACCGCGAAGGTCTGCAGCTTCACTCCTGAGGCCAGCGAGACCACGAGCCCACCAGAAGGAAGAAACTCCGAACACGTCCGAACATCAGAAGGAACAAACTCTGGACACACCACCTTTAAGAACTGTAACACTCACTGCGAGGGTCCGCAGCTTCATTCTTGAAGTCAGTGAGACCAAGAACCCACCAATTCCAGACACACCATGTTAACTGTATCTGCAAAACAGAGCCGTGGGACCTCTGGAAGTCTGACCAACCTATTTCCAAGTAAGGTCACATTCTGAGTTCCAGCTGGATATGAATCTTGGGGTGGACATTATTCAACCACGCACAGTCAGTGGCTGAGGAGTGTTTATCCCAGTTGGGATAGCCCCAAATTCTATAGTGTTGTCCTTAGTGTAGGGGTCACGTGACTCAGTGGAGAAAGTGTTTAGATGGATCAGGGAATGTGTGTGGATGAGGTGGAGCTTGAATGAAACCTTGAAGTGCAGGTAGAATTTGGCTTGATAGAGGGGACAGAGTAGAATGTCCTGAATCACAGAGATGGGAAAAATTCATGAGCAAGGATTATGAATCCGTAGCTCTAATTTGAAAAATTAGACCCCTTCTTCAGACTGTGGTTCCTGAGGACGTGTGTAGTCAGGACAGTGTGAGGGTACCATTCCCAAGTGCCAGCCCCTCTGCATGGCTGGGAAGAGTGGTTGTGTGGAAAGAAAATGTGTGTGTATGCAGGGGCTGCGGCAATAAGGAATTTCTTTCAGCTATTGAATATGTCTTGTCTGTCTCCTTGCAAGAAAGAAGTTGGGGATAATAGCAAGAGAGGATTTTATGCTTTAATCATAAAAGCTTAAGACAGGAGATGGATGATGCCCACTAAAAACAGATATGAGAAGGCCAAAGTTGTAGGTCAAATTTAGATGTAGATGTCTTTGGCTTAAATCCAAAGGAGAAATATAAAATCTTGATCATTATTATCTGCAGGTTTTTTGTTTTTGTTTGGAACATTTATTTATTTATTTAGCCATCATTAAGATTTGTATACCTGTTTAAACTTATCTCCCAAATGCCCTAATAATTACCGATTTATAGCCTCCTAAAGACCTGTAATATTGTTTGGGTGCTCCAGTTATTCGCTTAATCATTTTAAAGAAACCGAAGCATGGCTCTACATGCAAAAAATCACTGGAGAAGATTTTGCCCTGCTTCATATAGGACCAGTTCAGTATTTCCTTTTCCTTTACATAGCTTCTTTTCTCTGTATATAGATCAAATCCTTTTCAAAAGTATCTCCAAGTCCTAGTCCTCAAAGTCTAATAGAGAAGTTCTAGAAAATTGTCTCCAGAAGTAGTTAAGTTTCTATTCACCGTACTAATTTAAGTTAGCCATGCCCACATTTACCCATGTTGTTTGTTCTACCATAGCATCCTTTTGCTTCACTATGACTACAACTTTATTTAGTTCAGGACGCTTTTGGCATGGATGTCATCCACGGTGCTCCTGTGTAGCCACTGAAAATTTCACCTGGAACCTCCAGATCATGTAGGAATGAGTCTTCTGCCTGTTACTGTTTTTTAAAATAAATCTCCTCATATTTTGATGGCAAACTTTGGGCTTCAGTTGCAAAATCGTCTTTTGTTCCAGGTTCTGCAGGAGGGAATAAAGACACACTATCCATGTTTAAATTGACAAGCCTAAACAAAATAGGAAAATAGAGAGTTGAGTAAAACCAGAAAGAACCTAAATGTGATCATTGTATAAAAAAAAAAGGAAAAAATACCCAGAAAGAACCTATATGAAATTTTTTTTTAAAAGTGATTACAAGGGGGTATATTTAGGAGTAAGTCATAGGCACTGACAATCACAACACAGGCTGGATGTAAATGCCTGTTACAATTGTCCTGGTGTGTATTGTTACTGTTGGCCTCCTGTGGACTTTTCCTACTGCCGGAATTCTCTCAAGCTCTGGGGCCGCTGATCTGCTACTTATTTCTCTGTGATGGGCTTCTGGAAAAGAGGGTTCTTGCTTCCTAAAGTGCTGAGCAGCTTTTCTGTTTGAAGAAAGCTGCTACCTCTACTTTGAGAATCATTTTACACAGAAACTCTTTAAGGGGTCTCTCTAGTTTGTAAGTTTGAAGTGGACCCTGAAGACTTTCCGAGAAAAGCTTTGGAACACTTGTGGCAGATTATCTTTTCTTCCACAGAGGCTGAAGATAAATGAAAGAAAACAGAAATCAGAGCTAAGCAATGCTTTTTAGCTAAAATTAGTACTAAAAGTTTTGTGAATTTGGAGGCCTTTAATAAGTGAAGAGTATTTGAAATACATTGGCCTAAATGTGAAATCAGTGTTCAGTTTTTTTTTTTTTTTGAACCAAGATCAAGAGAATTGTGTATTATAAGTTCTGTGGGGTCAAGGTCTAGGCCCACCATATAATACATCTTTAGCCCCGGTTCAGTGACTGGCGTATAATAAACCCTCAATTGATATTTGGTGACTGACTGAATCAATGAATGACACAATGAATGCCTTCTGAGATCTGCACATAGTTGACTTTTATTGGTCGATGGGAAGGACAGTTGTAGATCTTTCATCATTTTTTAAATTCCACTATTAGGAATTAATTTCATTTTAAATATTGCCCTTTCTTTCTTACACCTTCTATTGAAACACAAATACCCCTGCGTGGGGTGACTTACTAAGTCTCCGATGCCTCTGATGTTTTAGTGTGAGTGCATTCATGAAAGTGGATGTTGGGGGGATGATAAAGGTAACGTGTTGCAGAAAAGGGAGGCCAGAACACAGGAGGCCAATTGACCAATCCAGGTATTTTTCCTAGGGATGGCCTTGTAAGACAAACCCTGCCCCAGCTGCTGTAATCATTCCTGGGAACACTTGCAGCTTTTGGAAAGTAACACAAATTAAGGAGAGAGGAGAAAGGTAGCTGGAGAGGGAATGTCTTTAAATTCTGACCTAGTTTTGTATGAATAAAATGTATTTATTACTTAGGCAACATTTTCCCCAGCAGGTGAATTATAACTAACAACATATAATTTTAAGCTAACGTTCTTTTTGCTAAAGGCCTTAGTCATAACAGGTGTTATTAAGGGTAATAAGTACTTAGAGAGTAAGATTGAACAGTTCTTTTCTTGGAATATTCATGGAAGGTCCAGTCAATGTAGTTGAGAATTCTGTTAAGTATCATATTTTCCAGTTCATGGGGAATACTATGATCTGTAAGTGATCTTATAGTGTTTGGGTTTGGGTAAGGATGATTTCTGGTAGATACAACTAAAAACACTTAGTCCAGTAAATGATTATGCCCTTGAAGGTGATGACACTGGATTTAAGGCAAATGGATATTTACATGTAGGAATTGAATCTGTGGTGCTATATGCTATTAGGCTCCTGAAAAGAGAGAGAAAGCCTATACATTTTCTGCTTAGAATAGGGTGTAAGGAGGGGGAGGGCTGGGAGCTGGGAGCCAGATGGTCAGCCTTCCTAAACCCAATAGTAGTGCTCTGAAAGTGCCCTGTATGAGCACCTGCTCTTGCTAGAAGATTCCTGTGACCATTTTTTTTTTTTTGCTTTCTCCCTGGGCCTGGGTCTCCGGGGTACATGGCATTGGAAGAGGGCAGGCATAGTATGCTGGTCAGGTCTGCCACATCCAGCACTTGCAGCCTAAAGAATATAGGACTATTGTAAGAGTCATTTATTTTAAGGTTACTATATTGGTTTTAAAAATAAACACCATTTAAGTTAGTTACAAAGTCTTCTCTTTTGACCCAGGGGCCATACAGTCTTATTGATGAACAGTTTATGTTCACATTGATACCAGATTGGTATCATTTATTTATTTAGCACACTGAGTGCCTATTATGTCCTTTATTCGAGGGCTGAGTATACAGTTATGAACTAGCACAACAGGGTCTCTGCACTCTTAGAGCTTATATTTTAGTGGAAGTGATAGGCAATGAACAATAACAATGATATAGAGGTAACATTTGAGAAATGGTTTCTGCCTTGGAGGAGTTCTCAGTGTAGTTGTAGAGACTAATATATCAGCACATACTTATCATCATATCAATATAGAGATATGGTATCATCAACTCAGAGGATCTTTGTGAATCTCAACTTGGACATGGTGTCTAGTTTGCCCTGTTATAGGGTACCTCTGGAAACTTTTTCTTATTTTTTTTCCATCCCCTTATGATGATGTCATCACTTAACCTCACTGTAGAAATTAGTATTTTGCCTGGGGCTGGTGGCTCACACCTGTAACCTCAGCACTTTGGGAGGCTGAGGTGGGCAGATCATCTGAGCTTAGGAGTTCAAGACCAGCCTGGGCAACATGGTGAAACCCTGTCTCTATCAAAAAAAAAAGAAAAAAGCAAAAATTATCTGGGCTTGGTGGCATGTGCCTATAATCCCAGCTACTTGGGAGGATAGACTGAGTCCAGGAGGCGGAAGTTGCGGTGAGCTGAGGTCTAGCCACTGCACTCCAGCCTGAGAGACACGGTGAGACCCTGTCTTAAAAAAAAGAAATTAGCATTTTGATGAAATAGGTCACTGTCATTGAGTGGCTGGCTGACTAGCTTGCTGTTACACTAGAGGATGTGAGAATATTGAACCAGTTTTCACTGCTGCTGATCTTTCTCAGTTTTCAGGTCCCAGCTCAGATCCCATCTATCAGGGTGGCCTCTGGCCGCCCAATCTCTAGACAACCTCCCCAAACCCCTTAGTTATTCTCCTTGCTTATCCCAAGGTGTTTATAAAAAAGGAGAGGTGAGAAAAACATAAAAATAATCATAAAAATTAGGTAAGGATATAAAATGCTACAAATAATTACAAATTGTTTTATGTAGCATTAGTGAAAAAATAGGTTTCTTATCCTTTTAATTTTATATTTTTAAAGAATTCCAACCTTGGAGAAGAAGATTAGGCCTTTTATATATGTGTGTGTATATATCTTTAAATCGTTAGATAAGAAAATAAAGGTCCTAAAATGTTAACAAGATTTATGAACACAGAAACAAGGTCTTATAGAGGCGATTGAAATATGTGACAACCATTAGCATTTCAGAGTAGTGATGAGCTACTTGTATAGATTGATGTACCTAAAAATTAGACAAGGCATATTAAAAGCTGAGATCATTCAGGCTTAGGAGCAGCTGAATATGAGCAATTATGAAGCAGTTAAGCCATTAAATAAAACTGAAGATCTTGTGAACCACCAGAGCAAAAAGGCACCTCCGTGTGACTGAGAGCTTTATCACCAACACTCTCATCTTAAAAACATAAACATTAGGAAATGTTGGTGCCAAGGGCAATGGAGAGGCTCTTTAAAGACAAACTGTGTCACATGTTGCTCAGGACAGCAATCTCATGCAGAGAAAGCCATCTCTAACTGGGCACACCAATTGCGTGAGCAGAATGTGGGGATAAAGCGATTAAGGCCAGCCTTTTGGTGTGCGGCTGACACGGAGTCTGAATGTTACAGAGCCCTTTGGAAAATGGCTTACCTGGCTTCTGTCATGCTCATGTAATTGTACATTCAGACTGGCTGGCTTCATCAGCTCATCCCTCCTGTGAAAAAGATTGTAAACATGGGCAATGTTTATGTGAAAATGTTTATTCTATTCCCATTCTGCTTGGGTGTTAGTCACTGTATCATGAGAGGGTTTCAAGAACATACTATATGAGAGAAAATAATCCTAAGAACATCTGCTCTTTCCCCTAGTCACTGTGACTTGGCTACATCATTTGATAGTAAATAAGATTATTCCATGAAGAAAAGGCTGAGCCAATTTTAGAGTGGGTCTGGCCTATGCAATAATGCTGTGTCTATATGCATAAGTCGTTTTGAATAGCTTAATTGGTTGTCAATAGAAACATCTAATATTTATTAAGAACCTGCCATGTGCTAGGCATGGGGTAGGAACATTTACATATTTATTCAGGAGAAGCAGGGTATTGAAGTAGCAAGGGCACAACAATTAGAGCTTTAGTCTTGGCATGATCTCTAACTAGTGGGGGGTACTAAACAAGTCATTTAAAGCACTCAACAAATGTAAGGAAGGAAAGCAAATTCTCTAGACCTGTGTTTATTTTACTGTTTAAAAGTGTGTGTGTGTGCGCATGCATGCGCATATGTGCACAAATGTGTCTGGAAGAAATTATCTTTTATATTCCTTTCAACACTAAAGTTCTATGGGCTGTACATGTGTGCAACTTTATTTATATTTTTGACCCTTTTGCTATTTTGTGTACAATATACTTTCCATGTGCAGTATTATCTTTCCTCCACATTCAAGTCAGTCATCAAATTCCACTTTAATTCATCTTCAAAATATCTCTCAAATTATTTCCTTTCAACCAAACAATTTGTATCAGGAAACCCCGTAGTTAGGAGCACAGGTTCTAGAGTAGAACAGATTTGGGTTCAAATTCTTCCTTTGCTACTATTAGCTATGTGACCTTGTGATCTTTATTTTTTATTTAAACTGTCTGAAATTCCACTTTCTAATCTTTAAAAGGGGGTGATAACATTTACATTGCAGGATTGTTGTGAATATTTGATGAGAAATGCATTTTAAATGCTTGGTGAAATGTATGGCACAAAAACTCAATATTAGCTAGTCCTTTTACTGATATAATAGCAGTAGTTGTATTAATGTACTGCCATCACTACTGTTAATCTCACCCTACCTTCTGCTTTCTTTAGCTTGGGTTGCTATGATAGCCCTGTAGCTAATATTCCTAACTCCATTCTTTGAACACTTACTACAATAAGTAACTATACTACATGGTAGACTGTTTTATTTTGGAAAGTTTATATTTCTATATATTCAGGTTCACTAATGTTTTCTTCTGCCGTGTCTAACCTGTTCATTTGTGCAGTGTATTTTTTGTAACCTCAGACACTGTATTTTTCATTTATAGAAATTCGAATTGGGTTTATTTTGTATTATCCATATCTCTTAACTTGTTCATGTTTTCCTCTACCTTAGTGGTTCTCAATTGGAGGTGATTTTGCCCCACAGCAGACATTTGGCAATGTTGAAGATATTTTTGGTTGTCTCAGCAGGGCTGGGATGCTACTGGAATCTCATGGGTAGAGGTCAGGGGTGTTCCTGAGCATCCTGTAATGCACAGGACAGCCTCCACAACAAATAACTATCTGGTCCGAAATGTCAGTAGTGCCAGGGTTGAGAAGCCCTGCACTGCCTTCTTGCACATATGCAATATAGTTAGAGTAGTTGTTGTAATGTCTTTGTCCATTTGTCTTACCATCTGTATCATCTCTGAGTCAGTTTCTATTAATTGGCTTTTCTCTCATTATGCTTTTTGCATGTTTGGTAATTTTTTACTGGATGCCATCTACTGTGAATTTTATCTTCTTGGGTACTGGATATTTTTGTATTTTAAATATTCTTGAGCTTTGTTCTAGACACATTTAAGTTACTCACAGACAGTGTGATCCTGTAGGCGTGTTTTTAAACTTTTTCATCTGGGCCCAGAGTAACTTCTAATTTAGGGAACATTTTTCCCCACTACTGAGGCACTAGGTGGATGAGTACTCTACCTGATGCCCTGTGTATTGTGAGCTTTTCCACTCTGATGGAGGGAAGCATGAATTCTTTCCAGAGCTGTGTGGGCACTGTGGATTGCTCCTTCTCAGTGGTCTTTATCTGCCCTGAGTAGTTTCCTACACAAGCATGCTGGTCAGTGCTCAGCGGAAAACACAGAGGAACCCACGGAGACCTCCAGGGTACTTACTGTCTGTGCAGCTCTTTCCTCTCTGGTCCTGTGTGCTGTGAATTCTAGCCATCGTGGTCTCCCTCTCTGAACGTTCGACTCTACCTCCTCAACTCAGGGAGAAACCCAGGTTCTGTTTGGGCTTCCTCCATTTGGTGTAGCTTTGGAAGTCTCTCCAGGCAATAAAAGGGTGAAATCAAGGTGGAACTCACCCGGTTTGTTTCCCTTCCCTCAGGGATCACTGTCCTGCACTCTCTGTTGTCCAATGTCTGAAAACTGTGTTTTCATATGTTTAGTTTATTATTTAAAGTTATTTAAGGTGGGAGGGTAAATCTGGTCTTCAATACTCCATTATTGAAGCCCACAGTAGACTTTTAAGAAGGATACAGACACTGCTGTATATTATATTCAAAACAGAATCATATTTTGTTTCCACAGCTGTGCTTCTAGAAGCATGTTCTGTCTTCAGAATCTGGTTGGCATCAATGCTGAGACCTAAACCACAAGGTATACATTTACCAGACCAACCTCTGAACTTTTCTATGTTGATTCTCTTCTGTTCCCTTTCTCCACTTGGGATTCGTCTTTTTGAGAATCTATACTTCAATACGTCAGCTGTTCCAGTTTTAAGCCTTTTACTCTCCTGGATCCTATACTTGTACAATTAATTTGGGCCTTTTTCTTTGGTTTGCTTTTTGCCCTTTTCAGCAGTCAGGTCCCAAAGTTTATGTATAGCTCAATAACTCACATATCTGTTTGTTGGTTACAATACAATTTAATGGTGTGTTTATATTGCTGTATTTAATTAGCTTTGAAATTCCTAACAGAGGTATCCATTTTCTGCCCTCAGGACGTGCTAACATTTTAATTACCACTTGTGTATTAAATAGTTATTTCTTTACATGTTTCTAGTAACTTTTTTTCTTGAAGTCTTTCATAAGATACATTTATTGAAAAGGAGGGAGGCAAGAAAATAATGAGAACTGGGAAATAAAAGCAAAATAAAATACAACTGAGTCCCAAGTTCCAGTGCTTGCCAGCTGTCCCATTACTGTTTCTCTTGGTGGCATGATGTTTGCACATTTTCCAAAGCTGGAGAAATGTTAGCTTTCCATGGCTTATGGTTACTAGCCTGGAAGTTACTAATGCCAATACTGTTATGCTATATCTTGGGTAAGCTGGATCTGGTAAGGGGTTTGTTATGCTGCTGTATGTAGTATGATGCTTGACAATAAAGCCCTGGATTTGGGCTGAGTGGCTCATGAGATCAGAGATGGGAAATGTGGAGTCTTTCATCGTTCAGTTCTAAGTTTAGGGCCAATCAAGAAGACATTGGGTTTAATGACCTCCAGTTAGAGGATCCTGTGAAATAAGCTGTTGCTGTCAATCCTACTTTTAATGAACAAGAATCCCCGTAATTCAGTGCCACATGGTATCCCTTTTTCCATAGGGTTGATAAATGGTCTGTGAATGGAATGGTTTCTGGAAACAATTTATATACAATTTATCCCCCTGTCCTAAGAGCTTAGGCAATTTGATAGAAAGAAGTGTAACCAAACTTTATTACTGATCCAGAAATGTGATTTGGAGTTGTTCCAAGATTGTAGGCTTACATGGAGAATGGGGCCATGATAGGAGGCAAGAACTGTGAGAGTCAAAGGAAGCTGGACTCCGTCATCCGCCTGATAGCCTAGAGAGCACTATGGAAAGGGTGAGCAGTCTTCAGGCCAAGGACACATGAGGGCCAAGGACAGGAAGATGGAAAAACACTGGGCACATACTTGAATAACAGACTTAATATACTAGTAATAGAGAGTTTGAAACTGAGGCGCTCCTTCCTGACAAAAGGTCTCTTACATTTTTCTCTTCAGTAGGTGAAGGAACCCAATGCTATGGTCTGGATATGTTTGTCCCACCAAAATTCATGTTGAAATTTAATTGCCAATGTTTTGGTGTTAGAAAGTGGAGCCTTTATGAAGTGATTAGGTCATTCATACGAATTAATGTCTTTATTGTGAGACTAGATTGGTTCTTGTGGGAATGGATGAGTTCCCTTGGGACTAGATTAGTTTCCTCCAGAGTTGGTTATTGTAAAGGGAGGTTGCCTATCATGTTTTTTTTTTGTTTGTTTTGTTTTGCATATACTTCATTCACCTTCGTTTCTTTGTCATGTTTTGATTCAGCATGAGGCCCTCACCAGACTCCACCAGAAGTGGCCACCCAATATTGAACTTCCCAGCCTTCAGAATTGTGAGCTAAACAAACTTTTTGTCTTTATAAATTATTCAGTCTTGAGTATTCTGTTACAGCAACACAAAATGAACTAGGGTGGCCAATTTAAGAAAATAGCATCTAGGTTAAGCGGCAAAATGAGGGCAAAATGACAAATGTTGAGAGATCCCAACATACCTAAATTTAAATGGCTTGGATTCAACTCTATCTCCTTGGGGGAAAAGGAAAGAGAAAATAATAATTTAAATGGGGGAGTGATTCTGTTTGCCATATTACCTAACGAATGAGCCTGAGATGGGAGATATGAACCCAGAATGTCTCCTAGTATGGTCTCAGTTCTTATGTGCCTCTCACGTGGAGTATCTGTGTGTACCATGAGTGATTTGAATGTTTAATAAGATAATTTTCAAACAACATAGCCACTCAAAGCAAACTAACAATTTCATCTGATGGTCAATGAAAGAACGAGGGAAAATGGGATTACATGTCTTTCTAATGGATTTTTTTGTAAGGATAATTTTGATTCTCTATGATTTTTGTTTTAAGTGCTGACCCTAGAACACAGTGAAACTACACTGGAATGGCATCATACTTACCACATGGTTGGCATTCAGTAAATATTGGTTTAATGAATATATAAATGTCAGAACAGAGTGACAGGGGACCCTGTTTCTAGAAAATTCAATAGCTCTGCTAAAAATGTCTCTGAGGATTATCCCAGCCACCATATGTATATGTGTGTCATCTATCTATCTATCCATCTTATCTATCTATCTATCTATCTATCTATCTATCTATCTATCTATCTATCATTCTTTCCAAAATATAGTTGTTGTTACTACCCAAGCTGGGAAACTAAAGGATGGCCTTGGTAAATTTTGGTAAAATGTGAGTTGTAATACCCAGTGGTTGATTTTGTGACTTGCTCATCTTTTGGTTTAAAATAAATTTTAAGCAGTCATTAAAATGAATAAATCAAAGAGCAGTTGTTAAAAGCATATATTTTATAAATGGTCCATATAGATAGAAATTGACCTTGTGAAGTAGAATGAGCACTGGAACAGGAGCCAAGAGGTTCATTCTAAGCCCTCTGTTGACTCTCCAAGCTGACTGACCTTGGGTAAGCTGCAATATTTCTATCCTTAGTCTCCTCTTCTGTAAAGCAAGAGGGTTGGGTCAGGACAATCTCTGAGGCTCTTCAGCATTTAAAACTTCTGTGATGAATTTTAAAAAATCAACTTAGTACTTCAGCAGACTAAAACATCAAGTGCTCAAGGGATCAATTTCCTTTTTCAGAGTTCTTTAGCATTGTAATTTGGTATTAACAGAAGGGGCCAATATTTAGGAGCTAAGGTTTCCACCTAGATATCTAATTTTACCTGGTGAGCAAGATGTGGCAATACTGTTTGGAGGTCTTTTCTTAATTCAGTGGTTGTTTTTAAACTTTAGGGTGTATAAATATTGACTAGGGGGCTTGATAAAAATTCACATTCTAAGTAGGGCTCAGGAATCATAATAGTTAGGAATGCCCTAAGTAGTTCTGAAGTCATTGTCCCTGAGTTCATTTTGAGAAACACTGATTTAAGGTATAAATAAAATTGTCTTAGGAGAGGAAGAAGCTCAAGAAATAAGTTCAATCTTCTGTCCTCAAAGACAGAATGAGTTTACCCTCAATGTCTACCATAGAAAGGCATTCCACAGGCCAGGCGCGGTGGCTCATGTCTGTAATCCCAGCACCTTGGGAGGCCGAGGCAGGCAGGTCAGGAGTTCAAGACCAGCCTGGCCAAGATGGTGAAACCCCGTCTCTACTGAAAATACAAAAAAATTAGACAGGCGTGGTGGCAGGCGCCTGTAGTCCCAGCTACTCAGGAGGTGGAGACAGAGAATTGCTTGAACCCAGGAGGCAGAGGTTGCAGTTTGCCGAGATGGCGCTACTGCACTCCAGCCTGGGCGATAGAATGAGACTCAGTCTCAAAAAAAAAAAAAAAAAAGTATTCCACAAAGTCCTAGTTTTAACATATTCAGGTATTTAAAAATTCCTTCTTTGTGTTTCACAAGCCAATTCTGTTTCACTTTCATAGTTGCTTTTCTTTGTTGGCCTTAATACTTTTACTACAAATTCTTATATGATCATAAAATCTTGAAGTTGAAAGTGATGTAAAGAAATGGTGTTATTCAGTCCTCTGCCTTCTTACTAAATGAGAATTAAATAAAATTAAAAATAAAATGATTTAAAGGCTAAATAAAAAACCTCTTTGGTAAAAGATCTCAGATGCATTCTGGAGCATGTGTAAAACTAGACAAAAATGAGGAAGTTATTAGAGATGATTCAAGATACAGAATTTTCCTAGTCAGTTATCCTCAGGGAGTCATCTTCAAACAACTATCTGGGAGGTAGGTAGGTAAAAGATAGGTAAGTAAAACCTGCTCTTGGGGATTTGTGGCGATATATACAGGGCCAATAGGTTAAGTGGGGAAAGGAAAGTGAGAGGATTAAGTCTAAAAGCTCTTGCTTGCTGGTGCTTGGTTAAAGACTCTAGCTAGCCAGTGTCTAGGCCTTGGGGCTACAGATTGTACATCAGGACCTGAGAATTGCTTTCAATGTCAGGCATGGGTCATAACTCTGCCTTAAGGTTTGGTAGGGATGCATGAGAGGTGGTGGTAGAGAAAAGAGCTTGTCAATGCTCTTTGCCATAAGCATGCATGGGCATGACCCTAAAAGTTGGGTGGTTTATTTTGGTTTCCTTGCCACCCTTCTTCCAGTGGGAAAGCTCTGTAGAAATTCACCATCTCCTAGAGGTTACATAGATGACTGGCCTTAGTATCATCACAGGGGGCTGATAATGTGCAAGGAAGTGCTGGTTCTCACTCTTCTACCCTTCCGACCCCCACAAATATATCCCAATAGCAAGACTATTTTTACTGTCTAGTCTGAACTTCATCTTTGATTTTAAATTAAACAACATAACAATGGAAGAAAATGGAGTTGGAATGGAAACTCTACTTAGGGAAAATAACCAAAAGAGGCCAGATGAGGCTGGCCCAGGATGTCAAAAGTAAACTTCCGTGTTGACAGTCTCAGGTTGGTGTTTTCAGAAAACATTTACCACCTCCTTTGTTCTTTTTTTTAACATGAAGCAAAATCACATTTCTTTTAAAGTTTTTTTTTTTTCTCTGAAGCACTATTAAGAGAGCCCTAAAAGAAACACCTTCCACTGGTTTGTTAAACACTATGTGTGAAGTCATTAAGTTTATCCTTTGCTCCATAGCTCTGCACTTATTCAGAATTTATCCTGATGATACTTGTCCTAATAGTTTTAGAGTTTGTGTTGAATTAAAACAAATAACCTGACTAAATAATTCCAAAGTAGATGCGTTTCTACAGATCCCTTTTCCTTTAATGAAATAACTTTTTTCTCAATTCTAATATTAATGTTATGAATAATAAGTAGTATTTAACTAAAATGCATTTGATAAATTAATACTGGGGGAAAGACCCTTTTCCTTTCCCCACTTTGCACTGAAGAAAAATCAGTGGCCTCAAGTTCAAGGTACATTTTTTCCCAAATTTGTAAAACTCTAGCTAGGTCTTGTGTTCCCTAATCTCTTGTCCCACAGTTTCCCATCAATGCCTTTAACACAACTCTTAATACAAGTGCTATAAGAACATAGTATAGCAAGGAAGGCAAGTGTATAAGCTAAAACCTAAAGGCAGGCCGGGCACAGTGGCTCATGCCTGTAATCCCAGTACTTTGGGAGGCCAAGCTGGGAGGATGGCTTGAGCCTGGGAGGTCAAGGCTGCAGTGCGCCATGATCAAACCACTGCACTCCAGCCTGGGTGACAGAGTGAGACCCTGTCTCAAATAAATAAAATGAAATCTAAAGACTGAAGTTCAATCCCAGCTCCACTACTTACCATTTGTGTGACTTTAGGCAAGTTAATTAACTCCCCGAGACTCAGTTTCTTCCTCTGTCAAATGAGGGCATCGCTAGTACTGACCTGAGAGGGCTGGTATGAGGATTCAGGGAGATAATCCACATAGGGTGCTTGGAACACTGCCTGGCATATATTGGATGCTCATTAAAGGTTAGCTAGCTATAATAATTAATTGTGTGGCTCCTCCTCTACACTGTGAAATCCCACTGGAGCCAATATCAACAATTGTGTTTATTTTTCTAGATCCTGGCCCATATGTGGTTCTCAATAGATGCTGAATGGATAAATGCCTTACTCTTAGTGACAATGTGTAATCCAGCTTGCAAAACAAAATAAGCAAACACCATCCAAGCCTCACAGCTAATATTATGGAGTATCTGCACCAAGAACACAATAGATGCATGTTATTCCCAACAACACTACCTTGTGTGTGGCAGAGGAAACAATGGAGGTTAAACAACACATCCTCTGCCTCCATTCTCCACTTCTTCCAGGACCTGCTGAGCATACGCCAAGTTTCAATATTTAGGAAAAGATGTAAAGGATATCAGGTTGACAGAAGGCTGTGATAGGATTGTGGAATTTGTTGCCAGGAGGCCTCCAATCCCCTCACATCAGAGATGTGACTCTGTCCCTAGTGACTCTGTTGTTGATCTAGAAACATACAACAAGGAGTTGGAAGGTCTGGAACCATTACCCAACACACCTGATTTTCTGACAAAGACTAATGTGTGCAAACATGCATAATGGAAGATAGAGTGATAATCTGCTGGGTAATCTTAATCAGGAAAGGAAGGGAGGTTGGGTTACACAAAGACCCTCCCAGAAAAACTACTGACTCAAGGCCCTAAGCAGCAAACTAGGGTTCTCACCATTAAGGCCCTGGGCTGCTGTAGGGTAACAGATATGCTTTGGCCTTGAGCTAGAGGGAAAGTGCTGCTTAGTGGTCTGGAGCCATGGCTGTGGAGTCAGAAAAAGCGGGTTCTAATCCCAGCTCTGTCACTTACTAGCTCTGGATAACATCTTCAGTACCTCAAGCCTCTGTTTTCTCAACTTTAAAATGCAGATAATAATACCTACTTTGTAGAATTGTTGTGAGGATTATATGAAAAAAGTAATGTAAAGGATTTAGTACACTATATTCAGTTATTGACAGATTATCCCTACGGTCTTTGGAAACTTCATTAGATGTGATGTTTGGAGCCTCATTTTTTATATTTGTAAATCGATACAATAATCTATAATGTGCAAGACATGTGAGTGTTAAGTGACATAATGAATGTAAAATTTCAATCAATGTTTTTTTGAAAACACCTATAGTTGTCCAGGTGTGTTGGCATCTTCCCCTCTCTCCTCCATGCCTCTCTTTCTTCTCCCTGTGTTTTCTTGTTTAGTTCTCTCTACCCAAAAGTCATGAAGCTCAGACTATCCACTGGTGATCCAATGCTTCATCTTGGTGTGTAGTGCAAACCTTATGTTTTTGTCAGTGCCTGGGACTTCTTTTTTTATTTTCCCAGTCAGAACTCACGGTTCTCTTAGTGTTCATCATATGTGGGTATCAGTCAGGAAAGCGACCTGATTAAAGCAGTTCACAATGAGACTAGATAATGGCTAAATTAATGTAGAGGCAGTTGCATTTTACAACTCATGCTAGGAGAAATATTCTTACTTGAAAAAAAAAACCCCATAGAATCTGTTAAATCAAAGACATTAGCAATATCTATAGCAAGATAAAGATAAAGAAGAAATATTTTGTGGAAGAAATACCTTGAAACATTGTACCTTTCCTCCTCTGGTAACATGTTTCTCTCAACACATACCAAAGAAGGAAATGAGGCAGCATCCCCACTTCTGAAAGGTTGCTGCTAGCAAGAGTAGTGTTTTCAAGGTGAAAATGGATGTAGATATTTATATTTGGGTCTCTTCTAGGTCTAAGTGGCTCCCATTGGTATGCCTTCTACAGGATTATACTTTGTAAGATCCCATTTTTGGAGACAGCCCCAAGTACCAAAAACATAGACTTCTTTCCTTGAGAGCACAATGGAACCCTTTATTTTTGTCTTGGCTGGAAATGAAAGGGAATGCTTCCAAATGTTTCAAATCCTCAGATGTCTTTAGTTTGGATGGACTAATATGAAAGATGAAGGCTGGCGGGGGTGTGATTGAAGTCTATAAAGTCACAAAAGGTCTGGAAGAGTGAATACAGACTTGCTCACCAAATCTCTGAAAGCTAAAGCCCTGGTCAATGCCTTAAAGCTTAAAGGGCTAACTCATTGCACTTAGCTGCAGCTTTAAAAATATTAGTTTAGTGATACAAAGGAAATGCTGTAGAATTCTAAGAGGGTGCTTAACAAATTTGTGGATGTTTACCTCAAGAGATGCTAACAGCTGGACATGGGATTTGTTTATGTTTCACACCGAATCTGCAATTGAAAGACTTGGATTAGAATAATTCCAAGAGTTTCTGATATTCTGTGGCTCTATATATAATTAGTGAAAGTTAAGAGATGCCTCGGGGTGTATCCCTTCCTCCTTCCTCTAAGGGGTCGAAATTCTGTAAGAAAAAAAAATGCTTCATGTCCAATTTGGAAACTACCTGTTGAATCCAAAGGGTCTAAGCCTTCAGGATCCTTATATTTTCATGAGATGAGTTTATCCTGAAATGAATGTCCTTTAAACTAATTTGTGGAGTCTTTTTTATTTTTTTATTTTTTTATTTTTTGACGCAGAGTTTCGCTCTTGTTGCTCAGGCTGGAGAGCAATGGAGCGATCTGAGCTCACTGCAAACTCCACCTCTCGGGTTCAAGTGATTCTCCTGCCTCAGCCTCCCAAGTAGCTGGGATTACAGGCACCCACCACCACGCCCAGCTAATTTTTGTATTTTTAGCAGAGACAGGGTTTCGCCATGTTGGCCAGGCTGGTCTCAAACTCGTGACCTCAGGTGATCCGCCCTCCTCAGCCTCCCAAAGTGCTGGGATTACAGGTGTGAGCCACCACCCCCCGCCAATTTATGAAGTCTTAATTGCCCACATTGTCAAGTGAAAAAGCAGAACAAGAGAATGTTCTCAATATCTGCTTCCTATTGCAAGGTGTTCCTGACTTTATCACATCCTTGAGATTTATCAGATGTTCCTGATGAAATCAGTTATTATTAGTAACAAATATATATATATTTAAATTCCTATATATTTGTTTCTTGACCTACAGTAATTTTGTTAGTTTCAAAAAACATAGTGTTCAACTCAAGATGGATTATGTGCTTGTTATAGTAAATGTATATTGATCTGATTAAAAATGCATTAATTTCTTTAAATTTCAATAACAGTGGATTCATTTTCCGAAAGAAAGAGCTGGAAATGTGCAGTCACATAACCTGATAACCTTAGATAAGTGGTATTTAATATTTCTCAACAGGAAATTCTCCCCTTATACTTATAAAGCAAAAATCTTCAATATTAAGTAATGTATGTAGTGCATATGAAGCACTTAGAATAAATCTCTCTAATTTAACTCAAGGTCACATGCACACTGTCAGAGTAAAGAGGGAGTTGCAGAATTATCCAGGGAACTTGAAACAGTCTAGACAGTCAATCCAGATCATTTAAAAAGATATGTTAAAGATGCTCATAAGAGTAAGAGAGTTATCAGCTAATATGAAGATACAGTTTGGGGACAAATCAAATTTAGCGGTAAGAGCCTTGAGGTCTTTGCTTGAAATCCATTTTATTAGAAACATGTACACTTAAAATATTTCCATAAATGGGAAATTGTTTAATTAATACTTTTTGTTTATTATACACACACATAGCCATAGAAATATCTTTAAAGATAACCCAATGTCTGTGAATGCTTAATTTTTTCTATAAAACTCATTACATTATGTAAAATATATCCCAAAAGAAGCATTTGCCTAGAAAGAGAAAGAAACCAGGATTCTCTCGTCAGATCTTCCCGCGGCTACATTTAGGCAAGTTCTTTATTCTTCTTCAGTTTTTTCACTTGCAAAATGAAGAAATTAAAGGTAGAGATACACTTAGAATAGATAACTTCTAAGTATGGTTTAACATAAAGTCTAATAAAATATATCTGCACATGTTCATATCATACAGACACATCACAAATAAGTGTGTAACAGTTAACTAATTGTATAACTGGGAGAACAACAAGTATATTAATAAATTATGCTTTTGTTTACTTTTCTCTCAAGGATAATTGCTCAGTAGCCCAGGCTTCCAATTAGTAGGAACTCATTCAATGGTTGTTGAATTGAATTGATTGTGACCCATAGTACATAAAAATGGTTTTGAATTATACCAAGTATGCTCAAATTTCACAAATCTTGCGTTCCACACTAGGAATCAGCCTCAGAAAGTATTTTCACTATTTTCATGGCTTGGATAAAGGTGGTAGATTTCACTAACAAATAGTTATCTCTGAGAACAGAAATGTGAACAAAATCACAGCTTGTATGTGAACCGATTCTCCTTTCCAATACAGACTGAATGCCAAATGTGTAAATATACATTACCAGTGCTCCGGCTCTCAGATAAGCTGACACACTAATTCTGCCAGTGGAATGTCATGCACTTGCCTTTCTCTCCATTCTCAATACTGTCATCATTTTCATTACTATTATCATCCTGGATTAGTCCCAGATGATCACTTGGCCCCAGAGCTGCACTGTTCAACATGGTAGTCACTAGCTACTGTGGCTATTTAGCCCTGAAAGTGTGTTCAAACTGAGATGTGCTTTAAGTATAAAACACACATTAGATTTTAAGGATGTAGTATAAAAAATGTACATCTCATTAGTCATTTTTTATATTGATTACATGTTGAAATGATAATCTTTTGGATACATTGGGATAAGTGAAATATGTTATTAAAATGAATTTTGCCTGTTTATTTTTACTTTTTAAAAATGTGGCTTCCAGAAAATGTAAAATTACATAAGTGGGCCCACATTTGTGGCTCACATTATGTTTCTGTTGAACAGTGCCACTCCCGAGTATCTGCTGAAAACTGATCTACCCCACATGCCTTTTCTTGGAAACTTTCAGTGGTACTTTATTCCCATCCATGGTCTACATGTTCATTTTAGTTTTCAGGGCCTTCTCTAACGTGCACCATTCCTACTCATGTGCTTTAGGAAGAATCCACCCTTTCCATTTTTTTTTTTTTTTTGAGATGGAGTCTCGCTCTGTTACCCAGGTTGGAGTGTTGTGGCACAATCTCGGCTCACTGCAACCCCCACCTCCCAGGTTCAAGCAATTCTCCTGCCTCAGCCTCTTGGGTAGCTGGGATTGCAGGTGCCTGCCACCACACCCGGCTAAGTTTTGTATTTTTGGTAGAGACAGGGTTTCATCATGTTGGCCAGGCTGGTCTCGAACTCCTGACCTGAAGTGATCCGCTTGCCTTGGCCTCCCAAAGTGCTGGGATTACAGGCATGAGCTACCGCGCCCGGCCCCTTTCCCTTCTTGAATGCATTTTTTGCTGCCCTTTTCTCCCCACCCCATCTGTGCCAAGGCCCTAAGCAGTTTCATTCATCAAACACTTATTGATTTTAGAGCTCTGAGCAAGGGGCTATGTGAGGCCCTGGGGCTGCAGTACTGACCCTCTTTGAACACACAGCTTAATGTGAAGTCTAGTGGAAGCTAGAGACAGGTAAACAGAAAATGACAATACCCACGATGGAGTGGGAACAGGCTGCTGGAGGGCATATAGGTGGGCTTCTAACTCAAGTTCTAGAGTTTAGAAAAGACTTGCCAGAGGAACTGATGGACAAGCTGAGGCCTGAGGAATGACTAGGAGCTTACTGGGCAAATGTCAGGTGAGATGGGGAAGGAAGGGCCTTTCAGGCAGAGAGAAATGGGCCCAAGAAGTGAGAGAACACTTAGGTCACTTAGTGAGAGGAACGGAGTGATATGGGTAGGAAGGAGACACAGTGAGTTGAGAGGAGACCAGGAAGCTTGAGCTGTAGGTCAGAACTGGGCAGATCATGAAGGCCATGCCCAAGGAGCTTGGTCATAGATTCCCTCCTGCATTTTCCCTCTTAGCTATCTGCTGTAGATTGATTCTATTCCTAGACCCAATTCTCACCCCTTTCTGTGACCTTCCTCTTTGCCATTTGGCATTGTAGTTCCTCTTACTAGACAGGCAGAGTCTATTCTTCTCCCTTGATCTGGATTTGGGCATGTGACCTGCTTTGGCTAATAAGACATTTGCAGACCTATTTTAAAAAGTGCTTGTGCATTTTGACTGCGTTTTTGCACTCTGCTGCTGTCATGAGAGGGATATGCCTAGGCTAGCCTACTAGTTCCAGAAGAAGAACGAAAGACATGTGAGGGGAGCTGAGTCACCCTGGTCAACCTAGCCAAGGCCATGCTAGACCAGCCTATAGCCAGCCAAGCCCCAGACATGTGACACAACCCAGCCATGGTCAGCAGATCCACCTGACAACCTCCAATAGGCAAGCACTAAGCACTTATTTTGCATGTGATTATTTGTTAGTCAGTGTTATTATGGAAATGTAGAACTGAAACACTACCCAAATAGATTGCTCCTTGAGGGCAGGACCACATCTTTTCTACGGTTTTTTTTTTTTTTTTTTTTTTACCAGTGTTCAATAAATAACTAGTAATTGATAGATATAGATTAATAGATACTGTCAAGGATTTTAATACAGGTTGAGCATCCCTAATCTGAAAATTTGAAATCCAAAATTCTCCGAAATTTGAAAATTTGTGAACGTCAACATGATATCACAATTGGAAAAATCCCACACCTGACCTCAGGTATACAAGCTTTGTTTCATGCAAAAAATTATTAAGAATATTGTATGACATTATCTTCAAGCTGCACGTATTAGGTGTATATGAAACAAATGAATTTCATCTTTAGACTTGGGTCCCCATTTTCAAGATATGTCATTATGTATATGCAAACATTCCAAAATTTGAAAAAAATTAAAAATCTGAAAAACTTTTGGTCCCAAGCATGTCATATAAGGGATGCTGAGCCTGTACTATAAACATAGTCATGAAAAATGGGAACTTTCTTGAACTAACGCTGATGACTTTTCTAAAACTTTTCAGCAAGGGGGGAAAGAAAGCCCCAGAGGCAGCCCCTGAAAGGGAGAAAGTGAGGAGGCTGGGTGGGTTGCTCTGTAGGTTTTCTGTATGAAAGCGAAGCCTCTCCCTACCCCACCTCCCTGGGCTCTGGTGAGTTTTAGGATACCTTGCTGGGTGACACAGTCCTCTTTAAAGAGGAGCTGACAGAGGACAAACACCCAGTACACCTTCTGGAGTCTAAATCTCATTTGACAGTTTTTCTAGAATGCCTGTCTTTCCTAGTAAAGCTTGCTCTGACAAATGCTAAGTAGACTGCCAGAGAAAATCGCTGAGCTTTGTGGATGTTGGTCAGGTGGGTCAGAGTTGATGGCATTGTGTCATAGTCATTTTCCATCATCAAAGGAGTGAGGAAGTACTGCTCAAAAGATCCATTTTGCTCTGTCTTGCGTAGCTATGCTTTAGAATGCTGCTAGAAATCTAAGAAGGGCTGTTAGTCTCTGTTCAGATCTCTAGGAAAACTTTCTGAGATTGTGAAGAGGTACTGAACATCTAAGTCCTTTCTTAAGACAGTAAGTCAAGGTGATATACAGATGCTGAGAAAGGCACACACAAGCAGATGTGAGGAATATCAGTTTCACTTTGTAGTCAGCACAGTGCTGTGCTCTGAAGAAGGAAGTCATATACCAAAGCCCACATAGGGAATCCCTGTCGTTATGATGGGAATCTTCCCTAATGAATCAGAGGTGGAAAGTGGCTTTGTAGTCACATTGCCTGGATTTGAGAGTCCAGCTTTGTTATTTACCTGCTGCATGATCTCAAGCAGGAAAACTTAGTTGATGAGCTTAGTTTCCTGTCTTGTAAGATGGAAGTGATAATAGTGCCAACCTCACAGAGTTGTGGTGAGGACTATGTGAGACAAAATATGAAAGGTTTTTGATGAAGCACTGAGTGCATAATGAGATCTGGGTAAATGGTGGCTGAGTGATTTCTGTAGTCCGTGTTGATCCTTAAGAGCCAGGTAGTAAGCAATAATAGTCGAGCTTGTCCTATGAGGGAATGGCTGGTAGGATGCTGTATTGACAAAAGATGAATCTTTAGGGGAAATTAAATTTCTGCTTGTTCCGCTATCAGGCTTGCACTGACTGTAGATAATGCCATAGTGAAACTGAATTGTCCTGAGAGTCCTTTATGCTCACCTATCCCTGTTCTCTCAAGGCTGAACCACAGTCTACTGAAGAACAAATTTGTTCAACTGTAGTAGCTGCGTGGCACATTCACTGCTCCAGGATAACCATTCATTCAATTGGCTAGAGTCTGGGCATGATGGTAAACTTTGGATGATGTAGAGGCTGAGAATTTCAAGGCTAGTGGTCACTGATGACCATTACCATGGTTTTAATAAGTATGTGTCTATATAGTGTGTGTATGTGTGTTCATGAGAAGGGTATCTGGCTTTTACTCCTCCTTTAGTTGTTCAGTCTTTCAGCAAATATTTACTGACTGTGCCCACTGTATGCTAGGCACTGTGCTCTAAGTGTAAGTAGTGTAGACATGCTCTTACTGTTATCTGCAAGTAGATTCATTTCTTAATCCTTCTCTGCAAATTCTATTTCCAGGTACCCTTGTCAATTGGCTTCTTGGTATATTTGACTAATAAGAGACACTAGAAGGAGATAATAGAGCAGGAGGAAGAGGAGGAGCAATGGTATTTCTTACTGTGTCCCCCACCTACCACTTTGGGAAGTGGCTACATCTTCTCTGTGTTCCAGCTCCCATGGTAGCTTCTGCCGTGAATCCAGCTTCCACAGGCAGCCCAGGCCTTGGGATTGTGTGAGAGTCCTTTCTTTCTTTGTTCCTCCAGCCCTAAAAATGGTAGCAGCTTTTTGCTCTTGCTTAAATCTGGGTTGTTTCACTCTCAGTATCTCCAACACTTTTGTAACTAGTTTCCTAAATTAAATTCCTTCCGTTAGACTATCTGGTATGGTCTCTCTTTACCTGACTAGGCTTTGAGGGTTATGATATGGTTTGGCTCTGCATCCGCACCCAAATCTCATCTAGAATTGTAATCCTCAGGTGTTGAGAGAGGGACCTGGTGGGAGGTAATAGGATCATGGGGGCGGTTTCTGCCATGCTGTTCTCCTGATAGCGAGTGAGTTCTCACAAGATCTGATGGTTTAAAAGTGTGGTACTTCTCTATCTCTCCTGCTGCTGTGTAAGATGTGTTTTGCTTCCCCTTCACCTTCTGCCATGAGTGTAAGTTTCCCAAGGCATCCCCAGCCATGCAGAACTGTGAGTCAATTAAACCTCTTTTTTTAAATAAATTACCCAGTCTCAGATAGTTCTTTATAGCAATGTGAGAACGGACTAATATGGGATACAATCTCAATACTTTGAAGTTTTTTAAAATGGGAACAGATATTATTCAAATAGTCTCATAAACATGTAATGACACACTGAAATATGCTATGAAGTACATGTACAATGAGAGCATGGAACTGGGAGGGGGCTGTGTTGACCTAGTCTAGGGTCTTGCTATGCCAAATGAGGTCCTTCACCTGCAGCATTGCTATCTCTTGGGAGCTTGTTGGAAATGAAGATCCTACCACAGTCACAACTGATTCAGAGTCTGCATTGTAACAAGCTCCTCACCTCAGAAGAGTGATCCCATGAGAGCATCTACTTTCAGTCTGATTATTGTGGCTCAGACCTCCCAGCTCCAGTCTACCAGGATTGTGCAGAATCAGTGGGGGCCCTGAATCACAGCTCCATTCCAATGAGAAAAGCTTGCAATGTGTGGTTCTTGATCCTGCCTGAACAAACACTGCAGGCCAGACTGTGGAGCAAATGCAAGACAGAGAGTGGAGATTAGAGTGACAGTTGGAATAATTTAGGAAGCGGAGGCCAAAAACTGCTTCTCTGTTTCAGGATAGCTGGAAGATGAGTTCTAGAAAACTGGGTCTTTAAAATGTATTAAAGTATGTTGTGGGAAAGCAAATATCTATCCCCATGTGACCATATCTTGTATCAGTCAATGCAGAACATTTGATCATCATATGCTTTCCACACCAGTAAACTTCAAGTGAGACTCACATGCATTGTTTTTTAAACCATAATAGAAGAATCTGTCAGAGAGACAGAAATTGTGCATTTGAAGGTAAGAAAAGGGAACTGTTATAAGCAGGGTTTTAATGATGATCTCCTTAAACTTTTAATAGTTTCTCTATGTTTAGGTCACCAGACCTAAACACTGATTTTCAATGTGCTATTCCATTCTCCACGATCATCACCCAGAAGTGAGTATGGTAGAAGAATAGACTCTAGAAGTAAAAGACCATGTTAAGTCCCCTTGTTATACCATGTCAAATGGTGTAACATGGAATATATTTGATAATTGTCCCCAGTTCCTGTCAAAGAGCTCTTAAAACAATTGAAATTTTCTGAGTGATAGAAGTGTCTCCACATCCTTCCCCACACTTTGCCTTATACATCTCTTCATCTAGCTGTTCATCTATATCCTTTAAAATATCCTTTTTAATAAACCAGTAAATGCAAGTAAGTGTTTCCTTGAGTTCTGTGAGTCATCCTAGCAAATTAATAGAATCCAAGGAGGGATTAGTGGCAACCCTGATTTATAGCCAGTCACAAGTATAGAGGACAACCTACTACTTGCGATTCACATCTGCAATGGGAAGCAGTCTTGTGGAACTGAGTCCTCACCCTGTGGAATCTGACACTATCTTCTCGTAGACAGTGTCAGAATGGAATTGAATTAGAGGACATGAAGTTGGTGTCTGCTGGAGAATTGCTTAGTGAGTAGGGAACCCCCACTCCTGCCACTTCTGGCAATAGAAGTGTTCTGCATTGAGTGTGAGTAGAGAGAAAAAAACTAGTTTTCTTTACATCTCACCTATGCCACTTTGTGAGCTGTGCTAACTTGAGCAAATGCCTTAACATTCCTGATGCTCATTTTTTTTTCATGTGCCAAGTGGGGCTGAATATACCTTAACTCATTGGTTTGTGGTGTGGTTCAAATGGTATAAGAATATGCTCTATAAAGGAACTAACTGGTATTGAAACACCACATTTTAGGCAAAATAAAGTGGCAAAGCTCTAAGAGGAAATGGAAAGGTACCAAAAATGTGACTAAAGTGAGATGGTCTGCAGCTTCTGTGCTTGGGTAAAAAAAGGACTAAAGACTGCACAGGGTCCCGCTGTAAAAAAGTTTTTTTTTTTTTTTTTAATGCAAGCCTGTATGCTTTTTAATCATCCCCTGCCTCTTGTGTCTGTTTAAAATTTGTGACTGTTAATACTTACCTCTTTCTTACTTGTGGCTGTGAATGTTGAGATTTATGCAACAAATATTTGCTGAGCACTGACTTTCTAGCAGCACCGTTCTAGGTGTTTGGGATACCCAGTGACTAGATCAGACCCCTGTCACCATGGAGTTTATATTTTGATGAGGCCAACTTTCCATAGCAGTGACCCTCATGGTTACACTTGAGCCCATCAAATACCCATCAGCTTTAGCCCAAGGACCTGGAATCTAACCAGTCCTAGCTGGGATGAGTATAAAACCCCCTGTTTCAGTTGCTTGCTGGTCATAATTGCTGTCCAACTCTAATCTTACGGTGACTAAAAGTATTCCATATTCACCCTATTTCTGGGTATCCTCTTCATACTAACCTCCCCAATGACTGAATCTTCTCTCTTGATGGGGTCAAATCTACCGCTGACATCCTAAGATGAGGAGATTTTCTGCTTGCATGGTACAGTACTTCTTTATTCACTCACTTACCCTTCAACTAATATTTATTGAGAGCACAATGCTCACTGAGGATAGAGCTCTGAGCAAGACAGAACAATGCTATCTTCATGGAGCCCCCTTTCAAGCAGAGAAGCCAGTGGACATGATTGAATACTCAATTACAGTTGTGAAGAGGACAACAGAGGATAAGTGTGGTGTACTATCAGGGTCTCTGATAATAGGCACTGGACTAGCCTGATTAGTTCACTCCTTGAGGAAGTGACATTTGAACTGAGTTCTGGAGCATGGGGGGTGTTAACCAGGTAAGGGAAAAAAGTGGAACCTTCAGTGCAGAGTAACAGTGTGTGTAAAGCCTCTGAGGTGAAAAAGAACCTGATTTATTTGAGGAACTGAAGAAGGTTGTGTGACTAGATCATCGTGAATAAGTGGAGCTGGGTAACAGGAGAAGTACTTAGCCTTGCAGGCCATGTGAAGAATTTAAGTGTTTATGCTAGAAGTAATGGAAAACTATTGAAGCATTTTATGAGGAGATGTGATATGATTTCATCTATGTTTTTAAGTAAATGTTTTGGCTGCCATGTAAACAGTGGGTTTGGAGGTATGGTAAGAATGGATGTGGGGAGACCAACTGGGAAACTATTTCTGCTGTCCAGGCAAGAGATGAAGTCAGCTTGGATTAGGGCAGTATCTTTGGAGATGGAGAAAAATAAGTACAGTTAATAGGCATTAGGGAGTGAAAATTGGCAGGAGGTAGTGACTGAGTAGTTATTAGTGCTAAGGAAATGGGAAGGCCAAGGATGGCACCCAGGACTCTGGCTTAAGCTTCTGGGTGAATGGTGGTATTTCTCACTGTGATGAGACATACTGGAAGAGGACTGGGTTTTTTGAGCAAAATTACTTTTGAACACATTGGATTTGCATCGACTTCAAAACATCTAAGAGGAGATATTGAGTAGGTAGCTGGATATACAAGTCTGGAGGTAGTAGTACAGTTTGGACTGCAAATTGCTGTCAGTAACTGCCTGAATCATGGTTGGTTAAACATTTCAGGTACTGGAACCAATACTTCAGATCTTGATTGTTGGCAAAAGGGCCCTATCAGCCCTCTCCATGAAATAAATCTTCCAATTGATATTATTTCCAGTGCCTCTTGAGAGTTTATTAGACTTTTATGATGCAGGACACCAAGTTGGTCTGTATTGCCAACAACCTGATACCTTGTTACGATGATAGTGAAATATCATCTATTGCGGATAATGGTGAATGACCTTGCAACATCCATTTACCTTTCCTCCTTAGCAACAGAACTGGGGCTACTATTCCCAGCCTCTTTTGGAGTGATGTGTGGCCCTGTGACTAAAGTGCTTGCCAGTGAGATATGAAGAGTAGTGCTGTGTGGGCAGAGTTATTGACAGACAGGGGACAGGGGTGGGAAGAAGTTTATGTCTTTCTTCTTATCGCTTGGAATCCAGATGTAATGGCTGGAAAACTGCCATCTTGGACTATGAAAGTTGTGTGTGGCAGAACAGAAAGAAAAAGCCTGGGTCCTTGATGACGTTGTGGAGCCCCAATATTAGCCTTAGGTTGACTAAAGTATGTCTTCTTTTACCTGTAAATGTGGTGGGAATCTATGGGCATTAAAGTCATATTTGGATCTGTATTATTCACAGTTGAATTCAGTTCTTCTACTCTATGTTTGGCAATTTCCTGGGTACTTTGCTATAATGCAAGTTATCAAGGCATGAAATTCAGAAAAAAGAGAATAGGTTTGCTTCTCACCCAAGAAAGTTTATTACTGGAGTGCTAGTGGGATCTTGTTTAATATTGTTTATTTCTTGTCCAAGGCATGATCAAAAGCAGTATAAAGCAGGGATCAAGATGGCCAGCAACTGAAATTAAATGGTAAACAGAAACTCCAACAGAGGAAAGCAAAATGAATTAGTTAATAATTAAAAAAAAAACTTTCAGATTGCATCAGTGAGCTTTGTCTGCATTGCAAATCACCCCAAAAGATAGTGGCTACTATGGACTGAATGTTTGCATTCCCCCCGAAATTCATGTTAAAGTCCTAGCCCCTAAAGTGATAGTATTTGAAGGAGGGGTCTTTGGGAGGTAAATTGGTTCAGGTTAGGTCATGAAGGTGGAGTCCCATGGCCTCCTTATAAGGAGAGGAAGAGAAACTAGAACTCTCTGTCTGTATGCCATGAAAAGACACAAAAAGAAGGCAGCCATCTGTAAACCAGGAGGGCAGCCCTCATGAGACATCAAATCTGCTGGCACTTTGATCTTGGACATCCCAGCCTCTAGAACTGTGAGAAGTGAATGTGAATGTTTGTTGTTTAAGCCACTCACACTATGGTTGTTTATTTTTTTCTGTTTTAGCGGGCTGAACTAAGACAATGACTTAAAACAATAACCATTTATTTAAGTGATGCATTCACAAATTGGTAACTTGGGCTGGGCTCAGCTGGAGTGCTCTGATGATCTGAGCCAGATGTGGCTGCTCTTGGCTGGAGCTCATTTATGTATCTGCAACTGAGTGCCAGGCTTTGATTGGGGTGCTCTTGTTTTCTTCTATGCAGCCTCTTATTCTCCAGGACTTGTTTACATGGTGATGGTGGTAAGGGTCTCAGAAGAGTGAGGGGAAGTGTACAAGACTTTTTAAGGCCCAGGCTTGTAACTAGCACGAGGTTTTTTCTGTACCCATCTATTGGGCAAAGCAAGTCAAAAGGCCAGCCCAGATGGACGGAGTAAAAAAAATAAATTGTATTTCTTGATGAATTTCCAGAGTGTGTGGGAAAATTTTTGGCTGTTTTTGCAATTCATTACACAAACACCTAAATATCTAATTTAAAGAAGAAATTATAAGGGAATCAAGGCTCTAGCAGGAGTAATATATCTGATATCCTGTGTAGGAAATGTAACTCAGGGCTTAGATGTGTGACTGTGCAACCAGGCAGACCTGGATTCAAATCCTGACTGTGTTGTTGGCTGGCTGGGTTCTTTATTTATGATAACTACCTCTTGGGCCTGTGAGAATTATATGTATGTAAAACTCTTAGCACAGTGCCTAGCGGGCACTAAGTAATAACAAAAAAAAACAGTTGTTGTAGTTGTTGTTATAATAGGATACTGCTGTGGCATAGCCTGAATTGGAGACAGGATTTACCAGAACCATAGATGAGCCAGAGAGTGGTTGGCTCAGCTTGGCACAGAGAAGAAAGGTTTATCACAAGATTATATATTGGACTAGGGCAAGGCAGAATCCAGAGTCAGACAAATTATGGACTCTCTTAGCTATAGTCATGCAGGTTAGTTTATCTAACAACCTAACAAGAACAGTAATAGTTTACATTTATTGAGCACTTACAATGTGCTAGATGCTATTCTAAGTTCTTTACAATATTAACTCACTTAATCTTCATAATATCTCATCTGGGTATTACTGTTATTCCCATTTCATACATGCGGATACTGAGGCACAAAGAGGTTTTTAGCCTCTTGCCCAAGGCCCCACAGCTCATGAGTGGTGGAGCCAGAATATCAGACAGGCCTGACTCATCCCTCACTCCAAGCTCCTAGTATACTCTCTATTTTGTGGGACGATCCAAGGGCAGGAGACAACATCAGGCAAGTGTGGCTTAAAAGTTTCCAGAGAGTCAGGGAAGATCCAAGCAGGCACTTGTGGCATCCAGAGAAACATAGCTGAGGAACTAGGGATGGGAGGTTGGGGGGATACGGAGAAGGGGGAGAGGATTGTCCTAATAACTGAGACCTTCTGTATAGCTTAGTACTCTCACTTGTACTATTTTGAGAATTAAAATTTCTAGTCCTCAAAATGAGGCAGATGAGAATTACTTTCCCTTTGCAACTAAGCTGTCAGAAAAAATAGTCTCACCTGCTGTCTTCACTTTCTCTTCTACTCTTTCAGCCTAAGGCAGCCTGACTCCCAACCTCTCCCTTGGTCAAGGTTGCAGTGACCTTGATGGCCATATCCAGTGGAGTCTATTCAGTCCCCAGTGCTTAGCATTGAAGAGCTGTGCACTTTTGGTCTATTGAGCTGCTTCCTCCCTGCCCAGATAATCTTGGCCTGAAGGAGGAGACTCTCACCCTTTATCAAACATGCCCTCAAATAATCTACTCATTCTTGGGGCCAAATCTCATTCCTCCCCTCATCTTTACAGTAGCACGTTCCTATGGCCAATTTCAGGCCTCTCCACTGTTTCAATTTTTTTTCCCTATTCCTTTGAATAATAAGGACATAAGTGCTTTTATATATAGTCTCTGACTTGTAGTCTAGAATATGGAAATCTAAAATGGGGGTATTAACTATCATCTATTGAGCCTACATTGTGGTACTTTATACACAGTAATCAATTTTCACCATGAAAAATCTGTGAGGTATGATGCATTCTATTTTTATTATGCAGATAAAGAAACTGAAGCTCAGAGAGAAAATTAACATTTATCCTGCAGGAAAGGAGCCTGGATTCAAATACAGGTCTTTAGATACCCTGATCATTTTGACACCAGAGCCTCCTACTACCTCATGCTGCCTCTCATAATTTAAAAATTGTACAGCATAGGATCAGTAGCTTTGTCTGCAATAACATGAATCTGATTTGCATTTATTTATTTGTTTATTATTTAGTTACTATTATTGCCTTTGGAATGCAGCAGAATCTGGCTGAATGATTAAGGAAAATTTCAGACCTGTTTTCCAATTGCCCAGGATGTGAACGGCCAAAGGGCTGAATCCTATTTGGATGCCTGAGTGCCTCTTTCTCTATAATTTGTAGCCGGAATCTATCCTTAATTAGAACATCCCTGGGATTTTATGAGGAGGGAAAAACACACTGATGAGATTACAGATCAATAGCTCTTCCACAGGACACATAGATATAGAGCAAGCAATAGTTCAGAGATTAGAAATTGCAATCCAGGCATGAAGGCACCTTGGAAAAACATGTATTTTATCCCACTCCCCTTTGGGATCATTGAGTGTCACTGAAGCCAATAAGTTAAAACTTAATATGTGAAACTTAATGGGCAAAGTAGCAGATTAACGGAGGAAAACGCAAGGCATTTCTTGACCTGGTAATTTGGAAGGAGAGTAGGTGAAGTGTGTAAATTAGAGAAAATTCAAAGGTGAGTCATTTTGGAAATGTATAGTAGGCATATATCACACTAACTGCAGCTCAGAATTGTGAGCCTCACTCCTGAAATCCATTAAAACAGCGCTTCTTAACATTTTTACCACTTTAATACTTGCATCGTTGTTTGCTTGATTTTGTCGTATGTGGTCTATATTTATTTAAAACTTCAAATGAATTATAATGATTCTTTCTGTGAAGTTTTAATGATGCTCCCTTGAGGTAATTAGAGGCACTTTGTGGTGGGAAGCGTCCCAGGGCTGGGAATTATGGCATTATGGAAATGAAACCCATGTGCTACCTCCTTCCATTTTTAATTCAGAAGGAACAGTTGGACGTAGTGTTTAAGAGCTGAGTCAATAAAGAAAGGAAACTCAGTGTTCCGATGGACTGGTTGGAAAAGAGGTGAAAAGAGTAGGCTTTGACTTTCTCGCCCAAGTCTAAGTAGGAATTAGTGTTGTCATTGCAAGAAAGGAAATGACTATGGCATCCTATTCTATCAGGAATTTAATCCCTGCCCAAGTTTTAGGACGTTATGCCTAGGAGTTCATTCATTCAATAAATATTAATATTTATTAAGGATCTATTATATACCAGGCTCTATGTTTCACAGTGGGCATTCAGTGATGAATCAAGCAGAATCTTTGTCCTCAAGAAACTGACATTCTTGTAAGATAGACTGACAACCAACAAGTAAATATAGTACTATGTCAGAAGGTGCTGAGTGATATTTTTTTTAAAAAAAGAGGTAGGGGGTGATAGATTTTGATGGAAGGGATGCTTTTGTATACAGAGTGATTTGGAAAGGACACTCTCAGATCATACCGCTTGAACAAAAAGACTAGTTTGTACCAAAATTCAATGAAGCAAAAAATAGCAAGTACAATGTACTATAAGCCTAGGGCATAGGGTGACTAAGAGAGACAGTTCACCAGAATTCCTTTGGAATTTCATAATTCCTTTGGCTATACCATTAAACTAATATTTAGAAAAAGATCTTGAGCTTTCACAGGGTCTCATTGCCAGAAAGTTATTCCCTTGGCTTGAAACTATGTAGAGTTCCAGTTTTGCTAGTAATATAAATAAATCTGTGATGGTAAGGACCACTGAACAAGTCCAGTTTGGACACTGATTCAGTTTATTATTGTACCTTGTCCCCAGTGACAACAGGAATAAGCAAGGCAATTATCCAACTCCAGGGAAAAACAAATCAAGATGCTTGGACCATACAATGCACAGTAGTCATTCTTTTTGACAGGTTGTCATGGTGTGTTAAATAAAATTCCTCATCTAACATCTGAGGGTGAGAAATAACATGGGACAGAAACTTCAGCAAGAACAGGCTAGGCTATTTGGGGGGAAGTTTTACCTTCAGGACAGAAATTACTTGTATACCTAAGTCATTATCCATCTTTTTTTTTTTTTTTTTTTCTGAGATGGAGTCTCGCTCTGTTGCCCAGGCTATCTTCTTATGCCCATATCTTCTTTAGTATATTTCAGAATTTTGCCTCGATTAGGAATTATTTGTCTGCAAGAAAGAGAACCTCTTCTTAAGAAAAACTGGAGAAATTTATTAGGAAGATACAAGGCAATAACATTAAACTCAAGGGAGGGAAGTCAGTTGGGGCTCACAGGATGCTGTAGCTTTAACTAGAAAGTCATAAAGAAGGGAGTTATTTTCTCCAGATCTCTGGAATCTTGTGGTCTCTTGTTTCTGCCTCTCTCTGCTTATCCTCTTCATTTGTGTGTCTCCGGAGAGTGGCTTTCTAGATTTTTCTGAGCACAGGGTTACTGCTGCTTCTGTCTTTACATTACTTCCTTGTTCATTCTTAAAAAGAGACTCACTAGAACTAGTCCTGCTCAATGAATAAATATGTGTGAAAAGCAGATTATAAATAAATATACATAGTATAATCCTCCTCTATAAACAATTTCAATATGTGTATGTATGCGTAGGAAAAAATCTAGAGCAAAATGCACTAAAGTGTTTTTAATAGTTATCTCTAAGTGATGGGATTATGGGTGATTTAAATGTTTTTATTTGAGTATATATGTACTTTTCCATCATTAGCATATACTATATTTGTAATTGTGAAAAAATTATTGAAGAAAAAGTAAAGGTAAAATACATATGGTAAATCCCAGTAGTCTAGGACTAAACCCAAGAATGGAGCAGCTAGGTGCCAGGTCTTGGGTACAGGGAGGGAGGGCTTAAACTGCACTAGGGAAGATGGCAGGAGAGACTTCACACACACACCCAGAGCGGCTGGCTCTTTATTTCTAAATGTATTTGTTTTCAAGAAAACCCTCTCAGATAGCTGTCAGTACCATCACAGGAATGGAATTTGTCAACAATGATTACTGATGCTCATTAGATCTCTGGATTTTCTCTCCAGTTCCCTCTTGCCTTACTTGTGCAACTATCAACTGTGTTACGTGAGATTCAATTGGTCCTACAGCATCCCACATATAAAGTTGAGGCCCTGAGTTCAGTCTATTCCCTGACTTGCCCCACTCTGGGAAACATCAGAGTGAATTTTGTAGGTTCCTTTCTTTCCACAAGACACCACCTAAACAAACTTCTTAGAGCCTTTCTCTGGCTCCTGGCACTCACTGGATCGAGCCCATGCCACCTAGCATAGGAGAGAAAGCCCTCTGTACCCCGGCTCCACCTGCTTGCTGGCTCATCCCTGCCCCTCTCCCCTTCCACTTCATGCTACAGTATTGCTTGCAGTTCTGTAACACACCATGGCATTTCACACTTCCTTGCATTTGTACATGCTGCTCCTTCCTTCGCGATGCTCTTCTCCCTTGTCCGCTTGGATACCTTCCCTTCCTTTCTACTGCTCAGATGTCACATCCTTTGGGCAGATTTCTTTGAAATCTCAAATGGAAACTTTATTCTGTGTGTACCGTTGTATCTTGAAGCACCCCAGCTTTGCTTCTACAAAGCTGCACCATAATTTGCTTACAGGCCTCTCTCTCCTCCTAGAGCAGAGGGAGGAACTAGCTCCTTGAGGACAAGAACTGTTTCCTTTGCTTCCATCTCAGTTATTTCTACCTACTAGGTGCTCAACAAATGTTTCTTAAATGAATAATTTCAACTTGAGACTCCTGCAAATGTTGCCTATCGGAAGGTACAGTGGATTAGAGTAAAAGGAAAAAGCAGAGGATATACTATAAAAGAGTCTTTACAGACATTATTTCCTTTAATCCCTCAACAGCCCCATGAGATTTTTATCATCCATCCTACTTTACAAATGAGGAACTGTATCTCAGAGAGGTCAAAAAACTTGCCCCAAAACATGCTTCTAGAAAGTGACAACTAGGATTTGAACCTGTCTCTAATGTCAATGTTCTTTTAACTACAGAATCTGTGTGAATCTAAAACCTTTGTCTGCTACTTATAAGCCATGGGACCTAAAGCAGTTCATTTAACTAATTAAAGTCATGACTTCTGTAAAGCAAATTCAACTCTAAGAAAGTATTACTCACACCCTGGTTACACATTAGACTTACCTGCAAAGCCTTTATAAACTACTTGTGTGTTGTTTTTGCATTGGTGTGGGGTGGTACCCGGACATCAGGATTTTTTCAAATATCCCCAGAAGATTCTAACATACAGCCAGAATTAAGAAGCAGTGCTCCAGCTCAGTACTTCTTAAACTTTAATGTGCCTGTAACTCACCTAAGGATCTTCTATAATGAAAATTCCAACTCAGTAGGTTCCAGGTGGGGCTCTAGATGCTGCATTTCTAACTGGCTTCAGGTGTGGCTCTTGCTGCTGGTTTTCACACTACGAGTAGCAAGATCTAGAGTAGAAAGCCTGTACCCTAAAAGACCAAATCTAAATTACCAAAACAAAGATAGTGTTGGCTGTCATCTCCTCTCTTTAGACAGATGCACTTTCTCTTGCCATCAATTCAGTTTCTGTGGATCTACAGTCTTCAGCCCTCAGTGGCCCTGACTAGGTCTGGCAATTGGCTCTGGCTCAGCTCTTGATAGGTTTCCACAGGTGAGGAAGCCAGGTAGGAGAATACCTAGCTTGGGGCACAATTGAAAAAGGACCTTGTGCAGACAATCAGGGCAGCAAGTAGTACCAACCAAAGCAATTGGGAATCCAGCATGAACCACAATGGAGGGTGTGGCTAGCCTGGTTTTGGTTTAGTGCCAAACTGCCTGGTTGGTTAGGATCTAAAGATGGTACAGTAAGGGTGCGTTAATTGGGCAAGGTGATTGAAGGCAGGGGATGAGAGACTGTTAAAGTTTAGCTAAGGGCTTAAAAGGGCCAAGATGGGTTCCCATGAGGCTACCCTGTCAACAGTCATTAATTAATGAATATGCAGCTTTTCGCTGTCTGTTTACTACCTCCCAATCCTAAACTGGGTGTGTGTCATGTGGCAGGGGGTGTCGGGGATGAACGACTTGTGTAAATGCCTGTGAGTCAGAGAAGAAACCTGGCTTGCAGAGGCCCTGCTGTTTTCCTGGAACCAGACACTGAGTCCCTAGACAACCGACAAAACCACTTCACCCCAAAGACCCATGAGCGATTTATAGATGGACAATTGTTATGCCTTGGTCAAGCAGTCCACTAAAACTCCATGTGGACACTGCTGGACGGTCAAAGATGCACTTTAGAATGTCCAGTGTTCATATTACCAATGAGAGGGACATTTGTTCTTTACAGGCAGTAAGAAAGGAGCAAATTTAGGTAAATTAGGCATGCGGGAGAATTTCCTCCCCCAGATTTGAGGAGCCTCTGATCATTTCACTTAGGAAAGAACTTCAAAACCTTATTCTCTGCAAATTTCGAAGTTTTCTTTCAGGCTTCTATTCTGCTTGGCCTGGAGATAGGGCAGGACTCAGATGGCCTCCTGGTATGGCCTTCCAGCCCCAAGTTTTGTTCTGTTTATGGATTGGAAAACCCAACACCTTCACTGCTCAAATATCCTAGACATGCAATGTTTTGTCACAGATTTGGTAGGAGGATACCCTAGTTCTTTGTTTAGCCACTTGAAAAGGAGGATTAAAGAAAAAAAGAATCAGAGACTAGCCACAAATAGATGGCGTGGAGCTTGTTTTGTAAAGCAGTGCCTCTAAATTGTGCCCGTATTCCTTATGGAAACTACAGGCAAAGCCAAGTTTGCTTTGTGCAAATTCAGCAGCGCTAGGACCCCTTGGCAGAATGCCACCTCGCCCTTGCTTGGGCTGTGTTTGTGCACAATCTTCCTTGCTTTCTTCCAAGGAACAAACAGGGTGGAAATTCCTGATCTAGCTCTGTATCACCAGTAATCTGACCTGCAGGCTTGTACCTGAATACTGAAACCTTGGGGTTCACTGCTCACATATAATACTTGGTAAAAGAAGAAAAGGGGTAAAGAGACTCTTCTTAACCTTTGCAAATGTCATGCACTATTTATATAACATTTACCACTTTTATTTTCCACAGCCTAGGATTTTGTGAGGAGAAAGGGGCAGGCACCTTAAGCTAAACTGCATTCCTACAGGTTTAAATTACAGCTTTTCCTCTCTGAGGGCTAAGCTCATTGTATGGACATCATTCTTCAGGGGCTGATTTTGCCTTATAAACAACTTGAATTCTACTTCTTAGATAATTCATGAAAGTAGTTTTCTAATAGCTTCATAAGAGAATGTTTTTTTCCCGAAATTAAATAAATAAGCTGTTCTAAAAGACAAGTTGCTATCTGTTGGATGGAAACTTTGAAATTCTTTCAGTCTGGGTCATAGTAAATGCTACAAGTTTTCATTTTCTAATCCAATCTTATTACATAAAAGTGTACTTTTACAAAGACTGGGCTCAAGGTTTCATTGTCTTGCTTGTGTAACTACTCAAGGCCTAAACCTGACTGAATAAGTTGCCATGTGAAGTCGGTAAATATTTTATAAATTCTAGAAAGGAAAAAGTCATAACGTCTCATTTTGACAACCTTCCTAACCGCAGGTAGATAAGAAAAATAAACACAAGTTAATGCCATCCAGAGATCAAGAGAACATGAACCTTCAGGAAATGTGATACACAAGCATATAAATGCTGTGGCCTCATTGAAGGCACTTGTTTCAACAATAACACAGGCTTTATATATTTGATCCTTTAATAAAAATAACATTTTTAGATCTCAAGGTTCTAAACAGCTGAAGGGGTGGAGTGTTTTAGAACAAATATGCTACATCTTGTTGTAAAATGGCAGCCATGACTAAAGTCAGAGTTTGTCAGCATGGCAGTGATCAGGCCACCTTTGACCTGAAAGTGATATTTTGTTTGGCTCTCATGTGTTTAAAAATGAATTAGTTGCCACATTTTAAAATGAGAATGTTTCAAATAAAAATACAGATTTCTGGACTTTCTTGAAAAATAGGTTCTAGAAAGGATTAGTGCATATTCCCACTTGTTCTTGATTGGCGGGGACTGGTAGAGTTGACCCTCGGGTGGAACATGTACTCTCTAGTTTACCATAGGTTTGCTGAGGACCACTTTGTTCATATATGTTGTCTCCTTGGTCCCTGCAGGCCTTTGACGAAAAACCAAAGTCTGAATGCTTCACTCCAGCACAGGGGTGGCAGGCTGCCCATGAAGTCTCCCAGGTGCTACCTGTGGCAGCTGTTAATCTCTGTCTTCTGCTCTCTGGTGGAGACATTCTTTTTCTTCTTGTGGAGACATTGTAGCATCAGTGAAGGATCCCTGAAATGAGGGTCAGGGACTAGTCCTGAGTGATAACTCCTTTTATCTAATTGAGTGAATTCAGAAAAGCCACTTAATCTTTTGGAGTCTCAGTTTCTTCATCTGTAAAATGAGGGGTTTGTTTATTCAATTGACTCATTCAACTAACATTTAAAACAGAAGATGCACCAAAGGACTCAATTATAAAGGACATAAACTGATGATGTGTAGACACACTCTATGCCGATGTCTAAATCTTTTTTAAAAGGAGTGAATTTGAGTGCCTTTAGGCAGTTTCCCACAGCTCCTGTCTCCCCAAGCCGAGTCATCAAGATCTCCATTACCTGCCTGACCTGTCAGTCATTTGAGTTCATAAATGACCCCTGACTTCTATAGCCCTTTCCGCCATCTGACATCCCGTGGTTTTTCTCTCTCTTCCAACACTCGCCTCTTTTTCTACCTTGCCTCTTTATTTTGTTCTCTTCCCGTCTCCATCTCCCCCAGCCTAAGGCTTGCCAGGGGCTTAGCTTTTAAAGTCTGCCATTGAGTTTCTGGTGAGAGAATTCTTTTGGCTTCAGCCCTTTGTTGCTTTTTATCCTCACCTTGACAATAAGGACACAATTCTCAGTTTTACTCTGTAGCTTGGTTTACTGTTAGCAGCAGTTTCCCTCCCTTCTTTGCAGCAGCTGTTCTCATTCTTCTAACCAGTTTTTAAAAGACTTGAATTTCGAAATACGGTCGCTGTGCGCCTCTTCAGAGATTCATCCATAACTGTCAGAGCCTTTTCATTCCCTGTCTTTTGTATAGGTTTCTTTTATGAGCAGGGTAATTTGCATTTGTCTTTAATTCTTAATTTGTCTTTGCATTTACTGTGGATGTAACATGCAGCTGAATTTGCATTTTCTTTTCACTTCCATTCTCATGGACTGGGGCTGTCTGAGGTGCAAACCATGGAGAGATTCAGGAGTATGTTTGCTGAGTGGTAAACTTGGCTCTTCTGGCTTTATTTTATTTTCCCCTCCCCTTACTCTGAGATGTTTTTATTACATTTAGATGCTCTAAACCGTAATCAAACGTAGCCTATGTTTTCCAATCCATTGGTTTCTTAATCCCATTCAGTGAATATTAGGCCTTTAAACAATGTGGTATTCACTTAATCAGGAGAAATCCTCTGTAAAAGGATATTAGATTTTTGGGTATAAAAACCGTAGAATTTATTCTGTGCCTACCACTAACCAGGTGGGTGCATATCATCATGTAACTCTCTGGTCCTCAGTGTTTTTAATCTGTAAAAGGGGACTAATAATAACTTTAAAAAAATGGCTATTTCACCATTTTTTCTGAGGTACAAATGTCTGGCTGTGGAACCCTTTGAGAAGTATGGTATTCTGGCCCAGTGTAAAATACAGTGCCCTGAGGACCCCAGGCAGTCCTGTCCTGGAGCACTCTGTTCAGCTGCTGCTTCATTGTTGAAGGTGCTTTGGTTCCATGGAGTTTCACCAACAATGACCACGGTGTTTCAAATCATATCAAAGTTTCCCATTAGCAAGGGGAAGAGAACCAGGCTGAAATCCACTCACAGTTTGGTGCTTCTCTTTAGTGCTGTGAAATAACATTCAAAAAGGAGGTTAATGCCTTACACTCAACCTGGAGTCCTGATGTGCCTACAAAAAGCATTAGATCTAATCACTCTTCCTAGAATGGCAGAGGTCAGATGTGGCCCTATATATTCTGGCATTCAGTTACAAGACTGTTCTTGAGAAATAAACTTTTTTTTTCTACATTGTAGAATGTTGAGAAAATTGTTAGTTGCTTCTATAGCCCATTCTGTAGCAATATGTAATTTTTTGCCGCTCTGAGAGGAAGGAAAATTTTGAGTCAGTTTGAACTAATTGTAGGGTGTATATAGAGGTAGTTCTCAACAGTCTGCCAATTTCTTCTTACTGCTTCCATTCATTAGAGCTTAATCACCAGAAAGGCCTTGGAGGTGGTGGAGGGGCTTCTAGATTTCCAAAAAAATCTACCATGTATTGGAGAAAGGGCTATTTCCCTAAGCCATGAACCTCCCTCACACCCCTGGGACAGACATTTTTCAGTTTAGAACTATGTCCTGAGACAAGTGGAATTAATGGATTTATTGGAATCAGAAGTTTGATAGTTTATTAATTTTTTTTTTTACATTTTTAAACTTTCTTTCTTTTTTACAGAGAGGGGTCTCACTATGTTGCCCAGGGTAGTATTGAACTTCTGGTCTCAAGTGATCCTCCCACCTCAGCCTCCTGAGTAGCTGGGATTACAAAGTTGTGCTGCTATGCCCATCTTAGTTTGACAGTTTAGAGACGAAGGCAATGTGTTCCCTTGGTAAGGATTCATTCTCCCTCAATTCTTCTTATTATCCTTTACCACCCAAGAAATCCTTGTTTCTGGGTTTGGGGAAGGGAAAGATCTCACTTTGCAGAGATCTCTGTTCCAGATGGTTTAAATGTGAATAATAAAGACTCTGATGTGAATCTAGAACCACACTCCTGAGACACATCCTAAAATTTGGAGTCCAGAGAATAGTGAGAAAAAGGACTCAGGCTGAGAAATAAGAAAAGGTACAGAGGACATCACATGCCAGGAAAAAAGAAAACAAAAACAAAACAGTTTGAGAAACTAAAGAAAATGGGTGGGTTTGTTGTTGTTGTTGTTGTTGTTGTTGTTTTTTCTTGAAGTTTTAGAATAAAGCAGCTGGGTTCAGTAGGTTGTATTTTATTTTATAACTTATGAATAATATTTTGTTGTATTAGGAAACTGTAAAAGACACTGCTGTTTTCTTGGAGTTTCCAGAACTTTTTGACACTGTAAACTATTAATCAGAGCTTAGGAAGTAGATTTATTGTCCTATATATCCTTGTCTGGGTAGATAAAATGCAAATTTCATAACAACTATTTCTTTGGAAGCAGCTGCCCAACTTCTGTGGATGGGAGGACAGGCCATTTGTTCTTTAAAACTTGATAGGCTTCAACTGGGCAACTATAAATTCTCTTCTGTCCAAATCTCTCGCCTAGGGGAGGGTCTTTTCTTTCCTGATTGCTGACTGACTTCTTTCTTGTCATGCTGGAAAGCCTTGTTCAAAGATCTCAAAGACTGGCTGCATCTCTTTCCTAATGAAGCACCCTTAGCTCGAAGCTGGGGGAGAAGGTCCATCTGGCTTCTGCCATATGTGTGTATGCTGTCAAACCAGTAAACACGGCAGAGTTTGCTGACAGTGAGGAGTTTCAGTTAGTCAGTCATAAATTAGAGATGAGATATGCTGTGTTCCTGCTGCTGCGAGCTTTCACACTCCAGGAAGGAATCTCCACTTACCTATGTTGAAGAAGTTAAAAATGTGGATTAAGGAACCCTCTGATGGGGCAGTACTGAGTGAAATGCACATACATGATTCAGGCTGTTCAGACAGTGGGCACAGACACAGGATTAAAAACCCACAATCCTTTCCTAAGCACCTGATTTGCATCTGTTTGCTTATGCACTTGGTACACTGGCTCTCCTGTTTCTGCCCATCTATATCTAGTCATTTACGTTTTTTTTCCACTTGGGGTGGGTATTGGGGAACATCTCTTTGAAGAGTCTTTAAAAATATTCCTGTGCTGGGTGAACATATATATATTTTCCCCTCAAATGTGCTTTATTCTTGTCTGATAATCAGGTAGGGAGACAATAATTAAATTTTAATGCATCTGTCTTTTTAAAAAGAAAAGTGCTTTCTGGCTCTTAATGGCAAAATTTCATTATTATGATTTTAATGCTTTTAGACTAAAGCGGAGTTTACATTTAGGCTGTAAGAAGCACAGCTAAACGATTCCTCTAAGACATCTTTGTTTCATTTATAGTCTTGTGTTGAGGTGTGTTTTAATGTATTACATTTAATACAGACTGTGATATATTAGGCTACTTAAACATCTTAAACCAGAATAGCTTCAGATAATATTGTTACCTGTATCCAAAGATCTTACCACAGTGGGGTCACAATTTCTAAAGCAGATTCCCAAACTTTTTAACCCTGAATACTCTTCTTACCCAAGAGGTCCCATGACCCCTACAAGTCTTCAAATCCCTTTACTAAAAAAAAAAAAAAAAAAAAAAGATGTTAATATTCTTTAAATAATATGAGAAGTGGAAGACCAAGGCAATCTATTTCATTTGATTAGTTCAGAAATGTTTAGGCCCTAAGCTTAGCTGTGTTTTGTTTATTTGAGGTTGGGATTTAGGGCAAGGAAAGAAAAGTGATGATGGCTGGGGTAATTCATTAAAAAGGACTAACTGGGAAAAGGACAGGAGGCCAGGGGAGGGGTGGGGGTTGCCCCAGCCCCAGAAGTAAACACTACAGGAACATTTGAAATTCCATGTTTGATTCCTGGCATGAGAAGGAATGACATATATTTAGAAAAAAGTTTAGACCTTGCATATGTAGTTGGGTTTAGCCATTAGTTAAACTACATTGTAGTTGGTTACTGTCCATTCAGTAACATCAAAATTTGATATATTGCCCTAGCAGGTTGAATAGTGTCCCCTCAAAATTTATGTGCATCTGGAACCTCAAACTGAGCATTTATTTGGAAATTGAGTCTTTTCTGATGTAATTAGTTAAGAATTGAGCTAAGATCTTACTGGATTAGAGTTGGCCCCAAGTCCAATAATTGATATCCTTCTAGAAGAGGAGGGGACACAGATACACAGAGAAGTATGCCATGTGAAGACAGAGTCAGAGATTGGAATAATCCATCTTCAAACCAAGGAAGCCCAAGGATTGCCTGCAACCATCAGACTCTGGGAGCGTCATGGTCAGATTCTCTCTTAGAGTCTCCAGAAGGAACTAACCCTGCTGGCACCTTGATTTCGGACTTTTGGCCTCACAGAATGTATTTCTGTGAGGAAATACATTTGTTATTTTTAGCTTCCAAGTTTGTGGTAATTTATTATGGCAACCCTAGGAAATGAACACAATTGCTTAACAATTTCATTCTAGTAGTTAATAACTGTAGCTTTAGGTGCTTTATGATACCAAACACAGCTGTTTACTGAGGTTAATCATTCAAGCCGCTGTTGAACTTGAATATAGGGGAACCTCCTACAAAAAGAGTTTTGCAAAGGAGGGCCTGGTACTTCTAGGTTTTCTGTGGCTAAAATATGGCCCAGGGCCCACAGTGTTTCCCAATTGTACAGTGCCCCTGCACCCGTGTCAGTAACTAACCCTACGCTACCCCTCATGTGGAAGAATGATGGAGCTGATGGGTGTGGTCTTGCTCTCTACACTTGGAAAGACCATGCTCCTTGTTGGAGGCAGGGGAGGGGCTGTAGAGCATCTAAATAGAAGGTTATTCTGGAGATGAGAGGGCTTGCTGGCTAACTGACGGAGGCCTCTGCGTTAGAAGACATGATTTGTGGGTAACCAAGCTGGCTGCGTCTCCCAGAGTGGCATTTCTAGGCAAAAGCATCCTATTGCCACTAATGCCTGGGTGTGGTCCAAAAGTCCTTCAGCTTGCTACTAAATAGAACCACAGCTTTATGATCAGAAACAAAAGAGCACATTTTGTGTTTCTAAAGACAAAGTTTTAGGATCAGTTTCCCTTCAGTGCAAACACATTTATTCTCCGTTTATTTGACTTTCCAGCCCTTTTTCATAATTTCTTCACCCTCAGATCTTTTCAATTTGGGGTTACCTTGGAAGTAGGTGAGACTTCCTTAGGGCCTGGTGAAATCCAGTTGGAATACCCATGTGCTTGGAAGAGCACAGGTGGTCTCTTTGCAGGAGAGTGGTCTTTGCAGGACTATGAATCCCTATCTTGGTAGAGTTCCAAGTTCACCCAGCTGTTCAAGTGAAAACCTGGACGTCACTCTTGACTCTTCATTCTCCCTCACCCCTCATATCCAACCAATCACCATATCCTATTGATTCTTCCTTTTGCAGGTGGATGCACATTTCTCCACATCTTTCCAACTCTCCGTCAGCACCCTAGTCCAAGCTGCCACCATCTCTTGCCTAGATTCTTGCAACAGCCTCCTAATGACGTCACTACCTTCATCTCTCCTCCTTTATTCCTTTCTCATGACCATAGCCAGAGTGACCATACTAAGTATGAGTCACTTCATATTCCCCTGCTGAAAAGAGTCTGACAACTTTAAGATAAAATATGAATGCTTTAGTATGGCTTACATGATCTGGTCTCTCCACTTCATCCCTTGTCATTCTCTCACCTGCATTCAGTGCTCTGAATTTCTCTTAGTCCCTTTTATGGAAATTCCTCTTTCTAAACCAGTAGTTCTCTTCCTTGGCTGCACATTAGAGTCACCTGGAGAACTTTAAAAATTATTGATGTTTGGGTCCCACCCTAGAGATTATTATTTAACTTGTGTGGGATGCAGCTGGGAGTTTAGAAATTTTCCCAGGTGATTCTAATGTCCAGAGTAGGCTGAGAACCACTGAGGCTTCTGGATTCATCCTCTATTCTGTAGATGGGGTCAATATTCAATTATCCCTCTGGTCTCCACTTAAGGAAGACTTGCTCCAGAAGCCCTCCTTGATTACCCTTAGACAAGTTTAGTTTGCTCATTACGTGTTCCTATACATGCTCTACTTCCCCTAACAAACTACTCATTGCATTTAGTTGTAATTAGTTATTTAATCCTTTGCCTTCCCTATTAGAATGGAAGCTCCATGAGGGCAGGAATTGTGTCTGGTTTTGCTCAATATTCTATCCCCAGCAGCTGACTTTGTGCCTAGTATTCAGTATCTAATAAATATTAAATTGAATACAGAAACAAATGCAGACACATAAGGCAGTATGCACTGATTAAATTTCTTATTTGTTTCAGGCAGTCCACGCTGGGGCACTGATTCTTAGCATGGTCTGGAATTCTCAGCCTCTTTTTACAGGGGTTGTCTTTCAGCACTGTGCTCATTCATATCAGGGACTTGCCCTGGGGAGCAGTGGTTGGGCCCTATTCTTCCCAGCTGCCTTATTTCTCCAGTCACCAGGTCTTCAGGATACCGCGTTCCCAACCCTGACCTTGACCTACATCCCACCCTTCCTCCAGTAGTTGGTAGACAGGGGTTTGTATCAGGATGCCTTTGGGAGCATTTTCAAAAATACCTGTTCAAACCTCCACCCCTTTCTAAATTCTGACTGGATAAGTTTGGAGTGGACTTTAGGAATGCATATTTTATAAAAGTTCCATAGATAATTCTGGTGCACAACTTGGTCTTCCATGCTTTCTAAACTGTGAAGCAACTAATAGGAAATCAAAGAGAGTAATGGAAACTCAGCTGGGCCTGTATGTTAAGGGGGAGAAGGTTGAAAGGAGAAAAGTGTTGTCTACCACTTCCCTCCACCAACTAAGGCTCTTCCTTTGTACCTGTGGCACATTTAGGCATTCCTAAGTGTCCTTCCAGGAATTATGACTCTTCTTTTGTTGTCTAATCCAAAGGAGTGACCTTATGGTGGCTCTGTCAGAGGGCTGGTAAGACCAGCACAGACCAGGGTAGGAGATATTTGGAGCTGATAGAATACTGTAGGACTCTTCAAATTATAAGGAGGGTTGACCTCTATTGCATTTCATATCACAGGAAGGTTTTCCTCCCAGCTGCCTCACTGATACTGCCTTCTGTCAATTTGCAAGAAAGGGGACCTTGCACTTTGCTTTGGTGTCACTAAGTGCTCTACTTTATGTAACACAGCCTTTAGAACATTTCTCTTAAATATATGTTAGGGTCGGGCTATTTAAAGCTCAAGACTTATGCTGCTCAGACGTGAAGCACAACACTCCAACATAGTTTTAAGTTATGCAAATTGTTTCTTCTCAGTTGCTGCAAGAAGTTTTGTTTTGTGATACTGGCCTAGGGCCAAACAGGTAGTGTGATATGAGTAGGCAGCCCTCCTACTACCTCTCCAGTGGAAGGCTTCAGCCAGCACTGTTCTCCACATCCAAACAGAGCAGACATAAGAAAGTTGCATTGTGAGGCTGCTTGAGTTAGTTACACAGAGCCAGCACCTGCCTGGAAGGTAGGAGACTGGGTTCCAACCTTGGTTGTGGTATTGGGAGGATGTCTGTTCACTTCTCTGCCTCACATTCTCCACTTGGTCCAAGAAAAGAGCTGAACGGGGCCATTTTTCCAAAGCAAAAAGTTTACTTTTTAAAAACTTTAATTTTTGCATACATGCTTAAATAACAGGCATAAATAGACATCCTATATCTACTGTATATCCACTTGTCAGCCAAATCCCTTTCTCTGTCAGAGATTTGGTCTGATTAACTTGGATCCTAGTCAGTCCCAAGACATGGAAAGTCCAGAAACCTCCCATGATTTCTGTAATTTCCCAGACTACACAGCTTGTCTGCTTTACCACTCCCATCTCTCTGGGTGCAAACTCAGCCCAGTTTCCTATGAAATCCATGCACTCCTGGTGTTTTGTAAGCTGTAGCAGGACTTTGCCGTACCTGGGGAGGAGGAATCTGGGAAAGAGTTTTCTCCTACTCTGCATGACCTCCTGCTCTCTCCTGGCTCCATTCTCCTTCCCATTTTCTCTGCTAGCACCTCCTCTCTCTTCCCATATTCCCTGTCTTCCACCCCAACCCCAAATTATCCCTGTTATGCAGAATAGGGCAGCAGAGGGAGATGGGGCTCAGCCTCTGTTCTAGACTTGCAAGCCCCTTAGTAATATTGGGAGTCACCCTTCTTGGAGAACAGTCTCGGTTACGGTTTTTCCCCTGGTTACATATTTGTTTGATCTCTTACCATGTGCTCAGGTTTATCATGCATATGGATACAATGGATACTGTAGAAATTTTAGAATGTACAGGTGGGTTCTCTGGCAGGCAAGCTGTGTGATGTCATTAGCCCTGAGCTATATATAAAACCATCAAGACTTTAAAGCTTGAACCTGCACTATTTTGGTGCAAAAAAAGAGAGTGATGTTGAGAAAGAGTGAGAGAAGAACTGGAGTGTTTAGGTATAGATGTGCCACTTCCAAAGTGAAGGTAGGAAAATATATAAACCATCCTATGAATATTAATAAGAATACTTTACAAAGCACTCTGAGTTCCCAGAAGAAAGACGTTACATAAGCACAAACTTTGCCTCATTCATCCTGACAGCATCCCTGTGAGAGGAGATTCCATTTTAGAGACAAGGAAATGGAGAGAAGAGGAGCCATAACTTGTCCCCACAGTCATCATTATCTCAGTTGCAGAGACTCAGCAAATTTCTCCTTATCAAGCCTCTTCCAGCAGATCAGCCTTCCTGTTTCATGATACTTCTTTGCTGTTGGACACTGTTCACTATTTCACCTGTCAGTCTCATTCATCCAATCAGACTACGAACCCCTTGAGGGGAGACCCAGGGACCCTCTATCTATTCTGCATTTTTCCCTCTCACTGTGTCCAACAGAACATCAAGGACTCAATACTACTCAATAAATGTTTGTTGATTGATGGACAGTCAGTGTGGTGTGGAAGTGACAATGATTTAACCAACTATCTTTTCCTTTGTAGTTGCTTTCTTTTTACTCCTCCCATCATTTTTCTTTTTTTCTGTTATTTTAAAATAATTGCAAGTATCATGAATATCTTGCTTTAAAAAATAAAGCATTATAGAGTTTTCTCTATCTTCCGCTTTCCGGATTAATCATTGCTTTATCATAGGATTAAAGAGAACTTTAGGTAACATAATTTTTGAAAATAAACAACATGTGCGTAGTACAAAATTCAAAGTGTTATAAGGTGTTATTCTGTGAAAAATAACTATTCTTATACCCTTTGCCAAAGCTACCTGTTTCTCCATCCCAGACACAACCAACATTATCAGTCTCCTCTGTGTCCTTCTAGGGATGTTGTATGTTTACACCATATATGTGCACATCATTTTTTACTTCAAATGACAGCATATCATAGACTTTGCTCTGCATCTTGTTCTTTTTGCTGAATGACACCTTGGAGACTGTTTTCTGGCAGTATTTATAGTTGCTTCATTCACAGTATTCCTCTATATGTGCATACCATCATTTGTTTGACTACTCCTCTATTAATGGGCATTAATTAGATTGTTCTCCATCTTTTGCTATTTATGAACAATAATAGAATGTGTGTTTTCCTACATATTTCATATTGTGTATGTGGTAGCATATCTATAGACTAAATTCCTAGAAGTAGAATTGCTGGTTCAAAGAATTGTGCATTAAATATTTTGATAGATATTGCTAAATTGTTCTTTATAGAAACAAGTTATACCTATATACACTCCCAATCACAATGTAAAACCATGATACATTTTAGAAAAGCTATATATCTGAGATGAAAACATGGGGAAGTTGAAAAAATCAGAGTATAGCACAGTTGCACGTCCCAGCATAGATGCTGTTGGCCAACATTCATGCACAGAATGAATGTTGCCCATCCCTGCTGTGGGAGCTTGTGTTCATTAGCTCAAACAACTCTGTGATTGTGAGGTGATTTTATTTGAAGGGACTTTAAATTGGTACCTTGTTTAACAGTTAAAGCAGCTGTTAGAAAACAACAAACATTTATTGAATATCCCTTGTGTGCCAGGAACACAGATGAACACTTCCTATGCTGTGAGGCAGGTATTATTATCCTCATTTTTTTGACGAGGAAGCTGAAATTCAGGTTAAGTAACTTGCCCATAATAGGCTGTGGAATTCAAGAAGGCCTCTCTCTTTCTAGTATGCCACACTGATTTCTTATATTACTTGTGTGATTTGGAAGATTAAGGAAGTACTCAGTCAACTGAAACTGCATTTTGTCTAAAGTGAGCTCGACAGCATTGCAGCAGGGAAGATGTCCGAATATCTGTACTTTGAACTTGTCAGTAGAAAAAGAAACCACCTGGTAGCCAAAGGATATTTCCTGAATGTAAAAATCTCAATGACATTGTAGTATTCTCTCATGCAGTAAAGGTCTTAGAGAAAGATCTGTCATCACACAGGATGACTCTGCTCAAGAAGGAACCAATTTTAATCTTAACATCATTTTAGGATTTGGCGCTATAAGAAAAGGGAGCATAAGGGAGTGGAACACAGGTTTGTTTTTTTTTTTTTTTTCCACATTAGGATACACAGCTGAGCTGCAGCACTGTCAATGACCAAAATTCGAGCCTTGTGGTTACTGCTATGATGAAATCCTGTGGAAAGGGGAGTTTCACTTCCAGACACAGACTGACCAGCAAAAGAACCAAGAAAATCCACACAATCATCTGTTGGTTTTTCCCTACTAAAGAAAACTGACAGTGATCTATTGCAGGAGGCCAGGGACGGCAATGTGCGTCTTCTGTTTGTGTTCATAAGATGTTGGTGCTGGGGGCTTTGAGAGCACCTTTTTAATAGGGGTGTTTTGCATTTCACACCTAGACGAGTAGCCCCAATACAACTAATCGGTTTAGTTCAACAATTCCTTCCCATATTCCTGCCAATATGTGAATATCTCCCGGATGAGTCAGCTGGAAGATATGTGGAATATAAATTCTTGTCTTTATGTACTGTGTTAGAGGAATATCCAGTCTAATTGTGCAGATAAACACACACACACACACACACGAAAAGCTACAAGACATTCCTACCACAAATGTTTGTTCAGAATCTGCTATGTGAAAGGTACTGAGGCTGGGTGCGGTGGCTCACACCTATAATCCCAGCACTTTGGGAGTCAGAGGCAGGTGGATCACCTGAGGTCAGGAGTTGAAGATCAGCCTGGTCAAAATTATGAAACCCCATCTCTACTAAAAACACACACAAAAAAATTAGCTGGGTGTGGTGGCACATGCCTGTAGTCCCAGCTACTCAGGAGGCTGAGGCAAAAGAATAGCTGAGCCTGGGAGGTGAGGTTGCAGTGAGCCGAGATTGTACCACTGCACTCCAGCCTGGGCAACAGAGCGAGACTCTGTCTCAAAATAAAAATAAAACTGAAAGGTACTGTGCTAGGTTTTCAGAATACAATGGAAAAAATAGATCTGGTCTCTGCCTTCCTTATTTGAATGTAGACAGGGAGACAGATGACTGAACAATTACATGAAGTGAGGATTATAGAAACAAGTGCTAGAGGTATTCAGAGAGGTTACATTAGACTGACTCAGTAGAAGAAAATGTGAAGTACAAGGTGAATGTGTCAGGCTGAATCCCTATTTACTTCAATAGGGATGGCACCATGTTCAAGAGGCTGAAGAAGAAACCTGGAGTCAGCGAACAAGACATGGGGTTAATTGAGGGAATTTACATACAGGGCGGTGTAGTGGCAGCAGGCTGGAGAGAAGAACTGCAATCACTTGTAAAAAGCATGCAATTTATATAGAATATTTACTTAGCACCCTCCCCCTAGCAACCTCCACCTGGCAACCTTCATTTAACCAAAAACAAAGGGCCTTCATCCCCTGTATGGCCTGCATTCCATGGGATGGCCTGGGAGTTCTGATGTTCCTCATGGATAAGAAGCGAGTCTCTGGGTTGGCCACTCTCAGATTCCTTAGCTTGGAACTCCAAACACATGTTCTTCTTAGACCATAGGGTCATTCTCAGGGTATGCTTAAGTTATAGCTGTCAGGTGTTTCTGCCATACAGGGTCATTCTCAGGGTGTGCTTAAGTTAAGTTATTGCTGTCAGGTGCATCTACTATACAGCATGTAGAAGCCAAAAGTGCATATGACCAAATATTTCCATTGTTTTTTTTTTTCCGCTAATGGAAGAAATCTTCCAGTTGAAAGTAAATGTGAAAGTCCTAAATGCTGCTAACCAAGTACTTCCATTCTTCCTTCTTCTGGGTTCATGTAGGATAATACTTTCCAACCCTCTTTCAAGTTAGGCCTGGCCAAATAATTTGTTTTGGTTGAAGCAAGCAAACTTGATATGCATCACTTCTTGCTGGGAACCATAACAGCTGCATCCACTTAGCCACATCTTGTCTTCTGACTGGTGTGGTGATCTTCATGGACACAAATGTTGTGAGAAAGCTTCTGTCAGTCACTTTCCCTGAAGAATCACGATGAACTGAGCCCTATAGCATTTATAAGATGCACATCAATGTGGCTTTATCCCACTGAGATTTTGGAGTTGTATGTTTCTGTAACCCATGCAGTCTCATAGATGGGTTTCCCATTCATTTAATTTTTTTGACAAATGTTTTTTGCAGAATGCTAAGCATTAGTCTTAGATGCTAGGAATAAATCACAGAAAAATACAGATACGTTTCTTATTCTTTTAAAGTTTCTGTTCTAGTTGAGGGAACATTAGGAGGTGAAGCTGGAGACAGATAACAAACAAGTAAACAAATGAAAACAAAATTAGGAAGATTTTAGATTATGATAATTCTTACCAAAGTGGTAAGATAGAGAGTGCCTTTTTATTCAGGGTGTTTTAGACAGGGTGGTCAAAAAAGACATCTCTGAGAAGATAACATTTGTAGTTAAAAAGCTGAAGCATGAGGAAGAGTCAACCAGATTAAAATCTAGGAGACAGTGATCCTGAAAGAGGGAATAGTAAAAGCCCTAAGATCAAGGAGCTTGGCTTGTGTGAGGAACAAAATGAAACCAAAGTGGCCTGAGGAAGGTGCTTGCAGGGAGTCAGCTGTGGTACTGACTGAGATGAGAGAGGCAACAGCCTGATGTTATAGCTATAGTAAGAAGCTTGATTTTTATATTAGGTAAAATAGGAGGTCATTGCAATATTTTAAGGAGGAGAGTGATGTGATGTTATTTATGTTTTTAAAAGATAACTGTTTGCTATGAAAGAAGGCCAAGCTTGGATGCAGGAAGGCCACTTAGGAGCTAGTGCAATATTCTAGGAAAGAGATTTCGGTGGCTTGGTTTAGGGTGGCAGCAATGGTGGTGGAGAGAATTGGATGTATTTGAGATATGTTTTGCTCATATAATGTAGAGAATTTACTGACAGATTGAATGTGGGTGGATATTAAAATGATGTCTACATTTTTGGCCTAAGTTTAATGGATAGTGCCATTCACTGAGAGAGGGAGGATTGGAGTAGAATGAAGAGAGGGAATTGGAGGACAACTAGTAGTTCAGTATATGTAAGTTTAGTGTTCATATTATATTTCAAAATTAAGATATCAAGACAGAGTCTTGGGCCCCAAGTAGATGTTAAGCCTGGAGGTAAAACAAGGAGTCATTGGTGGACAGACAATATTTAAAGCAATGAGAATAGATGAGATCATGTAGGGAATGGGTGTAGATAGTAAGAGGAGAGTCCAGCACTGAGCTCCTGGGCACTCCATAATTTGGAGGCTGAGTAAAAGAGAGGTTATGGAAGAGGACTGAGAATGAGTGACCAATGAGGTAAGAACAAAAGCAAAAGAGTGTGGAGTGCTGGAAGCCAAGAGAAGGAAGAGAGTTAAGAAGAGAGAAATTGGTAAATATGTTGACTACTATTGAGAGGTGAATGAGGTGAGAAGATTTTTGTTGACTTTGGCACAGAGAAGATTGTTGGTGAGTTAAAATGAGCAAATTAGTGGAGCTAGATGCTAAATTGCAGAGGATTGAAGAAGGAATGAATGCCGAGTGAAAAAGTAAAGAAGCTATGTGTAGAGAAATTGTAAAAGCAAACAAAGGAATGGACCGATTGGTAGATGGTAGGCATGTGATTCATATGTTTAAGTTGTGATTGTTAACCATTTTTTATAGGGTAAGAGGTTCTAAATCATGTTTTATAGTGATAGGAATAATTCAAGGGAGAGAGGAAGAGAGGGAGGGAGGAAGAAGGAGGAGGAGTAAAAGAAGAAGAGGAAGAAGAAGAAGGGGAAGACTAAATACAAAGTACCCGAGAGCCATGGAATTATGAACACCAGTAGAAAAGAAGGCACTGGGTTTGACTTCGATGGGTGATTAGGATTTGTGAAGACAGAAATCAATGTGAATCTCATTAACAAAGGTGCGTATGTGATAGTTAAGATGGAATCTTGGCGCAAAAAATTAGTAGGATGGATTGGTTGAAGCCATGATTTTATCAGAGAAATCATAAAACTAAAACTTGGATATACCTGATACAATTGGAGAGTTGGAAGGGAAGTTTGCTCAGTGCGGGAGTCTATTCTACCACTGACTCAACAGGTGTCCATCTGGCCTCTGTCTGAAGGTCAGGGCAGATTGCAGAGACCCTAATACCTGAGTCAGCTTTGGGAATTCATTATTTAGGCCACAAAAATCAGGGTGGATTTTAGAGTTTGAAGGGATTTGACCAAAGCAATATTTTAAGCAGCTTCACAAGGAGGAAAGATTTAGGACGAGAGCAACATCATCATCATCACCTGGGAACTTTTCAGAAATGCAAATTTTGGGGCCACATCTCAGACCTCCTGAATTGGATGCACTAGGAGTGGGCCTCAGAAATCTGTTTGAACAAGCCCTCTAGGTGATTCTCATGCATGCTAAATTTGAGAACCATCAGCTGCTAGATAGCAAACATATGGCGAAAGGAAGCCAGATGCCAGAGGGTGAAGGAGTGAATAGGAAGTAAGAAGTGAAGGCAGCTGGAGTGATCACTTTCCCCAGTTAGCTCTGACCTCATTTCCTGGGGTTGTGGTTGGAGAGTGCTCCTTTAGGACCTCTGGATTCTGCTTATTTGGTAGTATCTTGACTTCTGTTTGCCTATACCTCATTTTGTTAATGCATTTTTTCAGTGCTATTGTATTTGTGGTGGTATGAACTCTTTAATTAGAAAGAAAATTTTATTGGTAGAAGAAATGACTTCATTTTTTAAAAGCATTCTTATATACCCAACATGGTGATCGGCATGCCATAGTTTCTTTAAATAAAGACTAATTCACATACTAATGCACCTAGAAACTACAATGTCCCAGCATAATTCTGCCATGGCTATTTAGGAGAAAAATGAAAAAAGAAGAGCCTGAAGCAATAAGGGCCTAAAAGGAAGAGAACTGGATGTGGGAAGATTTAGTGGTCCTAAGAATCTTTGGGAAAAGTTGAGAAGTAGGACTGACAAGAGAGGACTGATGAGAGGTGACTGGTAATTTGGCACAGGTTAGCAAATTAACAGTGCTAGTTCAAGGAGAGGAATCTAAGAAGGCTTTCCCCTTCAACTATTTAGTCTTCACTGCAGAAGAGAACAAACACATTTAATATGAATGTTTTCTATCCCTGCCACTGCTTATCAGCAAGACTTTCCCTTGCTCCAATGTCAACATAGTCAGGCTACTTTTTGACTTGGTTGGCCAGCCATTGATCCATTCAAACCCAAGCTGTTGGCCTCAACCTTTCCTCCTTGGCATCAATTTGATTTATCTCCTAACTTCTGGGTTCCAGGCTCTAGCTGTGAAGTTTCCCACTTCCTTTAGAGTTCAAGACACCTGATTTCCTCTTTTTTTGTAAGGCTATGATTGTTGATCACTTAGGCTGAATGTCTGTATGTGTGCTGGTGGCAGTGGGGAGTGTGTGGCTGAAAGGAAGTAAACAGATCCTGACGGTGCATCAGTTGTTTTCCTCCTTCCATTGTGGTTAGGTGTGTCTCCTGCAGTCCAAGAGGTCAGTCAGGGAAGGAATCACTACATTTCCTAGTCCTTAAATAACTTCTGCCTGAAAGAATTTTTGATTGATGAATTTTATGAGAAAAAAATCTTCAGAAAATGCTTTTGGCAATCTTCAATAGGACAGATGGAAATGTGCCTGGCAGGGTCTGATGTTCTAGGATGAAGTTTCCATCATCTTTTGTCTAGTCACAGAAGGTACTTTGGAGTAAGGAAAGTAAAGCTGAGTTTGATGTGGGCTCATTTGGCTAGGATATGCTAGTCGGACATGCAATTTTTTGGCATGGGTGTCTAAAGTTTTCTGTAGTAAATAGGGATCTTAGTGAACATTTGATAAAGAAAACATAAAACCTCAACAATTGCAGTCATAAAAAGAAAACATTAAAATAGAAATCTAAAATCCATGTGTCTGTAAGAATCTGTACATGTAGACAAAAACGTGTTTATGGGTCAGAGCAGAACCAGAGCCACGACGTAAGGAAAGATCTAGGTTAGATCAACTAAGCAATGAATGCTCCTGGCAGGTTTACTGAGCTTCCGGCTGAGCAAAGGTATTCTGCAGTTTGTATTTTTGATGTGTGTTGTTAACTAATTAAACGCATGCAGCCTTCCTGTGAAGTGAGTCAGTGTTCCTCATTTCACATATGAGGAAACAAGGGCAGAAAGGATAAATGACTTGCCATTTTGCCAGCCAGAAGCATCACCCAGACATATTGCTAGCATTTCCAGTGAGGTTTCAAAGAATGACTTTATATTTCAAATTTAGTTTGGGTTCATGCAAGGCCGCTGAGGTGAAATTTTCAGGTCTCTAAAGCCACTCACTTGGTCCTGCCTGAGAGGTAGATAATGGTCAGTGAGGGTCTACTTGGAAGGTGTGGGGGTTTTAAGTGCTTTTCATGGTGACTTAAATGAGCACTTGTCTTGCTTTCTTACTGTAAACTTTCCACCCCGAGTGCCATTTATGTACTACACAGAACAAAGAGCAAGCTTGCTGGAAAACTAATTAATTCAATAATTGGTGGCAAAGAAACTTGAAAGCTGGCCAGACCAGCAACCTGGTGTGATTTGTAGCAACAGAATAGAAAAATACCTGAGGAATGAGTTCCATGTTTATTTTTTGGGTACTATAATCATTGACAATAAGAGAAGGGGCCATTGAGAACAAACATTATGAATTCAATTTTTCTCATGTGTGGTGGGAGCTTTCTGTGTGGAGTGACCCCCGCATAAGACAGAGCACTCGGAAGTGTGTTGCTAGTAGAGTAGGAAGTAAGCAGAGTGTTATGGGAGAGAAAGACTGCATCAATCCGCAGATATTAGTGAAGAGGGTGTGATTTCTTAAGCAAACGGTGCAGAGAGAGCGCAGAAACCAGAGTCTGCAGATGGTGTGATAGTTAATTTTATGGGTCAACTTTACTGGACCATGGGGTGCCCTGATATTTGGTCAAACATTATTTCTGGGTGTATCTGTTGGGGTGCTTTGGATGAGATCCACATTTGAATCCATAGATTGAGCAAAGCAGATTTTCCTCCCTTATATGGGTGGGCCTCATCCAATCACATGAAGGCCCGAATAGAACAAAAAGGCTAAACCTCCCTTGAGTAAGGGGGGATGCCTCCCACCTCACTGCCTGAGCTGGAACATTGGTCTTTTCCCGCCTTCAGACTCAAACATTGGTTCTTCTTGGTTCTTCAGCTTGCAAGCTTTCTGACTGGAACTTATGCCATTGGCTACCCTGGTTCTCTAGTTTGCTGATTGCCAACTGCAAATCTTGGGGCATTTTAGCCTCTATAATCATATAAGTCAATTCGTTTTAAATCTCTCTCTCTCTTTTTCTATATGTATACACATATATATTCTATTTTATACACACATACATATGCATATATATAGTCTATTGGTTCTGTTTCTCTGGAGAACTCTCATTAATACAGTTGAAAATGGGGTTTTAGGACACATCCAAGATTTTGAAGGATAAGATTTTACCTGTGGGTGGTGGTTGTCAGTGGCAGGAAAAGAGGGCAATGAAAATCCAGTATTAGGTGAGAGAGACATACCAGGAAGATGGGAAAATGTAGACTTGTGGGCAGTGAAAGATTCCAGCTGTGTGCTCCATTCCACAGTCTGTAAGTGTAGAGATTATCACTACTGCATTTTGCCAATGGGAAAGGGAACTAATTAATTAGAGGAAAGGAGGATCTTACAGTATTGGGAAATTTTAAATTTCAATGGAGAAGTTGTCAGAATGTTTCAGAATGAGTCAGAAGGAGCTAAATATTTAGGGGTGCATGGTTTGTGAGCATATGATTCATAGGGGGAATTTTACGTGCTAAAAATATCATTGAGTAAGTGGGTTTTTCTGGTGGTTTTTTTTGGAGTTCAAATTTCCCTTATTAGCAACAAAGCTCTAATATGAAGTGATTATATACTTAGAAAACTATCTTTTAAAGATGAAACTCAAATAATTTTGTAGATGAATTTTAATATGGTAATTTCTTATAATGACCTTTCTTAAATGTACCTTGAGAACAAATATCAGCAGGTGTTGAATGGCTGGATGAAGAGCCTTGTGTCAAGTTCTGAGTAGAGGTTCAGAAAGGAATAAGCAAAGATAGAATCTTTATAATCAAAAGTCCAACTTTCAAGATGTATCAAAATACCTAAAGATTTCTATACCAATTATTCCTCTAAACTCTTTCTAGGGATCGAGCTTACAGTAATAATCCAGAATATGGAAAAAGTCACTGTACAAAGACATTAAGATATTATTAATAAATGTAAAATATAAAAAATTTTGAAAAATAAGAAGCAAGCATTATTCCCATGTCTTGAATAATGTTGAAATAAATTATAGCACACCCACTTAACAGAGTATGCTATTTATATACTATTATGCACCAATAAAATGTTGGCTATGAAGACTATATAATAAATATGGGAAAAGTGTATATATTTGTGTTAAATGGAAAGATTAAGATAATAGCATTTAATAATAAACTAACATTTATTTAGTACCTATTAGCTAATATCTCAATTTTACATTCTTTACATGTTTTAACTCATTTAATTATCACAATCGTACATGGTACGTATTATTATTACTCCCATTTTGCAAATGAAGGAACTGAGACAGAGGTTAAGTAATTTTCCAAGGTTACACAGCTGGAAGTAGAGCCCAGGATTGGAATGCAGGCCATCTGGCCCAGAGATGGGATATAAAATTATGTTTATTGTATGATTAAAACTATCTATTAGGATAAGGTGGAGAGAGAATGTATTGACTTTAAAAGGTGAAAACACTTTTTATATACAACCATATTTCTACAAAGCTGTTATCTTCTATGATGCTCTACTTACCCAGCCACTGAAATAAACATGATCTTGTCAGTCCTGAAAGTACTGAATGGATTGTGTGACTCCTTGGAGGAACATGGGCAGTTGTTTTCTTGGCATTTTAAGAGTGATCTGCAGTGGTCTTAAGTATAATTTACCATTTGTCTTCTCCCTTGTGAATCTGGTTGCACACAATTGGAAACCAGAGGAGGTGCCTGATATTGGCATGGATACACCCAAATAAAACTTTGCAAGTTGATACTACCCTTTGAGGACATTGTGGAGCCTACACTTCAGACTCACACAAGACCATTTTATAAGAATATTATATGACATTTAGTTGTTATTTACAGTTCAGAAGTCATTTTCATCATCATCTTACAAAAAGATTGCCTTTATTTTGCAGATGAAGAATTAAGGTTCTTCTAGGCAAACCTTGAACGCAGCAAAACAATGAAAAAAAGCAAGAAGAAAAAAAGAATTAAGGTTCAAAGATCACTTAAATTGCAAAGCTCAAATTCAAACTCTACTATTCTGTTCTTTTAAACAAAGATGTGATCATACTATTTATATATCTCTCTCTCTTCTTCCCTGCAGTTTGCTTTTCTCAATACTATATCATGGACATCTCTTGAAGTTAATATGTAAATCTGACTTCTTTTTTTTTTTTTTTTTTTTGAGATAGAGTCTCACTCTATTGCCCAGGTTGGAGTGCCGTGGTGTGATCTTGGCTCACTGCAACCTTCACTTCCCTGGTTCAAGTGATTCTTTTGCCTCAGCCTCCCAAGTAGCTGGGATTACAGGCACGCCACCATGCCTGGCTAATTTTTGTATTTTTAGTAGAGATGGGGTTTTGCCATGTTGGCCAGGCTGGTCTCAAATTCCTGACTTCAGGTGATCTGCCTGTCTCAGCCTCCCAAAGTGCTGGGATTACAGGTGTGAGCCACTGAGCCTGGCCAGACTCTTTCTTTTGATAGTTGCATGATAAGCTGCACCATATGGATCCATTGCTATCTATTCAAACTTTCCACCCTTTGTAGACAGGTAGGTTGTTTCAAGTTTTTGCCATTACAAACACAACTGCAATAAACTTCCTTATTATATATGTATTTATGTACTGATACTTCAATTTTTACAGGATTGATTCCCAGAAGTAAAATTGCTGAGTCAAATTTTAATATGACTTTTAAAATTTTATAAAACTTTAAAATGCTTTTAAAATTTTAATATATATGTGAGCTTCCTTTCTAAAAGGCTGGATCAAAGGCATTTCCGCTGATGAGGTATGAAAGTGCTTGTTTGTCTGCATCCTCACCAGCACTGGAGGTTGTCACTTGTAAATTTATTCTAGTCTCCTATAGAATGATCCCTAGTATTCTGACTTTATTTCTAGACCTCTGTCTTTTCAATCAAGATATGATAAACAACAAACATTTTGGGCCCCCAAATTAAAAAAATAGTTCTCTTTAGGAGATTTTTCATAATCTATTAGGCTTGAACTCTCTTAAGAGTCTGCTTTTGGCCTCAGCCACTGCTTTGTATACACACAACATATCAATAAATAATAACCATTATGGTTGAACATTAAATTTGACAGTGTAGTAAGTTATGAACAAATCTCCTCATTAGCAGCACTATTATTTTGGTGTTTGCAGCAATCTAGTATTCACAGCTAAGTTGAGACAAGAGCCATTATGTATATAAGACATTTTTAGCTCATTTACTCTGAACCTGCTTTGCATACAAGAGCAGTGGGCCCTCATGACATGGTATAATGTCAGAATAGGATGCAAACTGAAGTGAAGAGGAATAGGACCTCTTTGACATGGGAGCGTATTAGTATGTACTTGGATGCTCATAACTTTAGAACCGAGTTAACAATTGTTTCGGACTAGATTCAGATTTTAATTTCCATCTGAGTGACCCACATATTTTTTTGTTGTTGAAATGGAAGGGCTACTGTTCTAATACATTTATGTATGTATTCTTGCCTTTGCCAATTAGTCAAGAGTTGGATTTGTGGCACTGTATTACTGTGCTTAATTCCTTTAAAAAATTCTTATCAATATTTTACAAGCTCAGGTTGGGAAGTTAATTCATTTGAGAAGTGGTTTGTGCATTTTATTTATTTATTTATTTATTTAGCTTGTGTAGCATCCATTTCCCTTTTTGTTCTGGTAATGACACCTTGATTTTACTTTTGGGAACCGGCCCTCAGTAAATGAGGTTTAGACGAGCCTTGCATGCAGCACCTCCCTCCAACCCTGATTCTGCTATATTATATTCCCTTGGCATATGGTTGGTTCAGGGATGGGCATATAACCTAGTCTAAGACAATGGTGCTCAATTCTTGCACATTTATCAGAATTATGGGCAAGAGACTATCCCTTTCTGCAGTAATTGCTAGCTCTGGGTTGAGTTAAGCATGAGCTATAAGGTCACCATAAAGATGGGGTACATCTGGGAATGAAGTCAACCTAGAAATTTGCAGAGCCAAGAGGTGGAGAGAAACCGAGTCCAGATGGTACCATTTGAACCCCTGGTTCAGGTTTCTCTGAACTTTTTATTCTGTGAGCCAATCATTTTTCTCCCTCTCCTTATTATTAACTCCATCCATGTTGAATTGAACATTTTTTACTTGCATCCAGATGATACCTTAAGTTTTAAATTGCTTTGATTTTTCTATTGTATTACTATTTGTATGATATTTTCAAGGGCTTGTTTCACTGAAGGACTCAAAGTTATTTTTAAGACTATTTCTAATACAAAGTATTGATTAGATATAAAACAAACAAATAAACAAACGTAGGAGCTGAAGGATGAACTTCTCTTTGGCAGTTCAACAAATATAAAAGATTACTCTTGGCTGGGCATGGTGGCTCATGCCTGTAATCCCAGCACTTTGGGAGTTCAAGGCAGGTGGATCACCTGAGGTCAGGAGTTCTAGACCCGCCTGGCAAAAATGGTGAAACCCTGTCTCTACTAAAAATACAAAAATTAGCTGGGTATGTGGCGCATAACTGTAGTTCCAGCTACTCAGCAGGCTGAGGCAGGAGAAATTGCTTGTACCTGGGAGGTGGAGGTTGCAGTGGGCTGACATCGTGGCATTGCACTCCAGCCTGGGCGACAGACCAAGACTCCCTCAAAAAATAACAACAACAACAACAAAAAAGTTAGTCTTTTGTTTTTTGACTGAGTTTGTTGAGTATGTTTTTAGGTCACATGTTTATGGGATTTTAAAATGTTTTTAGTTCTTTAGATAATAGCATATGGAAACTTATTACCCTGGTACATTAATTATTGCTTTAGGGGCTGAGAATACAGCAAGAGCTACTGACAGCACCAACTGAGACCAGAATCCTTCTTTGGGGCACCATGTGCAAATCACAAATGATTTCTCAGCTTCCCCTTTATTGTGTCCTGTTTCAGGCACCTAAAACAGATTTGGGGAATTAATTTTCTTTCCTCTGAGCCAAGCTAGATCATGTACTAACTCTCTTAGAAGAGTCAATAAGGGCCAGGCGCGGTGGCTCACGCCTGTAATCACAGTACTTTGGGAAGCCGAGGCGGGCAGATCATGAGGTCAGGAGATAGAGACCATCCTAGCTAACACGGTGAAGCCCTTTCTCTACTAAAAATACTAAAAATTAGCTGGGCGTCGTGGCAGGCGCCTGTGGTCCCAGCTACTCCAGATGCTGAGGCAGGAGAATGGCGTGAACCCGGGAGGCGGAGCTTGCAGTGAGCTGAGATGGCGCCACTGCACTCCAGCCTGGGCGACAGAGCGAGACTCCGTCTAAAAAAAAAAAAAAAAAAAAGTCAATGAGAACAATTATTTCAGCAATAAAATATAAGGATGGGTAGGGAAACACAGCGTATTGTCCCCCAAAGAGTTGGGGGAAGGCCAGTCATCCTTTGTTGAGACTCCAATCTAGGAAATATTTTTGTCAACAAAAGGAGCAAAACAAAATAAAAAATTTCAGCTGGGCGTGGTGGCTCACGCCAGTAATCCCAACACTTTGGGAGGCCGAGGCGGGCAGATCACCTGAAGTCAGGAGTTTGAGACCAGCCTGGCCAACATGGCGAAACTCTGTCTGTACTAAAAATAAAAAAATTAGCTGGGCGTGGTGGTGCACCTGTAGTCCCAGTTACTTGGGAGGCTGAGGCAGGAGAATCGCTTGAACCCGGGAGGCAGAGGTTGCAGTGAGCTGAGATTGCATCATTGCACTCCAGCCTGGGGGATACAGCAAGACTCTATCTCAAAAAAAAAAAAAAAAATTCTCCAATGATCTTACAGTGGCCAAATGTGGGGCAAGACTGGGAGTGACCTGAAGCAGGGCCATACAGGTGACAGCAGCATGCGGGTCCATGTGTATTGAAAGAGGAGTCTTGCCTGGGTTGAAGCACTGCAAAATGTACTGGAGAAAGCAAATGTCCTTAGAAATACTACTGCTATAAATGCTATACTTAAACCACATCCTGTGCAAGGGTAAAAGCAAAGACTAAAATTTACCTAGACTTAGTAATGAAGAAATGTGCATGAGGAAATGACACATCAAAGCACAGGGCACAGACATGACAAGGGTAGTGTGGGATACACAGAATATGATGGACAGTGTAAGGAGAGACCTAGAAAGGAACTTTAGAATAGGGACATTTCCCTTAGCCCTATATGGCTGAGTCTTCACCAATTCTTTAAGGAGTGGAATTGAAGTGAAAGAAAAATATTTGTAGAGTGAGTACTATTGGCCACATATAATGTTAAGTACTCTAAGGTCCAGTGAATTTTACATTTTCTTTTGTATGGTTTTTGCTTAAAAGCATAGAAAATTGCTTCTAGCTCTCATTCCATAGGAAAAAAAAAATCTGTCTTTGTAGTTACTCATCTGTAGCCTCCATGAAATCTTTAACCTGGCGGATCCCTTATGGTGGTACAGTTAAGGTTCTGGTGCCCAGAGTGAGCAGACAAAAGGAGTAACACCTGAGATCCCAATACTCACATTGGGATGATTTCCATGTGATTGTGCCACCTGGGCCATGCTCCCAAGCAGCATATTCAAGGAGTTCCTAGGTTCCAGGTTACACATTGGACCTCCAAAGCCACACACCAGGCATCCACAATATCAACCCTGTGGATGCTCTCTTTAAACAGCTAACATGACTGGTGCAAGGAAATCTCCCTAGTGGTACCTTCACATCTCCTCTACCTATCTGTCTTTCTTTTGGATAATATTCTAGCTAGTCAGAAAGACTAGGGGGCAGTGTGTTTGTGCATGTAAAAATTTGGAATTATGGAACAAGCAACAGAGGACAGGTTTTGTATTCTGTCAAGCGCTCAACACATCCAAGGTTATTTGTATGACCCTGCACAAGTTCCTTAACCACTCTGGCCTCAGTTTCCTCATTTGTAAAATGTGGATAATAATAATATCTACCACATAATGATTTTTAAGAGGGTAAAATAAATTAGTACATATAACATGTACAGAGCACTATCTGACATATACTAAGCACTAGATAAATTTTAGTGATGCTGATGATGATGGTGGTAATGATGATGATGATGATAATCTCTCACTGTGATAATTGACCATGGTCCAGTCGGCCAGTTCAAGTAGAAAATAAAGTTATGACTGCCACAACCCCTCTAGGGAGATAATGGATTAGAAATTTAGCTGTAAAGATGGTTTGGTTGTTCAAATAGACTGTGTACTATTTCATATTTATGTCAGCTTATTTACATTGTGTAGACTAGCAATGTTATTTTCTGTTGAAAGCAACTTATGACAGTGTAAAGGACAAAAATTAACCAATATTTTCTATGTGGAAAGACACCCATGTGCCTATCACAGAGGTTAATGAACATGTTAGGGGACATACCATTACCTGAAAAGTTTTGGCTATCACCAAAAAAGTGTCCTAGGAGCCATTAGAGAAACCGACATCTTTACATGGCAATATCTCTTGCCCCTAAAAGCTTGAGCTCTAGAAAGCTCAAGAGATGATATGGCTTGAGATTGAAAGGCCAAATCAAGCATGTGCTTACACATGCTCAACTCATGCTTTGCAGATAGTGATGAGAGCATTTTAAAATTCTACTCTTATCTAGATGCTGTTATTTGTTTCCATGACACTGGTTCTGGGAATGGCGCTGAGCACATTCAGCCATTACAAGTGATGGATTAGATAGTAATTGATGTGTGTTATGAAATTCACATCTGAGCCTTCCACCAACTGAGAGTCAGTTTGATTTGATCTGGCAAAAGGAGTTTCAAAGCATTTGGTTTTTAAATTATAGTGATTTATAGAAAAGTGCCTCTTAAGATGACTATCAGCTGGTAGCAGGTTGAGTTCCCAGAAAAAGTACACTTTCATTGTCCTCGTTTCTCCAAATGGCAAACCTGGTAGGGTACTCCTCTTCAACGTGGCCTCCTGGGGCCCCCTCTTCCTTTTGTTGGATGTGCTTCTACAGGTAGAATTGCTGATACTAAGATTGTAGTTCACTGGGCTGTAAATTTATTTTGGATTATCGGATAATATTGGATTATCAAAGCTGTGGAATAAAGCACTTTAAACATAAAGAAGTTAGAATTTTAAAAACCTTCGTAAGTTTATGTGGACAAGAATATGTTATTTTCTTGCAATTCAAAATAGATGAAGTTTGCCCCACAAAATTTCTCATGACTTTAAATTCTACTTTCTGATTCTCACATTCTCTTTCCATCATATATTATCTCCCTAGCAAATAACCTACAAGCACTGAATACCTTCCTCCTCCCTCGACAACTCCTTCCCTAATAAAACTTGCAGAAATATGATCTCAGTCTTTTATTCTGTTGTTAGATTTTACCTTAGTATGATTAAGTTTCTGTCTCTATTTTACCTTTTCTGGGTATTTGCAGTTTAGGCTTTTTATTTCTGGCTGAGATATGGAGTTTTCTCCCTTATTCAAGGAATTTCAAGCATCGTTAAACAGGAAGGGAGTCTTTCTGGAACTGGGTAAGACAGTCTTCTGATCTCATTCTAGACTTTCTTGTAAGTCTCTGGAGGTGAACCTGACTTAATCACACTGGAAAGATCCAAAAGAGAATCATTAGGAATCATCCCCCACTCAGATATGGATGCTGGAAGCCTGCACCAGGAGAGGAAAGACATGTTTTGGTGTCTTCCACAAAATATAGGTCTCCTATATGGGTCCCCAGGGTAGTACTTCTCAAATTTAATATGCATTTGAATTACATGACATCTTGTTAAAATATTTATTCCAATTTTGTAGATTTGGGGTAGGGCCTGAGGTCCTACATTTTTAACAGCCGCCCATGTAATGCTACTCTAATGTTGTTGGTTCCTAGATTTGAGTAGCAAGAGTCTAGAAGATTCTATTCTTCTAATTCTTCTTCCTTGACTCTTCTTGACTTTCTTTTTCCTGAGATGAAGCTTATATATATATGTATATATATGTATATATTTATACACACACACACACACACACACACACCCCTTATGGCATACTTAATGTTACTCTTATTAGTTTGATGATATTCCATATAACAGTTTCTTTAAAATCAAATGATATCATTCACAAATATGCTAGATATTTTTCTACATACCGAACATATAAAGGTAAACAGGACAAACACAAATCCCAACTCATGGAGCTTTCATTCTACTGGGAGAAGTGGAAAATTACCAAATTGTAAATAAATAAATAAAATCATGCCAGATGGGAATAAGTGCTATACAGAAAAATAGGTCACAGTAAGGGGAGAGGAGAGAGTAGGTGCTTTGGTACGTTGTCCTGGATGACACCTCTCCTCTCTTCTTCAAACCACAACAAAATGCAAATTATGTTATTATTAAATAAGCTAAAATTTAATTCAAACAGTAGAAACCCAAGGAAAGATCTATTGAATGAAAACAGAAAGTCGTTCTCTCTCACTACTACAAAATTTGAGTTTGCAAATGTAGCGTATGTTGAATAATATGGTTCTCCCGAGGAGTAAACCACTCCCCATCTGATGGCATAAAATCTTCCAGACTGTTAGGGCACCACTTAACATATTACCCACTGGCATTTCTACATAGGCTAGAACATTCATGAGCTCTGAAAAAAATCAACAAACCTTCTTAAAGAATGCTGATTTAGTCACTTGACGGACTCCACTGTATGATCAAAGGCTCTGATACTGCCTTCAGAATTCATACTGAACTCAAAAGCTTCCATTTATAGGTGAGGATCCCAAGGTTAAAAGGATGGCAGCTTTAGCAGCTTATTGGCCAAAGCTCCACTGGTGGTCAGGTGAAGAGCTAGGACCAGAGTGAACGTTGGTCTCTAAATTAGCAGCTTTCTGGTCTCTACACTCTGCATTATTGCCCCCTGACAAAAGGGCTTCAATTGGTAGGATTAAATAGAGTTTTAAACACAATGTTCTGAAGATGTTTCACAGAAAAGATTAAACAGGTATGGTAATTCAGATCTGTTATTTATCTGTGAAGATACAGAGCTGCATGATCAAATAGTATAGATTCCTAGAGTGTCTGTTTTACAGCATCTGTACTTGCTTGGTGCAAAACTCAGTAAATATCAACACTAACAACAAACTGGCATCTTTCAAATAAATTCGTATCTTTTTTTAAAAAATAGAATTGATGATGGTGCGGTATAGCTAGTATGTCCGGTCAAAAAATAAGCTTTCCTTCAGAGAAAAGCAGCTGGTGCTACAAGATGTGCTTCTGAAAAAGAGAAAAAGAATGCAGTAACTTCTAAGCAAGTTTCCCATTGAAGGAGAATGCTAAATTTGTGTCATTACTCTGAAAATTAGTAAATCAAGAATGTTTGTTTACATTAAAAAAATAGAATTGATGAGCATTCAATAAGCTCTTTGGTGGCAGGTTTGTTGAATGGGTGAGTGAGTGAAAACTCCAGCAGTTCCATTTTGAGGTTTCTTAGCCCTGGGCTGCCTACTTACACTTGCAAGCAATGTAGGTAGAAGCAAGCAAAAACCATCTGGGTAATGTATCTTCATTGTAGGTTGGTTTTTGTTTATTTTGTAATTCTAACTTCTAGTTTTACCACTACTTGATTTTTAGTAAGGGTACTTGAATTGGTTTGTGTTTGCCCTTATTTGGAGTCAATGTACATAGAAAAAAAAAAACAGATTTAATGTAGCAAGAATATTTCTTCTGTTGCTTAAGCTTTTCCTTTTAAAGTTTTTTAAAAAAATAACGGTAAATCTTTGTTATTATCATCTCTGATTATTCAGGGGCTATCATATGAATTATACCAGTGGTAATTCCTTTGGAAAGACAAAATTTCTACATTTTTTTTGCCAATTGAAGTATTCAGTGTAAAAACAGATTTCTTCAAATGTAGCAAATTGTTGGTTCATTTACTAACCATGTTTGTTTCATGTATTTGCATTTGCCAGACAAACACTGAGAATATATATTTTAATTTTATTGCAAAACCACCATTTCAAGGCATACCGTGAAATTATAATTTATGTTACTGAGATTTTTGTAGTTTTAGAATGATCATTTCAATTTAGCCCTGAGTACCTTATACCATTATGCTAGGAACACTTCCAGTTTAAACATATATAATTTATTTTTAACAGATTTTGCTTGGGGTACACAAATGAAATGTAACAGTCATTACAGAGATTGTCTTAGTTCATTTACTAAACATGAATTCATGTCCTCAGTTTCTCTTCTTCTGCTCATGGCTTCCTGGCTTGGCTTCTCTCCCCTACTTTGATGCAAATTTCAGGTTGAAGGACACATGAGGCTCCTTGTGGGGGGGTGCAGGGAGAAATGCGGATGATCTTGGCATATGGCATAGGTATGTTATTCAGATATTCTGAATATTTTAGATAGTTCCCTCTGAAAAATTAAATTTCTAAATGATCCTTCCTTCATTCCCAACCCCTTCACATGTGAAACACTTCTGTGCTTCAAAACTCCAAAATAAACAGCCTTGATCTTGAGACCTTTCTTTTTTCGAAGATAATGGTTTCAGCTTTTGAAGTTATTTTACCTTTATTCAGAAAAAGTATTAAAAACTCAAGTTCTAATTAGAATCCTCATTCTCTCTCAAGTAGAACAGATCAAAGAAACGAAGGTGGAGATTCTGCATATCACAGCCTCATGAGTTTTCAGCAGGAATTACAGTGTTGAGCATATACATTTAAATAATTTAAAAGTATTGTGTAATAGGCTGCGTATTGAGCCTAGGCACAGCAAGTTCTCACCTCCAAATATTTGTATTGTGTTTGCATTACCTTTGCACACCAAATCTTTGTTGCTTTTTATGTATTGCCAAGCTTAGTACACATGGTGTACAAACTATTTCCTTTTTTCTATCCTGAGAACAATGTTTGAGGAAGGTCTCACTGTATAAAGCTGTTTGTTGCTTGGGCAGATTTTATGCCATTTGAAACTAGAATTATGTAGAGCATTTATCAAGAGTGTAACAGAGATTTTGGATTCAGCAAATAGGTGGGGCTCAGAAATTAGGTTTTCATCAGTAGTGAATAAATTTCTCTAAAGGATTAAGGTAGCAGAGCAAGCATTTGCAGATTTGTATATACTGTATACTGAGATTTTATAAGATACTTTAAGGATCCATATAACTTCCCAGGCAGAAGCTAAAAATAAAGACGCAATTCTGTGAGCATTATGGGTTGTTAGGTGACTTTGCTTCAGGCCATCAAATAAAAATGGCACATGCCATTAGCCTTACTGGGAGAGGATTTTAAATATCTTTCTTCAAAATTATGTCCTCCTTTGATTTATTCTGTGGCCCTTTTTATTTATTTGTCTCACATTTCTGAAAGAAACCTGTGACTGGGTTGCCCAAGGGATTATCCTTTTCGTAATGTGACATGTTGAATTCTGTAATATCCACACCGTTTTTCTTTGATATTGGATACTTTCTAAGCATTGAATTAATTGTGCTGCTAAAAACAAAACAAAAAAACTCCACAAAACTCCAAAAGCAACACCAGTTCTCTTAAGAGAGCAAAGAACTCAAATATGCCTGTGTGTCTTTGCAAAGCAGAAGCCTAAGTATCATATTGGAAAAACTAAAAATGTTAGCTCTGGAGAGAGACTCTGACCTCTTATTGGTTGATGTTTTAATGCTGCTTCCAGCCTTCATGATGCCCATACCCTCTATTATCTCTGATACTCAGTCTTCAGAGGAGAAAGATGAAGTACGTCTTCATAGGGAGACACACGGGTAATAAGAAGGTGGAAGTGACTTCAGTGGATGGCCCTGGCTCACAGGTTCTCATTACACAGAGGCTAGAGGGGCAGAATAAAAAGATCAAATTCAGCAGAGATAAACGACACACATCATCCTCTTAGCTGATCGATAACCAGCTTCTGAGTGTAACCACTGTCAGCCAGCTGTATCAGTCTCTCTCCAAGACGCACAGAGAAGCAAAGATTCTTTCAAGCCTGGAAGCCTTTAAAGTAAGCAAACCTATAGGGATACAGGCATGTTGCAATGATTTTTCTGTAACATCTGGTTTATTGAGGGAAATAGAATAATTTTACCAATGCAAGCAGCATGAATTAAAACAAAAACCAAAACCAAGAGAAATTATGCCATATTGCTAGGCTTTTCCATAGCCACCCTACTAAATACTGCCATTTGAAGAGTTTAAATAAAGGAGGACTTATTATATTTTGATACCATACTGAACTTGCAGGTTACTAAAGCGAATACTTTAGAACGAAGTCTGAGCAAGTACTGACTAGAACAAAGTCTTAGCAACAGCTTCCAGTGAAGCATAGCTACATATTTCATGTGGACATTTCGAGAATGAAAACAAGAGGGAACTTTTAAGAAGCCTTAAACCCTATCTTCCCACCCTCTCCTTCAAGTATAAATTTAGATAAGTGTAATGTACAGAACATAAGCATCCAAATAGGCTCATTTGATTATATGGCTCTTCTGTCTAGGAATTATGGAAACAGGATGTTTTATTTGATGTTGGGATATAATATTACTGAAAGTTTTTGCTAAGGTTAATAAAAAGGAAATTTAATAGATGCATTAAAATGTCTGAAATAGGCTCATGAGTTAAAGCAGTGAGCTCACTGCACTTAAAGCCTGGAAGTCAGGATTCGACGCCACTCAACAGTGTGTGTGTGTGTGTGTGTGTGTGTATGTGTGTGTGTGTAAAGTGAGGAGGTTGCTTTAGGAAAAGAAATTTCTTTGGGTCAATATTTTAGAGCATGTTGCTTCAGAGAAATCCCTATAAGTGGCACTTAAATTCTTTTATTAATAGAAGTTGGTATAAGAATGACAAATTTCTTTTCTGGAGACCGTTTACCATCATTCTCATCAATATTTAACCACTGAGAAGCAGGGGAGGCCCATTAGGTTATCTCAAGGATTGCTTAAAAATCTGTGATAATTCGAATCAAAATTCAGTCTGAGAAAACTTGGGAAACCTGTCTGGTGAGGAAGCTTTTCTTTTTTTCTCCTCCCTTTCCCCTCCCTTCTCAAAGTTCTCCTGATTTGTGAGCCCAGGGCAAGTTTAATTATAATTAGTTAATGTCAGTTAATTAGGTAATGTTCATATAGTACTTTGAAGATGAAAAGTGTTTTAGAAATGCTAAGTGCTATCATTATTAATATCAGCAAAGGGGAAAAATTAAGCATGCCAAACACTTTTAGAAACTGCGGAATTTGAACATGTAGTGCTTGGTGCCACGTGACTCGTCAGTTCCACCATCTCAATTCCTCCTGATGAAATGTGAAGCAGCCTTTTGTCTTCATTGTTTGGGTGTCCAGAGCTCCCTTTCTCCTTCCCTGTCATATGCTGTCACTGCTCAAAGAGTTGAACGAGTCAATTCCTCCCAGATAGATGTACTGGAGAACATACTCTCATATGCATATGTGTTCACACACAGAAAGATCAACCATCAATGTGAGCTCAGACTCATGTTTATTTCTGAACTCAGACATTCCTTAGGCTCCCACTCTTTGTATTTTCTTTCATCTTTCTTTCTCAGAGGAAAACAGTAGAAAATAACAAGAACAAAAAGAACCCAAGTTGGAATATCTAATTTATTTAAGAAAAATGAACCTGCCAAGTAAAAAGTAGACTCTCTTACTTGCAAACACATGGAATTCTCTTAGTTGTAATTAAGATGCACACTTTGGAGGCATATGGCTCCTAAGCTTTAGAAATACATGGCTGTCCCATGCCACTTGCAGAACGTTTATAGGCCACATTATATCTGGACAGTGCTACACACAACTTTTTACTAGCTATGCTGAGGAAAGTAGGTCAATATAATTTCTGATTTACACAGGAGGAAAGGGGACCCTGACCGGAGCTAAGTCCAGGTGAGGGTGGAGATGCTCTTTGGAAAGGAATGCTAATTGGAGGCAATGCCTTCCTCCACCCGTCTTCCAAACAGAAATTACTTTCCTCATAGATTCAATTTTGAAGAGTCTTATAATGAACAATAGGTTAAAGTCTGAGATCTTGGAATGAAATAAGTCAGTCTGTGTTGGTGGAGACACAGGGGCAGAGGGAGAGTTGAGAGCCTGCATTGCCTTCTGGCTCTAGACTTCTATGAAGGAAGTGCACATCACCTTTGAGTGATCCAAGGTCATGGAAAGTCAGTAGGAAACTCCTGGCTCATGATACCTTATTTCTTTGTTTAGCTCATGGATTCCTTACTGCCTTTCCTTCACATAAATTGTTTAGGTAGGAGGAATACCAGGGAAGTGTCTTGGAATTGAGTTAAATTGTTCCCAAGGGTCCAAATTGGTTTTTTACTGTTTGGTGGAGTAATTTGTGCATCTCACTGAAGGGCTAATGAACACTTCACTTTGGCAATTGGAAATAGACACATTCAGATCATGTTAATCAAACATAATTAACTTTCAAGGAAGGAGGCTGGGAGAGTGGGCCAAAACAAATATGCTGAAATAGAACAGGGCTGAATGCAAAGTCCTGCAGTTAAAAAAAATTTTTTTGACTGCATATCCATAGAATAACTATGCAGTTTATTAAAGCAAAACAAATCAAAACAAAGCAAGACAAAACAGCATCCACCCAAATTTAGAGGCTTTTGTTGACTAAAAGCTCTATATACGTGCAGTGATATGACCTGAATGCAAAGTGCTCAGGCATTGAGGCGTCTATGTGGCAGGTGTCCAGCACCAAGGCTGAAGGAGGGCTCCTCAGGCTTGCAGAGACCACTTCTCAAAACCAAGTTTTTCTGGGCTTTAGGTTTTAAGAAAACTTGAGTGTCTTAGGAATGGTTGAACTGAGAGGGATTTAGCCTAAAAAAAAAAAGTGAAGTTTCTAGAAATATGATGGTCGTTTTAAAATATTTTAAATTAAAGTCCAGGCATGGTGGGTCAGGCCTGTAATCCCAATGCTTTGGGAGGCCGAGACAGGAGGATTGCTTGAGGCCAGGAGTTTGAGACCAGCCTGGGTAACATAGCAAGACCCTGCCCTGTCTCTACAAAAAATTTAAAAATTAGCTGGATGTGGTGTAGTCCTAGCTACACAGGAGGCTGAAGCAGGAGGATTTCTTGAGCCCAGGAGTTTAAGGTTGCAGTAAGACGTCGTCATCGTGCCACTGCCCTCCAGCCTGGGCGAGAGTGAGACTATGTCTTTAAACCATTTTTTTAAATTAAAAAACCAATTTTTGAAATATTAAAAAGCGTTATAATCTGGAGAAGAGTTTAGGCTTAGAATGGCTGTGGCCTAGGAAGAGATGATCAGTCAAGCTGTGGTTCTAGACTTTAAGGCCCTTAGTAGGTTGCCCCAGCCCTTCTCCCTCATGCTGCTCTTCACTGCTACCTTATCAGAATTCTCCGTCCATCCGCCCTGGGTTGGTTCACGGTTCTCCAAATGCAACTTCCTAGTCACAGGGGGGCCTCTCCTCCCCTTTACTCTTGTCTGTACTGCATTTCTTTCCTAATGAATCCTTCTAAGTCTTGCCCAGTGTTTTTCACCCCTGGCTACATATTAGAATTACCTAGGTAGCTTTTTAAAATACTATGTGTGGGCGCCACTTCCAGAGGTTCTAATTTAATTGATCCAGGGTGGGATCCAAGCATCAGAATTATTTCAAAGCTCTCCATGTGGTTTTAATAGACCTGGGCCACCAGTTTAGCTCTAACTAGACTTCGGTGACGTATTCCTCACTTTCACTTGTTCCTCTGACTTCCTGCTGGGACATTCATTTGTAATTAATATGTCTGATATAATTCACTCCACAAAAAACAACTATCTGCTCTATGTCATTAATCATCCTTCAGGGTGTGTATGTCTAATAATTTCAGTTGAATCCTAAATCCTTTGAATGTGTTTTATATTCCATATTCCTTCCTCTCTAAAACCTACTAAAATACTTACCCATAGAATAGCATGAGTTTTTCTTTAAATCATTACAGAGAATCAATACATATTTCTTTTTTTATTATACTTTAAGTTCTGGAATACATGTGCAGAACGTGCAGCTTTGTTACATAGATATACATGTAGCATTAGGAGAAATGCCTAATGTAGAAGACAGGTTGATGGGTACAGCAAACCACCATGGCATGTGTATATCAGTATATATTTCTTATATAATTGGCAAACAAGTTGTGAAATTTTGATAGTTGATACTAAACTTATAAAAATCATTATATCCAGAAATGTATATTTAAAAAGGGAGAGCACTGATGTTTGGCTAAATTATTGAGTGAGAAAACAAGTTAAGAAAATATGGCTGGGCTTGGTGGCTCACACCTGTAATCCCAGCACTTTGGGAGGCTGAGGCGCACAGATCACTTGAGCCCAGGAGTTCGAGACCAGCCTAGGCAACATGGCAAAACCAGTCTCTACTAAAAATACAAAAATTAGATGGGCATGCTCCTGTAGTCCCAGCTACTCAGGAAGCTGAGGTGGAGCTGTGGTGGGCCATGATTGTGCCACTGTACTCCAGCCAGGGTGATAGAATGAGACACTGCCTTGAGAAAAAAATAAAGAAAATGTAAGAATATTTTGGATGCATTTATTTTTGTGGTAGATGATATCATGAAAGGTAATTGTGATGGCTCATCAAAAGTGCCATCCAAAACAGAATAACATGGTTTGGCTGACTCTGGGAATGGCTTAGCATGATTTTACTTATGGGTAGTTGAGACATGAGGCTGCAAGGTTACTGTTTCGGGCTAATGAGAACATCTTTGCTTCCTTTACTGTCTCAGAGAGAGTGGCTTTTTGAGTCATGGAGCTGAATTTTGTTTTACCCCTACAGGTGGATTTGTGCAAGCCAGAACAAAATCTACATGCCAAGAAACTGATGGAATAACTAAACCGTTAATAAATTCCAGTGCCACCTAATAATAATACTTTGTATTTATATAGCGTCTTTCTTGGAGGAACTCAAAGTACTTTATGGGCTCTGAAAGTTAATCAAGTTGGGAATTTTTCAGCCATTGTGGGAGTGAGATCCAGGCCTACAAATCTCCAAGCTGTAAGCTGGCTTTCCTTATTTACACATGTGCACCCTGTTAAATGTGGGGACTTCAAAAAGTCTGAGGCTCTGTGGCCTTAGAGAAGCTGTAACATAAAGTGAACTGAAATCCATTTCTGGCCAGCTGGTATAAGGATCCAAACAATGTTTAAAATATTTTAACAAATGAAAACATTAAAAAAAATCATATGCAGCTGTCTGGTATTACTTTGTCCCCGTGACAGTTGCTGAAATATAATGATCCCTGTGTTTGTGTTTCTGGTTATTATAGGAATAATTGTGAGGAGAGTGAGTAAATTTTACTTTTTTATTTATGGGCATTTTCTTGTTTTTCTCTAATTTGTGTAATCTTTGAATAATAACGGACTGGGGAAGTAGAAGTTTCTACAGCATGGCGAAGGGTAAGAGGCTAAAAATAAATATCTTGTGACAAGAGTGTTAAGTGGTAGCTTGATTATTTTCATAGCAATTAGGATATCATTTCATAGAGGAGCTCTTAAAACAAGAGTCTTTAAACATGAAGAAGAAATGTACTGGGATGGGATTTTAGAAATTTTGGTTAATAATGAGGATCATGCAAATGATCCATGTCATCGGAGACTGATAAGTTGTATGAACGTAATCTTTAAATCTGTGCACCCTGGGCTGTTTCTGCCCTTGCTTAAGGCTCTCCTATCATACCACTTGGTTGACAAAGACTTGATTGTTTATTGTGGAGCTGGGTTTTGTCTAGGCAACTGCTTTCTTTTTCTGGGGTCCTAGGGACTTGAAATGTGTTCCATGTAGCAAGGTTTTATGTATCCTTTAAAGAGGCAGATGGAGTTGACTTTGAGCATCTGCCATATTGTGGTGGAGTAGATCTTCTAAAATTAGAATATCAGCTCTTCATTCAAAGAGACTTTGTAATTCCAAGTACAGTGCAATGAACATTCCTGGGCTCAGTAAACATTTGTTGACTGATTTTTTTTAAATGTAGGGTTTCCCACAGGGATAGGAGTAGCTTTGGTGATGGTCAAGATGATTTTAGGTGGGGCTGGGACCCATCACATAGAAAGTTATTCATTTTCCAATTCTCTCTACATTTTTTTTTTCTGATTATTTAATGGGGATAGCCTTATTTGGGTATTGATATGTCTTTAATTGTTTAGTTTTTGGTGTAAAGCATGCTAGTTGTCCATTTTTCATAATGATATAAGGTTTGTTTTATAATAAATTTAGGTAGAAAAAAATGTAAATACTTATAGAAAAATATTAAGTAAACAATAGCCCAGGCAGTGTGTGTAAATATCAAAAAATTGATTTATGAGAATGACAGAATTCCCTTACTACTTGGGTTTATTCCTAAATTTAACCATTGTTTTCACTTTCTATATTTTTGCTGGAATTACCTATGACTAGTTTGATTTCTCACTACTCCTATATTATATGATTATGAATGGTAAAAACCATAATTTTCTTTAAATTTCTCACTAACTTTCTAGGTACGGGAATATATTTTTCTGAGGGATCTTCAGCAGCGTTAAGTGTCCACTGTATTTAACGAATGAACCTTTCGTGTATGCTTTTAGAATAATACAATCAACGTACCATTTTGGGAAGATTTGGAAAATGATCCCTCTATGTTCTGTGGTTGAGATGAGGAACCGCTGCATGAGAAAGGTTTCGAAGTTGTTTTTGTTAAGTTCAACCAATTTAGCTTAATTATCTTTGCTTTGAGAACATTCGGTAATGCAAAGAGGGTGAAGAAATATCAGGGAGAGGTGGGAAAGAAAAGGGTGGAGGGTGAAGAGAAGGGAGTGAGTGTACAAAGTGGTAGGGAGGGAGAGAAAGTGAAAGAAAGTTATCCAACAAGAGCAGAGGGAGAGAAACTACGTAAAACAACGTAAAAACATTCTGTGAATTAATATGTTTGTTTGCAGAATATGTGTTGATAAGGAAACTATTTTTAAGTATGTTGAAATATGGATAGATTTATATCCTGATAGTGTTGCTCTCAGGGACTCAGAGTTTCAAAAGAGGAGGCAGACCTGGACTGCAGTTCTAGTACCCGCCATTAGCTTTGTTACCTTGGGCAAGCCCTGTAACTTTGCTAAACCTCAGTCCCCCTATCTCTAATATGCAATGATAGTATTTGCCTTCCAGGATTGCTGGTAGTATTAAATAATATTTGGTTATTATGAGAAAATAGGGACTCTATTACAAAACAGCTAACAAGTGCATTGTAGAGCTGGAATCACCAGACCCCCAAAACAAACAGGAAACAAGATCTTAAAAAAAAACAAAAACAAAAAACTAACATATTCTAAAGGAATGTGAGTTTCTCATTCTTTTCCTCAGAATGTGACCCCTTCCCTCTGCAGCCTTCTGCATTTCATGTTGGTGATACTCTCTTCCTGGCTGCAGAACAGGCAGCTTGCTGCTACTGAGGCGAGCTCATGGCACCATGCTCCAGAGTCTGCTCTGACCTCCATGCTCTGACCTCCATCTGGGGGAGTGACCATGAGCCTAAGCCAAGCTGGAGTGAGGTTTTTGAGACAGGTGCTATGATGTATTTGTTGTGTGTAGGGGGGTGTAAAAATGAGCTACAGAAGTTCTTCCCTGGGCTAAACTGGCATAACTGAGGTTATTTCAGGTGTTCCTTTTTGACCTTATTTTCTTCTTCCACAGGACAACTTCTCAGGTACACAAGATTGTTGTCTTGTATCTCCTCCCTGTTATCACTCAATCCTCACCCTTACACTGAAACCACTTTCAAGAAAGCAGCCATTTAGAACTTGTGTGAAATCAAGGTAACATTACCTTTCCCAGGTGTGTTTGCAATTTGAGGTTTTTTTTTTTTTTTTTTTTTTTTTTGCCAGTTGTGGAACTCTGCCCCTCTTAAAGGGATTTCAGACAATTCCAGAACTTTCTGAAAAAGGGCCTATGTGGGTAGGTCTTACAGACAGAATCCTGGAAGAAAGCCACACATTCATGCCCTGGCGGTTCCCTGGGCCTGTCCCATAAACCTCAAGGCCGATGTTTCCAGGGCAGTCCTCATTTCAGATATTCTGGTCTGTACATCACACCATTTTTTGGGTTGTTTCCTGGGTTCTGTTTGGGAAATGTAATTATGTCTGGTGCATAGTAGTCACTTATTTCTTATTTTTATGGGTTTGCTAGATGGCAGGGTATATAAGTGCCTCTATCTGCTGGTCGTAAATTGATCCTCTGCCCTTCCTGGGGGTAGCAACAGTTCCTGATCCTTTTCAGTCATTCATAGTTAGGGTGTTGTAGTTTGCTAAGCACATTTATAGCTGGCTCGACTCCATGCAGTAATTCTGTCTGTCTGTCTGTCTGTCTGTCTGTCTGTCTGTCTATCTATCTATCTATCTATCTATCTATCTATCTATCTATCTATCTATCCATGCATCCATCCATCCATCCATCCATCTAATCTAACAATCATCTAACTGTTCATTATAAAGAGAAAGAGGGAAGGGCATGAAGGGCTCTGCTTACCTTCCCTGGCCTTCAAAAATCTGGGCTTCATAGCTTTTAGGACAAAGTGTGAAACGCTGGCTCTTTTAACAGGGCCACATAGTGGAAAGGCCACTTGAGATTTGCCGTTGCAGGCTGCTAGCATTTAGTTTTGATGTTATTGCTGCTGTTCTGGGTTTTAAATATTTTAATGAAAATTTTTATTGTGTTTGTGGACTGGCTTTTAGCAAAGACTGCAGTTTTAAATATTCTAATAAATGAATGGGAGGTGTGTATAAAGAGAATTAAAACGGAAACCTAGTTAACCCATACTTACAGGATATTCCATAAACCACGATCGAATCTGATGTTGTTTAAAACGTGAAGTGCATGACTAGGTACTGGAGGAGTAGATGATGCTTGTCTTCCAGAACTAGTATAACCACAAAAAGTCTGCACATTCTTAGGTGGTTTGGTGAGTATTTGTTTCTCTCATTTTCAAGTGGATTATTATTGTTGTTGCTGTTGCAATGGAGTCACCATGGTTCAGAGCTGTGCCTGGTTACACATAGAACAAAGAAGATGAGGAAAGGGGTGACTTACCTAGAAAACCTAGCCTTGTTTTGACTTACCTAGAAAACCTAGCCTAGAAAAACTATTTTCTGCCTCTTGCAAATAAGTGATGAAACCTTATCCATCTGTTTATAAATTTTATGAATAGGCCTAAATATCTAAACCTGTGTAGAAGACATTTCCAATGAGCGATACAGTTCATTTTGTGAATTGTATTCCTTCCTCCCACTCTGGTTTTGGTGCCTTAGGGCCTTTCCTTAAAAAAAATGAACTTATGCAATCTAGCTAGGTGCTTTTCACAGTGCTTTAAAAATGCATTCTCTTTTTGGTGTCATGGTGCCAGGAGTGCTGTAGGAGAGTGTGGGCTTATCTCTCCCCATGCTCCCAAACATCAAAAGATAAGATGGAAAATAATTATGAAAAGTGATGGTGCCAGTCATTTCTCTGTTTGCTCTCAGACTGATTCCTTGTTCTCAGCCTCTGCCCTGCATAGTCAGGGTCAGCCATAGAGATGCACAGGCAGGAAATTGCATAGAGGGAGGAGGGGAGATACTGGCTACTCTGCCAACTCTCTGCATCAGGTAGCATCTCCAGCAGTGTCTCTAACTCCCAAACAGGCTCTGCCATTGTGCCCCCACACCCCGCCCTCACAAGCTTGTTAGATCCAGCTTTCTTCATGCTACTCTGTCTGGGTTCTGATACTACCTATCTCCTCCTGCTACCTCCTCCCACTTGTAGTAACAAAACCCCAACACATTATTTTCTGATTATACATAATGTATGACCATTGTAAAAGAATGTAAACAACATAAAACTATAAAAAGAAAAGCATTGAATTACCTGAAATCCCACTATCCAGCAATATCCATAATCAACATATTCGTGTATTTCCTTTCTGTGTTTTGGGAAACATTTAGATGCTACTAGTGGCTTCTCAGGGCTATAATTTGTGGGTGAGCTTCTGTGATAGGAGCCTGTGCTACCAGAGAATGTCAGGCCAGTTCCTAGGATAATGCGCACAAATGCCAAAAAACAGCAAGCCATGGATATGAGACTGACTCTCTACCATGCACACATACGCGCGCACACACACACACACACACACACTTCAAAACCCAGTTGCCTTGAAGGCCACTTTCAGAGTAAATGTCCTTGGAAGAAGCCCCATTTTGCATGTTTTTCACTGCAGGTGGATACTGAACAGCTTCAAAGGTTTATTTCCAAAGGAAAGTAGGCTTCTGTAGCAACTCAAAGTGGTCTACAAGCAACTGTGTTCCTTGAGCAGAATAACATCAACAACAAACCCTGTATTTGGGTGGTAACTTTCTTCAGATGAGCTCAGGGTGTTCTGGCAGTATCTAACTTATTGTGGGGAAGTTGTTTTTATTTCTTCTTGTAGATGGGAAATCTGGGGCCAGTGAGGCAACCATGTGACCAAAACCACTGATCCAACATTTTCTGATGCTTTCTGACTCTGAGAAGCTTCTCAGTTGTAGCCCTGGGCCCACTTCCAGAGATTCTGATTCCATAGGTTCTGAGATGAGGCACTTCCCCAAAGCTTCTCACGTGTTAATGTATAGCTAGGTCTAGGAACTGTTGCTGTAGGAACCTTGTTATGTTCACAGTCACTGGCCTGGTAATGTAAACCCATGTGGTGCATGGCACAGGCTGGTCTTTATAAAATATTGGGACACTTTGAACTGTCAGTTATTCCATCTTAGGGTAGTCAAACTGGAGATATTCAGGCCTTCTTGTCCGTGATTGGTCTTCCTGCTTCTGGTTTTCTGTACTTGTCGTCTTGCTCCATTGGGTGTAGGTCACTCTCATCATTGGGAAGCAGAAGGTAGGTCCAGACCTGTGATGACCAAGACACAAGTTCTCGGTAACATTGGGAAAAGGTCACAGTTCCTCTCTGGATCCCTCCTATCTCCTCTTGGGCCTGCTGGCTCTGGTGTCATAGATTTCCCACTGTGCTCTACCCCAGCTTGTCTTCTCTGTCAGCATACATTAATAAGAAAAGGATATAAAAAATATCTGACTCTCCTTCTCTCTTTAAAACACCTTAGTCCTAGGCCTAATTTCTTTGGTGCCTGTGTGGTTAGCTAATCTGAACTAATACGTTGCTGGAGAAAAATGGATGTATTAGATTCTACTGCTGCAAAACAAATTAACCCAATACTGAGTTGCTTTGCTTAAAGCAGCAAGTATTTGTTACTTTGTAGTTTATTTGGGTCAGGAATTTGGGAGGAGTTTAGTCAAATGGCTCTGACATGGGTCTTTCGAGATATTGGCTGGGGCTTCAGTCATCCTTGAGCCCTTGGCAGCAGCTGGGGGATCAGCTTCTAAGATGGCTCACTCATGTGGCTGTTGGCTGGAGTCCTCAGTTCCTGGTGGGCTACTGCTGTCAGGACACCTCAGTTCCTTTCCTTGTAAGTGGCCCCATGGGGCTGCTTGAGTATCCCGATGGCATGGCTCTCCCTAGAATGGCTGATATGAAAGAGAAATAAGATGGGAGCCACTCAGCCTTTTGTGTCCTAATCTCATGACAGTGTTGCTGTCACTCTACCACATTCTTTTTTTTTTCCCCAAAACAATCTTTTATATTTCACTATATTGTAACTTTCCTTTTGGAATACAGAGAAACATAATGTAGCTAATATCAGTGGTTTGAGTTTCTAAATAGAAATTATACAATCCAAGCAAGAAAATTTAGTAGCACTTTCTACACAGATGCAAAAACAATCTGCTCCAAAACTACAAGGGTAAAAATAAGTGATTGGGATTTGCATGCACCCTTAAAAATACGCCCCTTTTACCAGTCCCCAATATTTTACTTCAAATCATTCTGTTTTCTTTAAAAATAATATAATTATAAAGACTTTCTGTAGAATCCTGGCCTATTTAAAATTGGCCAAGTGCAGGAAAGTGGCTTTAAGTAGAAGCTTTTCTATGATTAATCTAGGAACAGCATGTACAGTGATTAAGATAAAAAAGAAAGCTATACTTACATTTATTCATGTTGATCTGTAATTTTGTTATTTTTCTTTTTTATTTATTTGTTTTAAAATTTATTATTTTTAAGTTTTAGGTTCAGAAGGTACATATGCAGGTTTGTTACATGGTCTACCCACCTTCCCCCCACTTTTTTTTTTCAGCTAGAAGTGAGTCACTAAATACAATCCACACTTAAGAAAAGAGGAATTGGGCTCCACCTTTTGAAGGGGGGAGTATCGAAAACTTTGTGGATGTATTGAAAACCTACCACAGTGGATAACCCTTTAATATGCTAGCCTTTCCAGATCCCATATTTACATATTAATAGGGCCTCAAGCTGCTCAAAGCTTAATAGATTCTAGAGCTCCCTTCCCTGACTTATTGACTTTAGACAGAGAAGAATGGGGTGTTTCAGTCTTGTTGATTTGTAATACCCTCTCCTCCCTGCAATGCACGTGCTCATGCAGGTGGACGTGCACACAGGCACACAGTCACCCTTCCGGCTCTGGATCTGGTCCACATAGTGATCACCTCACAACTGTTACAAGCAAAACTTTCTCTCCCACAGGACCTCCCCATCCCCATTCCCAGTCAGGCACTGGTGCCTCTGGTTTCTGACTTTTATGTTGAATACTTCATACTGGTAACCCCATTCTTTTGTTCTCAGTTTGGCCTTGAAGAAAAGCAGAGCAAGAATTGGAATGGCATTTGTAAGGAGGAGGAAAATCTTTTCCTTCCGCCCATGTATTCAGGAGTTGTGATATCCCCTATATCCTAGCAACAGTCTTGGAGGTGAGGCAATGCTTTGTGTGAATCAAAGCAAGTCTGACTGTAACATCATGACTATTGTAAAGGACTTTGAAAAATGAAAAAACTGCCAATTATATGTCTTTGAATTGGATTCCATCCAAGCCCTCCCTGAAGGAATCCCATTTTCTTGGTGTCTGTGCTGGGACAGGAAGGGAGGAAAGAATCCTGGAACATGGACTGCCTGAGAGCATGAAGCAATTCCTTTGGACAAAGAATGATACCTGTTTCTCAGGTTAGGTTACTAAAATGTGATGGATGGATAAACCAAAGATTATGGTTCCGTCAGGCTTCTTAGGACATCATGAGTTACAAGCTTGTAAATCACCTGTGAAATATGCCATTAATCAAGGGTAAAGAGGAATAAGGAAGTCTGTCTGTGTAGGTCAAAGATAGTAAAAGAAATTGCCAGCCGGGCGCGGTGGCTCACGCCTGTAATCCCAGCACTTTGGGAGGCCAAGACGGGCGGATCACGAGGTCAGGAGATCGAGACCATCCTGGCTAACACGGTGAAACCCCGTCTCTACTAAAAATACAAAAATTAGCCGGGCATGGTGGCGCGCGCCTGTAGTCCCAGCTACACGGGAGGCTGAGGCAGGAGAATGGCGTGAACCCGGGAGGCAGAGCTTGCAGTGAGTCAAGATCACGCCACTGCACTCCAGCCTGGGCGACACAGCGAAACTCCGTCTCAAAAAAAAAAAAAAAAAAAAAGAAATTGCCATAGGAGGAGATACTGTTTGTGTCTGGTCTAAGTAATATCTGGTTCTGTAAGCTTGGAAGAAAGACCTAATTATTACAAGAGATATAGGAACAGTGTTACTGATTATAAGGTGGCATGTTTTTTATATCTTCCTAGGGACATGGATAGAATTTTACGTGGTTTGATATTTCGTTTGGGTGTGTTTATGAGGGGCGTTAATTAGGAAGAACAGGTGGCACTGTGTACTTTGGTTATAAAGCATTCTTTTTTGAGTGGTTACTGGGTGACAGGCATCAAAGCAAGGCCTGTTCCTTGACTTATTTTATTTAACCATCACAGCAACCCAGAGAGGTAGCTTATTATTAGCTCAGTATTTGTGGGTGAAATGCCCAAGGCTACACAGCTAATAAGTGGCAGAAGCAGAACTTGGATTCAGATATGTTGGCTTCCAGCACTCTGTGTATTCTGCTTTGCCTTATCTCTATTAACAGTACTTGAAGTGAGGGGGCTACAAATATCTCCCACTTCTCATATGGGATGGTTTTATGCTTTTCTGCAAAGCAGTCAAATGACCTCTTGCCTTTGTTTAGCATCTAATCTGTAAAATGGGCTAATAGCTAAATTAATGTGGAGGGCAAATGAGATATGTTTAAGCATTTCTTAAAGTAGGAAGTACAGTTTAAGTACAAGATATTATGCCCTCACCTCATCTAGAATCTGCTTCAAGTGGTACTGTGAGTTAAATGTTTGTGTCCCCCCTCCCAGAATTCATATGTTCAAATCTAACCCCCAAGGTGATGGTATGAAGAGATAGGTCATTTGGGAAGTGATTAGGTCATGAGGGCTCTGTGCTCATGAATGGGACTAGTGCCCTCATGAAGGAGGCCTGAGGGAATTTGTCTCTTCTGCCATGTTAGCACCCAGCAACAAGATGTCATCTATGAAGCAGAGAGCAAGCCCTTACCAGATACCATATCTGCTGGCACTTTGATCTTGGACTGGCCAGCCTCCAGACCTGTGAGCAATAAAGTTCTGTTGTTTGTAAGCTGCTCATTCTGAGGTATTTTGTTACAGCAGCCCGAAGCAACTAAGACAAGTAGTCAGGTTAACTCATGTTAATTAAGAGTGCTGGTTATGTTCAATGCATTTTACTAAGACTGAATGTTTGCAGAGTTTAGGTGATGATGGGATTTCAACCTAGTGCCCCTGTGTTATTTCTTGAGAACTGGAGAATAAGTAGTAGGGCTAGCTGAAATTGGTACAGCAAAAAGTGTCATTAACCTGCATAAATTCTGTGCTGTCTCATACTTTTGGAGTTGAGCTATATGAGTAGTAAATCACCACCTCTCTAGAAGGTAAGCAATTGCCTATTTTCAAATATTAAAATCTAACACAGGCAAAGGAAAATGGGGTAAGATGATTATGTAGTGCAAAATACAGGAATCACCCTGAGTTTCAAGTACAAAGGAAAAACAATCTAGGCTCTTATCCCCATATAAATTGAGGTGGGAAAGAGCAGTGTACAATGAAGTAATTGAATAAATAACATGAGATATTTATAAGATGAAATTTCTCTTTGTAGAGAGGAAGTCTTGAATGCAAAATGTGATATTTATCTTCTTGCTATTCACTATTGTCTGTTTTAAATAAGGTTGTCTAGTTCATTAATAATGAAGAAGACAGCAGAACACTATCATTCTCAAGATGATTGTACACATTTATAATAATTTACCATTTCTAGGTGCTTACTTGCTTACTCTTGTTTATTAGTTTTCTCTTCATCAATATCTGTAAAATGGAGGCTATCAAAATTATTCATATTTAACAGATTCAGGAATTCTGCAGCTCACATAGGTGAGCTTCCTACGATAGTATACTTTGAGAAAGGAGTGGGTAAAATAACTTGGGTCGTTGGTTTATTTTGGTCCTGCAGTTACATGTGGGCACATGGTTCTGTGTTCTACTCCCCGTGCCAGCCTTAAAAATAAGCTCAGGTGACGACATACTACAGTACAAAAACCCTTTTAGTCCACTGCCTCCTATCGCCTCATTTTTCAAAGGAGACAACCGAGCCTAAATGAATACATTATGGGTGAAGGACCTGTAACTCAGACCCAGATTGCTTGTTTCTTCAAGCTTGGTTTCATTCAACACTCAAGTGCCACATGCTGAGCCACCCCAGGCGCTCCATTTTCTGGGAAGCTGCTCTCCTTGTCTCTGCTTTGCTTTCTGGATGGAGCTAGGGTATGTAAGGGATGGGGGTGGGCAGCAGTCAGGATGCAATGGGACTGAGCCGTGTCAGATTCAAAAAAGATTTCAAAACTCCTCAGCATTTTTTTTTCAGCCCACAACATTTGCATTGGCTTCACTCCCTGCCCACCTAATCATCCTCTTATTCCCCATCAGACAACAAGTACAAATGCCGGCAGCCACAGCCTCAATTTTCCCGAAGCCACCAGTTCCTGTAAAGCCAAGGGGAAACAGAGAGGAGGGCTGAACACTCTTGGCTTGGTTTCCTCTTGGAATTTGGCCCAAGTTTCTTCACTTTCCTCCAGATTGCTTGTAGTCTCTAGTCACCTGAGCTTATTTTTGAGGCTGGTACGGATGGTGGAACACAGAACCACGTGCCCATGTATAACTGCAGGGGCCAAGATGGTGATGTAAGAGAGCCGGATGCTCCCAGAACCAGCCAGATAGTTGTCAACAAGGTGCAAAGTGAGGCTGAGAATGGCTCTGAGCAGGGAAAAGAACGGTGCAGATAAAGCATGGGATCAGTGGGATTTCCGGTGTCATGTCTAATGCCCTAACTTTAATTCAATTCCATACTGGTTTGTCCCTAGATAGTAGTGGCTACTTTGGGGTCAGACCAGCAAGCATGTGCCAGACATTGTGCTAGGTTTTGGAAAAAAGCACTCAAGGATAACACCCATTCCTCTGTCTTCCAAAAGGTCGTCACCTTCATCAGCATCACCTGGAGACTTGATACCATTTAGACACCTGATCTTCACTCCAAACCTGCCAAATTATCATCTCTGGGATGCAGGCCCAGGGATCTTCTATTGAAACAAGCCTCCAGTGTTAATCTCCCCAAAGTTTGAAGGAAGGCAAGTGAGAGAACATTAGATCTCCTCTTAGAAGTGGAGGGACACTTGTGTGTCCAGGCTTGGAAACAAACTCTGACGAATCCTGAGACCTGGAAGAACAAACTCTTCGAGTTTGGGTCTGCTGGGGCTTATGGGTGATTTACTGGGCTTCTTTAGGTACGAGGGATGAATATCTCAGGCCACTTAAGGAAATTTTATTAATTTGAATACAAAGATCAAGTCAAACTCTGATAAAAAAGTATTTACTGAGCACAGTGGTCATAGCCCTTTAGAGGATGAGAGAGTCTAAGGTAAGCTCTTGCCTTCCATTTAGCAGTGGTCCTAAGACTTACCAAGGTAACCCACAGGATAAAAGATAAAATAGGTAAAACCTGAGAGTGTCTGCCCTTTGGGAGCAGAGTATGGAGAACATCCTCTTGCATGGGGGGCATTTAAATGTGTAACTGAGAATCCTGGAGGAGAGGGTAAGGTGAGTAGAGGTGGACAAGGATGCTCACTGACGGGGACACAGCTTTTACTGAAGGTCCATGCAATAAAATAAGCTTTCTGTGAGCTAAAAATAACATTTACTGAGCACTTTCAATGGGCACTCTCTACAGCTTACAAGTGTTAACTTTCTTTTATCCTCACAGCAACACAATGAGTTAGGTATTATTACCTGTTCCATTTTCCACACGAGAAAATTGAGGCACAGAGAAGTGTATTTAATTGCTCCATGTCACATGGCAAAGAAGCAGTAGATCCAGGATCTGAAGCTCAAGAGTCTTCCTGTGGGGTGTCTGCACTCAGCCCTGTCCCTTATCTTAGGAAGCCATTTGAGGAATGTGCTCACACTTTTGTGCTCTCTTGTCCCTCCAGGCTTCTGCAGAAAAAGTCCCTGCTGATATTCCAGGGCAGAGGAAGTGAAAGCTGTAACCCTCAGGAAATGCCAGCATTGAAGGAGAGGGTGCGAAAAGGCTGAGGGAGCTGGAATAACCTGAGACTTTTCCAGGGCCCACCATGGCAGCACAACATTTCAGGGCATTTTATATCTGTCCAGGGCAGGAGGCAAGTCAGTGTCCTTTCTTGGTGGGACTCAGGTGTGCATTTATAGAGGAGCCAGACCCCTGGCTTCTGGTTTTGCTTGCCAGGGTCAGCAGGTCTAGGGCAGGAACAGAGTGGCATGACCCACTTTACAGGAGTTGGCAACATGAGTTACATAGGTGAAAAAGAGAAACATTTTGAGGAATCCCACAGTGCTGGCAAGAATCAAGTTGCAATGCTTGACCTTGTTGACCTTGGGGTTGGATGTAGAGATAAATGAAGCTGATGGGCTAGGAGATTGGGAGATGGAAAAGGTTGGTATCAGATGGGGGGCAAACACCATTAGAATGGTGAGTTTGGAAACTGAGAGGTCCTGCAGCAGGACTTATATATGACTGAAAATGGCCCGGGGAAATGATTGGAGTTTGTCAGTGAGGAATGAGAATGTTGAAAGAATCATTGTGTGAATGTTGAGGTCACCAAGTTATGTCAGCAGTGCTAGAGAAACCTAGTGTAGAGAGGCAGCTTGAAAATATCCTTGAGTGGATAAAGGGCAGGGTTATATGAGATGTTCTAATTACCCAAGACCTCTCACAAAGCAAGATAAAATCAATACGCAGTTGTTAAGAGGCAGGAGAGACCACTAGTTAGGGAAGAATGTATAGAAGATGCAGTACTTGAGCAAAACAGCTCAAGCTTTTCTTATTTTCTCATTCATTCATTCATTCACCTATTAATTCATTCCAGAAAGAGAGGTGAGGGGAGATATATACATATACATATATATATATATATATATATATATATATATATATATACACACACACACACACACACACACACATACATATATATATATACATATATATATATATACACACACACACACATATATATATATATATATATATATATATATATATATATATATAAAATTTAGAGATCCAGAGGGTTAACTTTCATATCCTGATGAATAACTTGGGACAAACACCTCCGTCTCAGAACCTTCTGGGGCCATGGCTGGCATCCTTTGGTTTGGGCATGTAAAGGAGCCTATGGATTAGGGATGTCTCTGGAATATATCTTGAAATATTTATCAGTCTTAAGGTACTTCCTAATTAGTTCTTACTAGTTACTATTAACTACTATTTAGGGGATTTGGTGAAAACTGAGCTGTGTTTAAGCGAGAGAGAGAGAGAGAGAGAGAAAGAGAGAGAGCCCCTGAACACAACATTCCCCTTTCGTTTTCCTAGAACTGGCCCTGCTTGAAGCTACTAGTCTTAGTCCATTTCGGCTGCTATAACAAAAAACCATAATCCAGGTGGCTTATAAGCAAGAGAGATTTATTCCTCTCAGTTCTAGAGGCTGGGAAGTCCAAGATCAAGGCGCCAGCAGATTCAGTATGTGGTGAGGGACCACTTCTTGGTTCACAGATGGTGCCTTTTCACTGTGTCTTCACATGGTGGAAATGGTGAGAAGTCTCTGTGGGTCTCTTTCATCATGGCATTCAGGAGGGCTCTAATCAATCCCAAAGTCCCCACCTCCTGATATCATCACTTTGGGGATTAAAATTTCAACCTATGAATTTTGGGGTAACACAAACATTCAAACCCTAGCACTAATTTTCCATGGGATGACAAGGGGTGAAATAACTTTACCAGATACAACAGTTTCTGCATCCAGAAAAACTGGGTCCTAGTGTTACATGATGCGTGGATTAGAAAGTTGGCTTAGAGAACTTGTTTTAAGAGCCTTTTTAAACAGAATAAAAAAGCTTTCATGTTTTGAGGAGAAAAGAAAAGGTGACTTTTGTGTGCTTCTTAATGCATATGTACAACTTTGAAAGGATTTATTATAGAACTCAAGAACAGAAGATTAAGAAATTAAGAATCATGATGCTTAAAATAGATACCACTATTTTTTTTCCACTTTAAGCAAAGCAATCTGCCAGGCAGGTGAGATTTCTGAAATGGTGACAATGAAATATACAGAAGCCTGGGATGCTATTCCTTTACCAGTACCAGTAATATTTCCAAATGCACTTTTGATGAATATTTTAAATTTTCTCCTAGCAACATATAGATAAACAGAGCTAGGAAAATGATCATCTGATGTCCTTCCCTGCCCATGCTACTCTAAGTATAAAGGACTGCAGTGCATTTAACAGTGTTCCTAATCTGCTACAAAATCAAATCAGCACCTACTTCTGTGCTTTCTTTTTCAGGTTATAAATTTTCTTTTTGTTTTTGAAATCAGTGACAGCTAGGAAGGAAAAAAAGTCATCCTTGGTATTTTTATAAGCTGTGTAATTGCTTTTCTTCTCTCATCAGGTTACTTTTTCTTCCATTTGCTGTTACTTCCACTAAATCATAAACAGAAAAGAGTTAAGGCTGGCGAGGTTTAGTGAGGCTCGTGTGTATAACTGAAAAAAGTATAATCATAACTGTATATATATATATATATAGTGTCAGAATTTAGCTCTAAATATATGCAGACACCCCATTTTTTGGGAGGCAGTAGTGTTAGGAGTCCTGCAATACTCGGTTTATGTATTTGTGCCTAGTGTTACATTTATTTATGTCTGTTTCTTATCTACTATATTGTAAATTCCGTAAAGGCAGCAACTCTCTGTCATCTCCACATCTTCAGCTGTGCTTCACTATTAATGCTGGCTAATAAATATTTATTTAATAAATGAGAAACATAGAAGGGAAAAATCATGTACACCCACCCTACTAATAAATTATATGGTTTGATTTGAGGGATACCAAACCCATGTCCCTTCTCAGATTTGAAATTTTGTTCATTTCATTTTCATTGTCTTAAGGTTATTTATTTATTTTTTTCCAGAAAGCATCTGTTAAAGCAAAGTTTTATCTGGAAATAGAGCTTTGAAGGCATGGGACACAGGTGGATGCATTTTGAATGGAGAAGATTGGAAGGAAGGATGGAAGTTGTGAGGCTGCTGGTGTGGACAGTCCCAGGCAGGGGTACCTGGGGGGAAAAGCTGCTGAAAGGCAGTAAGGCAGTATCAAAAGAGGTATATGCTGCATCTTTCATAAGGTTCCCAGCATGAGATATGGAGATTTTGAAGACAATAGGCAATTAAAAAATCCTGCCCTTAGGTTTTGCAATGCCGTCTGAGGCCTGCATTCAGAACTGCCAATGCACAATATTAACCCCTAAGTGCTCACCTGCTTCTGTGCACAACCCCAATGATGACACTTAGCAGAACTGTAGACAGCTGTAATCTTGCCAGGTGAGCAATAACACAGGAGCACATTCATCCTCTCCTAGATCCCTGTACCTAGGATAAATTCACAAAAATTACTCACTGCCTTAAAAATCCTCCAAAAACAGCAGGATGTAAGCCTAGAGGGTGATCCCGGGAGACCGTAACAATCATAGAGCTCTCCAAAGAGAAAGGAAGCTCTGGCAACAGTCAGAGGCAATGTGTCCCATGACACCTCCCAACTGTGTCCCGCCCCACCACCCCTGTCAACTTTCAGAGCCTCTTACACAGCTAGCAAGGGACTCAGTAATAAAGCGTTGGCAGTCATTCTTCTGTTTTTGCCCTTTGAATCCCTAATTGGGAGTGTCTGGAGTCACACAAAGTAGGCAATGTTAGGCAACAGGACAGATATGTCAGCCAAAGATACCATGGCTTTTGACAAATATGTAATAATATTTTCATACATTTTCCTGATATAAGGCAGGGTTTACTTTGAGTGCAGAATCAAAAGCTGGTAAAAAAAAATAGCTCAGTTCTCTCAGTGGTAGAAATGAGAGTAGTGATGGGGCAGGTGGGAGAGGGTGAGAGAGAAAGGGTGGGAGTCTCTGGGTGCGGCTGCTGTATTTCAGGGTCTGCCGGCATTTCCATTACTGAAACCTCAGGGGGCTATAATTTAATGTAACTGTAAAAATTTACCCTCTGAATGGAAAGTTATCACCTTGGAACTTATTCTGCTGATATTTTGCAATTTTTGAAGAGGTAGAAGAATACATTTTCTCTCTGTGTTAAAATTAGAAGAGAAACATAGAAAGCCTACTTCATTTAGCTATTTTTGAGAGACCTTTGAAATAAGATAATATAATATGGACTTGGAATTCAACTTTTTTCTATTTCCACAGCTCCCTTTTATTTTTAAATATTGTCTTAATTTACATCCTCTTCTTTGCCTTCCAGAATGTGTGTGTGCGTGTGTGTATAAAATATATTATTCTGTATATCAACCCTCTCTCTACCTCCTCTCTACTAAACAAGCATTTGCTCCTATCTACAAGACAGTGTGTTTTGGGCTCAGAAAAACAAAGAAGAATAAAATATTCTCTGTCTTTAATAACAAGATTCTCTTCTGTTGGAGAAACATTTGGTTCATTTTGTTTTTCTATGTTAGATTTTAACCTCTTTGAAAGTCAAAAGAGGCATCCTATGCATAGATACACTTGAATTCAACACAATACAATGCCAGAAAGGCTTATAAGTCTTCAAAAATGGTAAATTTCTTGGCTATCATTAATCTCCCTTCAACATTTCTTTCTTTGATCCTGGTTGAGTGAACTCCACAAAGCAATCTGTCCTAAGGTGTGGTAGGCAATAGAATGGTCCCTCAAAGGTATCTGCTTTCTAATCCTTGGAATCTGTAACTGTTACCTTACTGGAAAGGGTAATTAAGGTTGCAGATGGAATCAAGGCTGCCAGTCGGCTGGCCTTATAATAGGGAGATTATCTTGTTTTATCTGGGCACGCCCAAAGTAATCACAAGGGTTCTTAAAAGCAAAAGAGGGAGGCAGCAGAGCAGTCCTAGAGATGTGAGATGAGGATGTAACCCTCCACTTTGGGCTTCGAAGATGGAGGAAAGGACCACAAGCCAAGAAAGGTAGGCAGCCTCTAGAAGCTAAAAAGACAGGGAAATGGACTCTCCCCTACAGCCTCCAGGAAGAAATGCAGCCCTGCTGATACCTTGATTTTAGCCTGGTGAGACCCATTTTGAACTTCTGACCTGCAGAATTTTAAGTAACATCTTAACACAAACTTAGTGGCTTAAAACAACACAAATGTAACAAATGGTATGTTACATTTATATAATAAATATATTGTAATACATTATAAATAACAAGTGTATTATTACATTTGTATAACATTGTTACAAACAATACATTTATATTGTTGTAAGCCACTAAGTTTGTGTTAAGATGCTACAGTAGCAATAGGAAATTAATACACAAGGTAAATACAGAACAGGTCACCTTAACAGATTACCCAGTTAATTTCTCTTTTGGCTGATCAGGGCCTTCCAATTGTCCATCTGAATTTCCTAAAACCATTTCCATTCTAAGTCCTCATTCATATCCTCCTCATTTCAAGCTTCATTCCATGGACTTTTCATTTGTCTATATCTTATATTTTCCTCTCCAAAACCTACTTGTTCTGTCTTCTTGTTTAGGGCTTCTTTCTATTGATGGAAAAATTCTGATAATAGGTATCAAAGATGATATTTTTGATATGGGAGAAATGAGTTTTGTTCTATATGGTCCATATCAATCATGATCTAATCAGAAGACAGAAATCACATAGTTATTTGAACAAAGAAATATGAATATAAGGAATTATTAACTATAGCAGGAGATTAAAGGTTTGAGGCATTGGATAATAAGACTAAAAAGAACTTTAAAAGAGTATGGAGACCCAGCAATTCGATTACTGGCTATATACCTAGTGGAATATATAATAAATTATTCTACCATAAAGATACATGCACACAAATGTTCATTGCAGCACTATTTACAATAGCAAAGACATGGAATCAATGTAAATGCCCATCAGTGACAGATTGGATAAAGATAATGTGGTATACATGTACAATGGAATACTATGCAGCCATGAAAAAGAGCAAGATCATATATTTTGCAGGAACATGGATAGAACTGGATGCCATTATCCTTAGCAAACTAATGCGGGAACAGAAAACCAAATACCACATGTTCTCACTTGTAAGTGGGAACTAAATGATGAGAACACATGGAAACATAGAGGGGAACAACAGACGCTATGGCTTACTTGAGGTTGAAGGGTGGGAGGAGGGAGAGGATCAGAAAAAATAACTTTGGGACCTAGGCTTAGTATTTGGATGATGGAATAATCTGTACAACAAACCACCATGACACAAGTTTACCTGTATAAGAAAGAAACCTGCATATGTACCTGTGAACCTAAAATAAAAGTTAAAAAGAGAGAGAGAGTATGGAAAGAGCAGGTATAAAAGAGCAGCCCTATCCCTAGGGCTGAGCTAGAGCACCCAAGGAAGAGCCCCCTGACTGCCCACAGCTGTGATACAGACCTTGTTGGAGGGCATGACCGTGGTTCCCTGGGTAGTGGGGAATTAATTGTAATGCAGTGCTGGTGGAACTTGCTGAAACTGTGTTCTCTAGAACTTGTTAGAATTCCACCCACTAGGATGCCAGGGAAAGCTTTTCACAGGAAGGTATATTGCTGGAGGCTCTTTGCTGTGAAACTACCCAAAGGGAGATGCCAGGAGAAATGGCTGGTCACTGACTGGTACTAGCTTCTATGCACTACAGGAGCCAGATGCTGGAGAAGGTGTATGTGCTGTAGGATCTGGGCACTAGAGAAGCCATGCATGCCAGATTCAGAAATAGGGAGGAAGGCCCCTTCTTCCTGCAGTGTCATTCCAGCACCTGCTGCTGACAAAGCTTGACATCGTTCTAGGTGGCAAAGGAAATATATTTATAAGGCTCAACTCTATTCACAGAGCAGGCAATGAAGGGTGAATTTTGAGCTAAGAGGCAATAATTGAAAACTAGCAAGTAAGGTGGTGATTCTCAAAAAAGTGATCTGTGGATGACTGGGCATCCTGGAATTCTTCCTGGGGGTCTGTGAGGTCAAGACTATTTTCATGATAATATTACAATTTTATTTGCCTATTTATTGTGTTGACATTTGCACTCATGGTGCAAAAGCAGTGGTGGTAAAACTTCTGGCAACAAACAAAGCAGAAAACAAAGCAGTGACACCAAACTGTACTAGTTGTTGTTGTATTATTCACCTCCATATATAATAAATGATCAGTTTCTCTTGAGAATCCCTGATGAAGCTGTAGGAATTATTAATTTTATGAAATTTCAAACCTTGAATACACATCTCTTTATTATTCTGTGTGGCAAAATGGGAAGAATGCATAAAGTAATTCTGCTGCCTATCCAAATATAATTGTTTTGAGGAAAAGCAAGTGTGCAGTTATTTGAATTGCAAGCTGAACTAGCTGCTTTTTTCATAGGATGGCATTTTAAGTTGAATGCATGACTGACAGACTATGGTTATGCAGACTTGGGTATTTGGTAGACATTTCTTTAAAATTAACAACAAAATGAGCCTGTCACTCTAAGGAAAAACTGAGCATTTGTTACCAGTGATAAAATTCAAGCTTTCAAGTGGAGATTAGAATTTTGGAAAACTTGTATCTGTCACCATGAGCTTGCCAGCTTCCCAATCCTTAAAAACTTTTCTAGATTGATGACGATATTACAAACATGATTTTTTGATATTGTGTAAAATGTATCAGTATTTAGAAAATCTGATACCCCAGTGAATTAATATTTTTTAAATGACCAATGTATGCAGTCCGAGAATCATTCGTGGGCCAAAGATCTATTTAAAGTGTAAGATAGGCCAGTGAATTTTAATGTAACAGAAGGTAAAATGTTCTTTGATATGGTTTCAGATTCCATATTGCAGCTAACCTTTAAGACACTACCACTTGTTGAGTTCTGCCTAGTACCAAAGAATTTCCACAGTTATCTGCAAAGGCTATTAAAATTCTCATTCCTTTTCCAAGAATGTATCTGTATGAGGTTGAATTTTCTTCACCTATTTCACTCAATATACCACAACAGATTGAGTGCAGAAACAGGTATGAGATTCCAGCTGTCTTTTATTACTAAGTCAGACATTAAGGCAGTTTGCAAAGATGCAAAATAATGTCACTCTTCTCATTAAATTTTTTGTTTTGAAAAATATGGTTATTTTAATTTAAAGTATGTTAATGATTTATTACATTTTACATTAATTAAATGTTTAATTCTCAATTAAAATTTTGAATACAGTGCACATTAACAGAGAAAACTCACATACACAAAAGCTCTTTGGGGTACCCAATAATTTGTAAAGATTTTAAAGGCTCCCTGAAGACAAAAGGTTGAGAACTGCTGATATAGGAAATCAATGGGTGGAAGTTGCAGATTGTGGCTCACAGGTAAGGAAGTACTATCTGAAAACTAGAGCTGTCTCAATCACGCTAGTAATCAGAAAAGTGAAATTTAAACAACCCAGACAGAAACAATTTTTTGCCCCTCACATTGGCAAAATATTTAAAAAATCTGATAGTGTTAAGTTTGGTGAGAGTAGGTAAAAGTAAGAACTCTCACTTAATGTTGGTGAAGTCTGAGTGGTATGATCATTGGTAAGAGCCCATTGGCGATCTTTTTTTTTTAACTGACTCATATGCTTTGAAGACAAATTGGCAAGAATATACACTGTTAACCTTTTTTTTTTTTTTGTAATTGCAAAACAAGCAAACCAAGCCCTGCATAATGGATCAATACAAAGTGGCACCTTGATATAATAGGTCCCATATAGCTGTGAATGTACTTGCTCTCAAAATGTATATATAGACCTTAAAACCATAACATTGAGTAAAAACAGAAAATTGCAGAGTGATAGGTATTGTACGATATAATTTATATATATTTTAAAAGCCAACACTTGAAGAATATATTGATACATGTTCGGTTGAACCACATAAATTTATTTTGTGTGTGTGACAGGGTCTTGCTCCTTCACCTAGGCTGCAGTGCAGTGGTGGGATCATGGTTCACTGCACCCTTAACCTCTCAGGCTCAAGCGATCCTCCCATCTCAGCCTCTTGAGTAGGTGGGGCCACAGGCGTGCACCACCACACCTGGCTAATTAGAAAAACTTTTTTTTTAGTAGAAGACAAGGTCTTGTCATGTTGCCCAGGCTGGTCTTGAACTCCTGGCCTTAAGTGATCCTCCTGCTTCAGCCTCTCAAATGTTGGGCTTACAGGCATGAGCCATCATGCCTGGCCAAAATTAGATTCCTTAGGTCAAAAAATAGTTGAATATAAGCAAATTCATATTATTCAAATTAAATATAGAAAAGTTTAAGAAATAGCCTTGAAGTAATCACACCAAATTCCTGTGGGGAAGATGGGCCTAAACTAATGAGAATAGACTTCAACTTAATCTATAACATTTATTTTCTTTTATAAAAATGAATAAAATGACAAAATGCCAAAGTTGTAAATTCTAAATGGTAGATATTGGACGTTGGTTTTACTATTATATATTAAGGAATCTTTTTAAAAGAAACTAGAATTGTCCAAAAGAGGATGAAATGACTTAAGAGGCAGCATGCTTCACTTTACTTGCTGGGTCTAGCATGTGGGAAGAGACATTAAACTGTCCACTGGGGAGATGGCCAGAAAACTCATGGCCTTTACTCAAAGGGGTAAAGCTGTTGTTTCCAGCAGCTTCAGGTCCCATGGCAGCCTGTTGTGTGGGGAGGAGTCACAGGGATGACGGATTTCTTTAGAGCCCCTATAAATCTCAGTACATAATTAGGTCCCTAATAGGCTGACTTCTGGTATTTGGAAAAGGAAGATTTTTTGTAGCAGAATCTTCACTTAGAAGAGCTGAAAATACTGACTTCTGAGAAATACTGACTGTCTAGTTTAACAGGATCCATTTGGATATTTTTCACCAGCACTGTGAAAGTTAGAATGGTCAATTAGTCACAGACAAAATGGACTTAAAATGTTTAAATTGTACTAAGGGGCAGCATGTAACCTAATGTATACTGAAGCATCTTCTTTGAGTTGTATTCTTATTTTTGCCATTTTTGAATTACTTTTAAAGTAGAGCTTTTAGTGAGAACCTTACAAAGTAAAAAATGAATGATACAATACATAAGCAGTTCATTCTTATAAGAAGATGCTATTTGTGGATCTCTGATGTGGAGGGGGAAAAAAGACCACCTGACTAGGGTTAAGAAAATTCTGGTCTATGTGGACAGCCAGATCCTGTACAAGTGAAATTCCCACCAAAGAAACTGTGTAGGAAGTGAAAAACTTGTGCCTTGGCAGTGATGACTGGAGAGAGCAGTGAAGTCATTGTGGAAAGACTGTGTGAGGAGCTGGCCAGGCACTTGGTTGGGAACAGCATCCCAGGGGAGATGTGTCCCCAGAGGATTGAAGGGGAGATGGTCCAATTTACCTGTGTAAGGGATTACTTACTCTGGGATTTGGGATTTTCTGCTGAGTCTGAAGGTTAATTCTGGAATAATGGATTGAGCTAGCAGTGGAGGGTGATTCACAGCAGAGGCCTGACTCTTGCAAATGAGTCAGGAAATAGGAGTGTGAAATATGGCAGGCAATGGCTAAATAGTTCAGGGATGGTTATTGTTATTAGAATGTGTGAGGCAGTCTTCTCCTATATATAGCATGCGGGTCTGAGCATTTGTTCAACTCCTACCTCCAACCAAAGAACTCAATGTGACATCAGGCTGGGGAGAGCTGCTTGTCTAGGTGAAATTACTTAGGGAATGCCAAAGGAGCTTCAAATTATTCACATTTCAATGACATTTTTTCATGAACGATATAGGACTGCTTAGAGCCAGCTGTCAGACAGATAATGACACTGAAATGTGCTCTGAGCAGGGCCCTAGACACTTCAGGGTTTTATTTCTCTAGGTTTATGGCCAGGCCAAGGTAGAATCTTCAGTAAGCCTCTGTCCTTTACTCACTCCGCCCTATGTCAAACTGGTCCAAGTAAGTTGCCTTTTGTAATGTATCTGAAGGACCTTTTCTTATTACTCATTAATCTCTGTCTTCTTGGTTTAGCACTGAGATAGTTTACTTGTTCTCCAATTAATTCAGTCATTCATTTATTTAATATACATTGACTAGTATATGAGGTACAATTAAAAATAAATCTTGTCCTCTAGAAGTTTTTCATCTACTGAAGGAGATAAGGCACATCCTCAGATAGTCTTAAGGCAGAGTGGAATGAGAAGTGCTGTATCAACTAAGAGCTAAAGGAGTTCAGAGAAGGGAGATGTTCAGATGGTGGTGTGTGGTAGAAGGCCCTGGAGGAGGAGATAATTGAGAGCATTGCAGAAGAAACAGGGCAGAGCTGTAAGTGCTCTGACCAGTTTGTGATTTGGTGTTCCTTCAGACTGATGGCCTTTGCCATCAAATCCATTTGCTCAGCATTTGTTTAGCAGAGAGAGAGAAGCCCAACAGAAGCCTCTTCTTTATTGCTTGAAGTCATTCAGACCTGGCCTCAAGCTTGTATACCCTACTTAGCAGGAGAAAAGCCCTGCAGTTACCTGGACCTACTCTCCTTGGAAGGCAGTGTAGCTACCTACCATCTGTGGTTATTCACACTTACCCCTGCCAATATTCCCCATCCCTAAGTGTCTTTATTAAATTATTCCTTCCTAACACCTACAGTCCTGTATCTGAAGGGAGTCCTAGTAAACACAGTTTGTTCCATTTCATTACAGCTTTAAGCATTGCTGGGGTATTTGCCATCTGGCTCTTTCCTTAATCTAGTTCTGGGAAGAAGTAACAGCCTGAACAAAGGTTCAGAGGCTGGACAGCTTGGGGGTATCAGATCAGAATGTGAGAAGAGAGAAGGAAGAAATGCTGCAAACACCATCAGCTCAGAGAGGTCTTTGAAGGCTAGTGTATCTAAGAGAATTGGTGTCAGATCACTAAGGCAGAGTAAGGCACTGAAAGATTATGAGCCGGGATTATGATTTACATAATCAGATTTACATTTTTCAAATTATTTTTTGGTTAATACCAGGAAATAATGGATTTAAAAATGTATAAAAATTATGTATTCTCATAATTTTTCTCTATAAACTTTTACTTTAGAATGTTTTTATCAGAATAGGAACAGCTCCGATCTGTAGCTCCCAGTGAGATCAATGCAGAAGGTGGGTGATTTCTGCATTTCCAACTGAGGTACCTGGTTCATCTCACTGGTACTGGTTAGATAGTGGGGGAAGCCCACGGAGGGCAAGCCAAAGCAGGGTGGGGCATTGCCTCACCCCGGAAGCGCAAGGGGTCAGGGAACTCCCTCCCCTAGCCAAGGGAAGCCATGAGGGACCCTGCCATGAGGGACTGAGCTATCTGGCCCAGATACTATGCTTTTCCCATGGTCTTCACAACCCACAGTCCAGGAGGTTCCCTTAGGTGCCTACACCACCAGGGCCCTGGGTTTCCAGCACAAAACTGGGCGGCCATTTGGGCAGACACCCAGCTAGCTGCAGGAGTATTTTTAATACCCCAGTGGCACCTGGAATGCCAGCAAGACAGAACCGTTCACTCCCCTGGAAAGGGGGTTGAAGCCAGGGAGCCAAGTGGTCTAGCTCAGTGGATCCCAGCCCCGTGGAGCCCAGCAAGCTAAGATCTACTGGCTTGAAATTCTCACTGTCAGCACAGCAGTCTGAAGTTGACCTGGGATGCTTGAGCTTGTTGAGGGGAGGGGCGTCCACCATTACTGAGGCTTGAGTAGGTGGTTTTCCCCTCACAGTGTAAACAAAGCCATGGAGAAATTTGAACTGGATGGAGCCCACCGCAGCACCACAAAGCCACTGTAGCCAGACTGCCTCTCTAGATTCCTCCTCTCTGGGCAGGGCATCTCTGAAAGAAAGGCAGCAGCCCTAATCGGGCTTATAGATAAAACTTCCATCTCCCTGGGACAAAGCACCTGGGGGAAGGGGTGGCTGTGGGCACAACATCAGCAGACTTAAACGTTCCTGCCTGCTGGTTCTGAAGAGAGCAGTGGATCTCTCAGCACAGTGCTTGAGCTCTTCTAAGGGACAGACTGCCTCCTCAAGTGGGTCCCTGACCACCATGCCTCCTGACTGGTAGACACCTCCCAGCAGGGGTTGATAGACTCCTTATACAGGAGAGCTCTGGCTGGCATCTGGCGGGTGCCCCTCTGGGATGAAGCTTCCACAGTAATGAACAGGCAGCAATCTTTGCTGTTCTGCAGCCTCTGCTGGTGTTAACACAGGCAAACAGGGTCTGGAGTGGGCCACCAGCAAACTCCAGCAGACCTGCAGCAGAGGGGCCTGACTGTTAGAAAGAAAACTAACAAACAGAAAGGAATAGCATCAACATCAACAAAAAGGACATCCACAGAAACCCCATCGGAAGGTCACCAACATCAAAGATCAAAGGTAGATAAATCCACGAAGATGAGGAAAAACCAGTGCAAAAGGCTGAAAATTCCAAAATCCAGAATGCCTCTTCTCCTCCAAAGGATCACAATTCCTTACCAGCAAGGGAACAAAACTGGATGGAGAATGAGTTTGATGAATTGATAGAAGTAGGCTTCAGAAGGTGGGTAATAACAAACTCCTTCAAGCTAAAGGAGCATGTTCTAACACAACACAAGGAAGCTAAGAATCTTGAAAAAAGGTTAGACCAATTGCTAACTAGAATAAGCAGTTTAGAGAAGAACATAAATGACCTGATGGAGCTGAAAAACACAGCATGAGAACTTCGTGAAGCATACACAAGTATCAATAGCCAAATCGATCAAATGGAAGAAAAGATATCAGAGATTGAAGATCAACTTAATGAAATAAAGCACGAAGACAAGATTAGAGAAAAAAGAATGCAAAGGAATGAACAAGTCCTCCAAGAAATATGGGACTATGTGAAAAGACCAAACCTATGTTTGATTGGTGTACCTGAAAGTGATGGGGAGAATGGAACCAAGCTGGAAAACACACTTCAGGATATTAACCAGAACTTTCCAACCTAGCAAGACAGGCCAACATTCAGATTTGGGAAATACAGAGAACACCACAAAGATACTCCTCAAGAAGAGCAACCCCAAGACATATAATTGTCAGATTCACCAAGGTTGAATTGAAGGAAAAAATGTTAAGGGTAGCCAGAGAGAAAGGTCGGATTACCCACAAAGGGAAGCCCGTCAGACTAACAGCAGATCTCTTGGCAGAACCCCTACAAGCCAGAAGGGAGTAGGAGCCAATATTCAACTTTCTTAAAAGAATTTTCAACCCAGAATTTTATATCCAAACAAACAAAGCTTCATAAGTGAAGGAGAAAGAAAATCCTTTACAGACAAGCAAATACTGAGAGATTTTGTCACCAGAAGGTCTGCCTTACAAGAGCTCCTGAAGGACGCACTAAATATGGAAAGGAAAAATCAGTACCAGCCATTGCAAAAACATACCAAATTGTAAAGACCATCGATGCTATGAAGAAAAGACCATTTACACTATGAAGAAACTGCATCAACTAATGGGCAAAATAACCAGCTAGCATCATAATGACAGGATCAAATTCACACATAACAATATTAACCTTAAATGTTAATGGGCTAAATGCCCCAAATTAAAAGACACAGACTGGCAAATTGGATGAAGAGTCAAGACCCATGGTGTGCTGTATTCAGGAAACCCATCTTGTGCAAAAACACACATAGGCTCAAAATAAAAGGATAAAGGAATATTTACCAAGCAAATGGAAAGCAATAAAAGCAGGGGTTGCAATCCTAGTCTCTGATAAAACAGACTTTAAACCAGCAAAGATCAAAAAAGACAAAGAAGAGCATTATGTAATGGTAAAGGGATCAATGCAACAAGAAGAGCTAACTATCCTAAATATATATGCACCCAAAACAGGAGTACCCAGATTCATAAAGCAAGATGTTGGAGACCTACTAAGAGACTTCGACTCTTACACAATAATAGTGGGAGATTTTAACACCTGACTGTCAATATTAGACAGATCAATGAGACAGAAATTTAACAAGGATACTCAGGACTTGAACTCAGCTCTGGACAAGCGGACCTAATAGACATCTACAGAACCCTCCACCCGAAATCAACAGAATATACGTTCTTCTCAGCACCACATCACACTTATTCTAAAACTGACCATATAATTGGAAGTAAAACACTGTTTAGCAAATGCAAAAGAATGGAAATCATAACAGTCTCTCAGACCACAGTGCAATCAAATTGGAACTCAGGGTTAAGAAACTTACTCAAAACCACACAACTGCACGGAAACTGACCGACCTGCTCCTGAATAACTGGGTAAATAATGAAATTAAGTCAGAAATGTATAAGTTCTTTGAAACCAATGAGAAGAAAGACACAACGTAACAGAATCTCCAGGACACATCTAAAGCAGTGTTTAAAGGAAATTTATAGCACTAAATGCCCACAGGAGATAGTGGAAAAGATAGAAAATCAACACTCTAACATCACAATTGAAAGAACTAGAGAAGCAAGAGCAAACAAATTTAAAAGCTATCAGGAGACAAGAAATAACTAAGATTAGAGCAGAACTGAAGGAGATAGAGACATGAAAAACCCTTCAAATAATCAATGAATCCAGGAGCTGGTTTTTTGAAAAGATTAACAAAATGGATAGACCACTGACTAGACTAATAAAGAAGAAAAGAGAGAATAATCAAATAGACACAATAAAAAATGATAAAGGGGATATCACCATTGATCCCACAAAAATACAACCTACCATCAGAGAATACTATAAACACCTCTACACAAATAAAGTAGAAAATGTAGAAGAAATGGATAAATTTCTGGACACATACACCCTCCCAAGACTAAACCAGGAAGAAGCTGAATCCCTGAATAGACCAATAACAAGTTCTGAAATTGAGGCAGTAATTAATAGACTACTAACTAAAAAGAGCCTGGGACCAGAGGGATTCACAGCTGAATTCTACCAGAGATACAAAGAGGAGCTGGTACCTTTCCTTCTGAAACTATTCCAAACAATAGAAAAAGAGGGTTTCCTCCCTAACTCATTTTAGGAGTCCAGCATCATCTTGATACCAAAACCTGACAGAGACACAACAAAAAAAGAAAATTTCAGGCCAATATTCCTGGTGAACATTGATGTGAAAATCCTCAGTAAGATACTGGCAAGCTGAATCCAGCAGCACATCAAAAAGGTAGATCATATCCACCATGATCAAGTTGGGTTCATCCCTGTGATGCAAGGCTGGTTCAACATAAGCAAATCAATAAATGTAATCCATTACATAAACAGAAGCAACAATGAAAACCACATGATTATCTCAATAGATGCAGAAAAGGCCTTCAATAAAATTTAACACTGCTTCATGCTAAAAACTGTCAATAAACTAGGTATTGATGGAACACATCTGAAAATAATAAGAGCTATTTCTGACAAACCCACATCCAATATCATACTGAATGGGCAAAAGCTGGAAGTTTGAAAACCGGCACAAGACAAGGACGCCCTCTCTCACCACTCCTATTCAACATAGTATTGGAAGTTCTGGCCAGTGCAATCAAGCAAGATAAAGAAATAAAAGGTATTCAAATAGGAAGAGAGGAAGTCAAATTGTCTCTGTTGCAGATGACATGATTGTATATTTAGAAAACCCCATTGTCTCAGCCCAAAATCTTCTTAAGCTGATAAGCGGCTTCAGCAAAGTCTCAGGATACAAAATCAATATGCAAGAATCACAAGCATTCCTATACACCAATAATAGAGAGCCAAATCATGCGTGAACTTCCACTCACAATTGCTACAAAAAGAATAAAATACCTAGGAATACAACTTACAAGGGACGTGAAGGACCTCTTGAAGGAGAACTACAAACCACTGCTCAAGGAAATAAGAGAGGACACAAACAAATGGAAAAACATTCCACGCTCATGGATAGGAAGAATCAATATCGTGAAAATGGCCATACTGCCCAAAGTAACTTATAGATTCAATGCTGTCCCCATCAAGCTACCATTGACTTTCTTCACAGAATAAGAAAAAACTACTTTAAATTTCATATGGAACCAAAAAAGAGCCTGTATAGCCAAGGCAATCCTAAGCAAAAAGAACAAAGCTGGAGGCATCATGCTAGCTGACTTCAAGCTATACTACAAGGCTGCAGTAACCAAAACAGTATGGTACTGGTACCAAAAAAGATATACAGACCAATGGAACAGAACAGAGGCCTCAGACATAATGCCATATGTCTACAACCATCTGATCTTTGACAAATCTGACAAAAACAAGAAAGGGCGAAAGGATTCCCTATTTAACAAATGGTGTTGGGAAAACTGGCTGGCCATATGCGGAAAACTGAAACTGGATCCCTTCCTTACACCTTATACAAAAATTAACTCAAAGCGTATTAAAGACTTAAATGTAAGACCTAAAACCATAAGAACCCTTGAAGAAAACCTAGGCAATACCATTCAGGACATAGGCATGGGCAAAGACTTCATGACTAAAACACCAAAAGCAATGGTAACAAAAGCCAAAATTGACAAATGGATCTAATTAAACTAAAGAGCTTCTGCATAGCAAAAGAAACTATCATCAGAGTGAACAGGCAACCTACAGAATGGGAGAAAGTTTTGCAATCTATCCATCTGACAAAAGGCTAATATCCAGAATCTATAAGGAACTTAAACAACTTTACAAGGAAAAAATGAACAACCCCATCAAAAAGTGGGTGAAGGATATGAAAAGATACTTCTCGAAAGAAGACATTTATGTGGCCAACAAACATATGAAAAAAAGCTCATCATCACTGGTCATTAGAGAAATGCAAATCAAAACCGCAATGAGATACCATCTCATACTGGTTAGAAAGGTGATCATTAAAAAGTCAGGACACAACAGATGCTGGAGAGGATGTGGAGAACTAGGAATGCTTTTACACTGTTGATGGGAGTGTAAATTAGTTCAACATTGTGTAAGACAGTTTGGCAATTCCTCAAGGATCTAGAACCAGAAATATCATTTGACCCAGCAATCCCTTTACTAGGTTATATATCCAAAGGATTATAAGTCATTCTACGATAAAGACGCATGCATACGTATGTTTATTGCAGCACTAACAATAGCAAATATTTGGAACCAACCCAAATGCCCATCAATGATAGACTGGATAAAGAAAATGTGGCCCACATATACACCATGGGATACTGTGCAGCCATAAAAAAGGATGAATTCATGTCCTTTGCAGGGACATGGATAAAGCTGGAAATCATGATTTTCAGCAAACTAACACAGGAACAGAAAACCAAACACCACATGTCCTCACTCATAAGTGGGAGTTGAACAATGAGAACACATGGACACAGGGAGGGGAACATCACACACTGGGGACTGCCATGGGCTGGGGAGCTGAGGAGGGAGAGCATTAGGGGAAATACCTAATGTAGATGATGGGTTGATGGGTGCAGCAAACCACCATGGCATACGTATACCTATGTAACAAACCTGCACGTTCTTTAAACGTATCCTAGAACTTAAAATATAACAAAAAATGTTATCATTACTTATAGTCATAAGTATGGTTAATATATTGGTATGTTTCTCTCCGGCCTTGTTTTGTTTCTTTGTGTGTGTGTGTGTGTGTGTGTGTGTGTGTATTTATATGGTTGATATCACACTGAATATACAATTTATTTTCTGTTTTTGTACTTAATATAACAACATCAATGCCCCATATTATTAAAAACCCTTCATGAATATAGCTTTTATTGGTTGTACAATATTTTGTGGAAATACAATTATTTCCTCAGCCATTTCCCTATTGTTGAACATTTGGGTTATCTATTTATCTATTATTCAATAGTGTTATAATTATTTTATTAAGATTCACTTGGCAGCAGTTTGATTTGGAGAAGAAGGTTATGTTGCACAAATAGCAAATGATTGGAAATGAGAGCCAAAGACTGGAAGAGATTTCAGTGATTCAAAGCCTAAATTCAGTAGCAGTAAAGGAAAGAAAAGGAGGCCATCAATCAGATTATTGTTACCTTCCCAAGCTTAAGTTTTCTTAAGGTCTGCACCAGGTTTCTTTCCTCTTTCTCACCTAGTGAACCCTCAATGGGTTTGTAGAATGAATGAATGAGCGAGGAAATGAAAACTAGGCTGTTATGCTGTTGCTGTTGCCAAGGACCATCACATCACTTCCATGCTAAATAACATTCTTACTCATACAACCTGCCTGCCCCAAAGAAAATGTTACCTATACTCAGCAACTACCACCCAATGAATCCCAAAGCGCCAGTCCCCTCTGATGTCTTTATTTATTTCAGAACAGAACACTCATGAAAACAAAGAATGGTCATCAAAGAAGTTAGTAAATGTACTTCCCTCATTTTAATACATTTCTTATTTACTTCTGATCAATGGGCAAATATTTGTATACAAATTGCTATAATGTGCCTAGCACTGTGCTCAGTGCTTCGCCAAGTAAAGCATGTATTCTGCCTTACTCGTGACATAATTTAATCAAGTAACAGAAACTAATATGCAGCCATAGAGAGGATGATTAGAGATAGAGTTTAGTCAGGAATGCATTTATTACCTAGAGAGGCTTAGAGAAAGAGTAAGAGAATGGGATAGGAACATTAGTAAAGACAATAGAAGACAAAGCCAATTTTGTAGACTAAATCGAATTTCTGTCAGTGTCGTGATTTTGTCTAACTCCATAAACTGAAGGCAGGCAAACTCCCCATTTGCTGTACAGTGGATCTTTCTTTACTTCCCTCTGATAAATGGAGATCTCTACACTCATTTAACCAGTGTTTCACCACCACATTCTCAGCTGATATCTGGTCTGCATGTACAGCCGCAGGGACAGACAGACCTGCACCTAAGACTTGCTATAATACATGCGAATAATCAATATTTTCTGGTGTGATGATCTCGCTCTGGGAAATAATGCTCATGCACTAATTGAGCTAATGAGAATATATTAGCTATTGGTTTAGTGAAAGTGATGGCAGAGTAATCTAATTCTTACTGGCTCCTGGATAATCTTCAATTTAAAGGTAATGATGTTAAGAAATGTTAAATTGAGTACGCTCAAGTGCACATGGTATGTACTTCTTAGGTGGGACAAACGGCTCTCATAAGTTATAATGATTCTTTAGAGTGGAGATTCTCCATCTGGGGTTCATGGATAGAACTCAGGAATTCTGTGTAATTGGATTAAAAAGAGACTACGGCTTTATTTTCATGAATCACTAATGAAATTTAGTATTTTCTTTCACTATGAATATAGGCAACTAATTATAGTAGTATTAGCAGTACTGTGACTTAGTCATTACTAGAAATCACAGATTTTTTTGTATCACATTGTATTTGTTTCCTATATCATGAGATATTGTTTATGTTCAACAATACTGCAAGAATATGATATTAGACCTGAAACTAGATCTTATTATTTAATGCATTAATTAAAAGTATATTAATATATCAGTGATTTGTTTTTAAAATATTTTGATATTAGTATTTAAATATGATTCATTTCCTTTGTATGCCTATGTGTTTTGTTTTATGCTTTTAAAAACACAATTATGAGAAGCCATCACAGACTTCACCTGACTGTAAAGAGGTCTGTGTGCAAAAGGTTAGGGCCTCTTGCTTAGAATAAGGACCATGGAGCCTTTCTCCCCCTATAGAAAAGTTGCTATTTGCAATACAAATTCTTTCTGTTTTTCTGACACAGGGGGATCCCACCAGTCCCTTTCTATGGGGGAGAACTTGGAGTGGTTCTGCTGTCAGTTTACACAGTGAGATCTTACACCATATGTAACTCTCAAGGCTGGAGAGATGATATGCCGCCAACATGGTTGGGAAACATGGAGAAGCAGAAAGCTCGTAGCTGGACTACCCTACAAGGAGAAGTGGCTTCTGTGAAATTGTAAAATGCTGCACACTGCTGCTCTTCCTCCCTGGTTATTCTCCTTCTGAACCCTCATATATTATTTTAAAAATTTTAAACAAATAAACAAGCAAAACACAAGGATGCATAAGTCAGCCTTTCTTCCAGCTCTCTGGCTTGGTGGAGGGATGGAAGTAGGGTGGAAACGGAAAAACACATTGTCGGGCCAAATAGTATTTTACCTCCAAACATGGGCCACCATTGGTGGTATGACCTTGGGCGTGTGACACGTCATCTCTAGACTGTGGTTTCTTCATTTTTCAAATGAGAGGCCAGTTCTGATCCTGACTAGGTCCTGAGGCTGGTAAAGATGGTTCAGTCCTTCAAGGCTCAAGTTTTCCTCCTATAACTCTGACTCTCTGACAGTCCAGGGCTGAGAAAAGAGGAATGGAGAGAATGGATACAATTTGGTTTCTCAGAAGCCTCTCGAAGGCTGACTTGGAATGCCGTAGTGTTTGCTGTGTTAGGAGAGAACACAGAGGCTCTTTTTGGCACTGGCTTTCTTGGGTGTTCAAAGGTGAAAAGTTGAACAGTGTCACCAGTGAGGCAGTGCAGATTCCACTATACAAAGACCTTTGGAAAGCCGACTCTTCGTGGATCATGTGTCTTGGATGACTGGTCTGTATCTGTCAGAGGGTAGGAGTAGGCTATTTGGGCCTAAGAGTAAGCCTAGTTCAAATGGTCATTATTTTCCTTAGTGTTTACTTTACTTTCCATAGCCCCTCTCCTTTTAAATTTATTTTTATATTTTGCATTACTTCTGCTTATTTTAAAGTTGCTTGTTCTCATGCACTCAGCTCTGAGAATGAAAATAAGCTTTTCAGATAAGATTTTGTTGCTCAAACTGGGAAAGTACACAGGGCGCAAAGGAAAAATGTATGACATTTGAAGTATAAGCTCCTGGTTTATTGGGTATGATTGTGATAACGCATAGTCTCAAGCTACATCTCAGTTTATTACAAGTTGCCTCATAAAATAGACCCCCTTACCCATGGGAAATATGTTCTAAGACCCCCAGTAAATGCCTGCAACTACATATAATATCTAGCCTTATATATAGTATCTTTTTTTTCTGTACATACATACAATGCTAAAGTTAAATGTATAAGTTAGGCACAATCCCAGCGACTCGGGAGGCTGAGGCAGGAGGATGGCTTGAACCTGGGAGGCGGAGGTTGCAATGAGCAGAGATTGCACCACTGCACTCCAGCCTGGGCAACAGAGCAAGACTCTGTCTCAAAAAAAAAAAAAAAAAGAAAAGAAAAATTAGGCACGGTAAGACATTACCAACAATAACTAACAATTGTAACAATATACTGTAATGAAAGTTATGTGAATGTGGTCTCTGTCTCTCTCTAAATATCTTGTACTGTTCCACAGGTAACCGAAAGCATGGAAAGTGGAACCGTGGATAAGTGGGGACTTACTGTACCCTAACTCAGTAAGCAGAGATCACAGTAGTTTGAGAAAATAGCTTCAGTATTCTCTAGAATCTGCATCCCATAGCTTCAGTGTTTTGCAGACTCTAAAGCCCACCCCTCTTTTTAACAACTGCATCTCTATTTTGAATTCCAAGAGACAGATGTACTTGTGAACTCATGGGCTAGTTGTAATGGAGTCAAAAGATAGCTCTATTAGAAATTCCTTAGTGCTATGGGACTGCACCTAGGGACATTTTGTTTGTTCTTAAAGTACAAAGGCCATAATTTAGCAGAATGTTTTGTTGGTTGCAATTTTCTTATAATCTGTTTTCAGGAGAAAAGAATGCCAGTGAAGTATCTTCTGGTGCTTTGTTCAAGAAAACAACTTTCATGAGTTGCTTTGGGATTAGTGGAAAATCTGTTTAATACCTGTTATCTTATAACTACCATTCATGACTATTATTAATATTCAGAAATGACCCAAGGTAAAGCAAAACCTCAAGTCATTAAAGATTCAAAAAGGTTTAAGAAGAACAAAGTTTGAACTCAGTTTGTTCTTGCTTAACCCTTATTGTGAAATCTCATATTACAGATGTTGATTAATTTAAGTTTTACTAGCCCTTTAGAAAGAGCAAAATTTTGCTGAGCTAATTTCTTGACTTGAATGGTATTGACCTCCCATTTAGCATGGAAGACAGTATATTTAAGCTTAGGTATATTTTTCAGGCTGTAATATAACTTTAGATTTATTTACCAATGTTGCTAAGGAATTATTAGCCATCTCATTCTCAATGCATTTGGCTTGAGTACTCTGTAGAATAGAAAAGTATTATGCTTAGGAAATATTCACCTGGCAAAAGGAAGATATTAATATATAAGCATAGTTTTTTTTTAACTTCGGAATAAGACAGTTCATGAAAAGGAAATAAGAAAGTGAAGCAAACTATATAATTTCTAGGATTTGTTCTTTTATCCCTTTAGAGGCAGCAATGGGGGATAAGAGGATTCTTTTCTGGTTGTTAGTACATGTAATTCCAATGAACATTGATGGGATTTCTGGACTATAACACTTTAATCACGAGATCTGGACCCGGAGTGATATGAGATTTGTTTATTATTTTATTTTACTTGGGAATCTACAGGAATATTATTCACAGCCCTGAATTTTCTTTTTTTTCCATCCATGTATCATCTCTTTCAGGCTCATTATCTTATATCTGTAACAAGATGAATCATAAAATAAAATGCAAAATGTTCTTGTTTATACCTGTGGACAGAGAAATCAGAGCGCCGTTCAGTGATAAGAGGCAGTCAGCCTTATTCTTTTGTGCAAAATGTACAAAAGTATATACTTGTAAATACTTGCAAGAGTATGTACACCATACTTGAAGCCTTAGGTCTGGTGGTTTAATGGAATTAAGTTCACCAACAATGTGAAGAGAGGCACGTGACACAAAAATTAAGCTGAATAGTTGCAACTGTGTCTAACAGAGTTTATAACTCCAGTTTGGTCTGATCTCATATTCTGAGGCCTTCTTTCTACAACAGGTATCCAGAGAACTGAGCTGGGGCTTTATTCTGTAACATCCTGGCCATGCTAATTGCCCTGAATGTTGTCCTTCTGTGTCTTGGAGGCATATAGTTATTTTTTCCCCTTTAGAGTTGGCAGTTTCCTTCCCTCCTTAAATCAGGTGAGGACAGCCAAATGCAGCTTTACAAAAACTTTAACTTCCTATTCATTTAACAAATGGCTATCAATGAACCACACGCTGATGTACATGCTGAGAATGCAGCAGTAAACAAAACACACACAGTTCTTGTCCTTAAAGAATGTATAGTCTACTGGGAAATAAAAATTAAATGAAAAATTATATAATTTCAAATTGTTCCAAAAACTATTGTGGAAAAATATAAAGTATAATCAAAGGTTAAAATTTACATTAGTTTGGGAATTCAGGAAAGACCTTTCTAAGAATCGTGCTAAAGTTACTTGACGGATGAGTAAGAGTTAGCCAAAAAGTGAGTTGGAGAGACAATCATTCCAAGCATATGGAAGCACAAGTGAGAAGGCTATGGAGAGGGGAAGAACAGGGAGCACTAGTGGAATGAAAAGGTGACCAGGATGGCTGGAACATGGTATATGTGTGAGAGTGAGGGGTATGGGATATGTCTAGAACTATAGGCAGGGGCCAGATTATGAGAAGAATGATAAGTGACATGGTTGATAATATGTGTCAACTTGACTGAGCTAAGGGATACCCAGATGGCTGTTGAAACATTATTTCTGGATGTGTCTGTGGAGGTGTTTTCAGAAGAGATTAGCATTTGAAACAGTAGACTGAGTAAAGATCTGCCCTCACCACTGTGGGTGGGCATAATCTAATCCATTGATAGAATTCCTGGATAGAATAAAAAAGGCAAGGAAGAGCTAATTTTCTGTCTTCTTGAGCTGGAACATTCATCTTCTCTTGCCCTCAGACATCAGAGCTCCTGATTCTTGGTGTTTTGGACTTAGACCAGGACTTGCAGCATTGGCTCTCCTAGTTCTTAGCCGTTGGAGTTGGACTGAATTATATCACCAGCTTTCCTGGTTCTCCAGCTTGCAGATGGACTTTTTGGCCTCCATAATCACATGGACCAATTCTTATAATAAACCTCTCGATCTCTCCTTAAATGTGTATACTTAAAACCTATTTGTCCTGTTTCTCTGGAGAGCCCTGATTAATACAATAAGCCACTGTACCCTTTTAAGCAAAGGAATAACACAACTAGATTTAACTAGCCAGAGACCACTCTGGAAAATTAATTGAAGGAGGAGACAAGAATAGGTGATGGAGCATTACTGCTTTAGATTAGGAAAAGATCACAGTAGCTTGGACTCCAGGGTTAGCACCAAAGATGAGCAGGGGTTAGCAGATTTCAGATATTTTGTTGGTAAAATTGAGAGGACTTGTTAATGCCTTAGTTGAGGAGATGAAGGAGGATTTGGGGTTAGTGTAATTGGGTGGATGGAGAAGATGCCATTTACTGAAGTAGAGAAGGGTGGAGTTGAAGCAAATTGGAGGGGGAAATAAAGATTCCATTTTGAATATACCAGGGTTGAAATATTTTTGAGACATAGAGAAGACGTTAAAGAATTAGTTGGACATAAGGGTCTCTGGTTAAAGATATAGGTTGAAAATACATTGGTATACAGATGCTACTTAAAACCATGTGAGTGTGTAAGATTTTACTGAGAAAAAGAATATAATAGAAAGAACCCGCAGAACTGAGCCCTGAAAAACTCGAAAATTTAAATATCACATAAAGAAGGTACTGTTAATGAGCTTAAGAAGGTACTAGTAGGAGAGGTAAGAAAACATTCAGGAGAAACGGTGTCATAGAAGGACCAGAGGAGGGTGTTTCAACAAGGGGAGAGAGGCCAAGTTTGTTGAATATGTTTGGTAGTTTAGTGAGAAGAAGACTTAATTTTAAAACTTAGAGGCCATTGGTGACTTTAGTAGGGGTAGTTTTGGAAGTAGAGGCAGAACTTAGATTACAGTAGGCTGAACAGTAAATAGGCAATGACAAAGTGCATATAGACTGTGTAGTCAACATTTTGGGGAAAGTTTGACTGTCAAGGGAAGCAGAGAGAGTAGTGGTCTCTGGTGAGAATTATGGGTTAAGGGAGTACTTTTGAAGACATGAAAGGCACTACAGCATGTTTAGAAACCAGTGGGAATTAGCAAGAGAGACAGAGCAGCCTCTCTGAGAAGGTGGAAAGGGATGGTACATAAAGGGTGAGTCGTACCAACATGCCACAGTGAACAGGGTTGGGATTTCGCAAGGCAGGGCTTACAGAAGCAAAGAGTGGGAGGGATTAACAGGTATTTGCCAGGAGTAATTTTAGTGATAGATCAGACTTGATCTGGGTAAGAAAGGAAGTGAGAACATGAGTTCTCTCTTCATGAGTAGAGAGAAGTCAGTGGATTAGAAGCCTTAATGAGGACCATGGACTACTGCAGTGAATGCATTGAAGACAAGAATCCCTATATTGGGCACTGGCTTCACCCATGCATATTTAGGTTCTTGCTTTTTTTTTTTTTTCTTTCCAACTGCCCCCAACCTCTTTTTTGAATTTGGTATTGCAGGGTATGTTTAGAACTCCACAAAAACTCACAGGCTTACCAACTAAAGTAGAAGAGTAAAACAAGTATTTGATGAGATCTGATCAAGTAGATATTTGATTTTATGGTCTAGGAGCCTGATCTGATGTCCTTTACTAAACAGGAGAAGTATTCTGGGCTCCTTGTCATTCAAAGATTTGACATCTTTGGCCTCCATCAATTGAAGGCTTTGCAAATAATTCAAGAACTGATGTGAAAAGTCTGTGGGAGTTTGTTAGAGAAAAATGTTTACTGGAATGTCAGGATCTGTTCACTTAATTCCCCTTCTAGTTAGATGTTAGAATTTTTGTGGTTCCTCTGCCAACAAGGTAACATAAAATCACATTTCTATGTTTTTCCTATATTTTCCAAATATATTTCCTGGCTGAAACCAAGCTGTGTCTTGATGATTAAAGTTTTTGTTTGTTTGTTTGTTTCCGCCCAAACTGTGTCCTTGACCCTAAATCTTATACTTATTTGTTGAGGGCCCATTAACTGACTGTCATTGAGCTAGATTCTAGGAATCAGGAAATGAGAACACGAATCTCCAGGGCAGGCATGCAAAGCACAATTCCATGTGGCAAACACTCTTAGGAGACACTTACCAAGAACTAGGGAAACACAGGGAAGGAAACGATTGTTCATTCCTTGGTAAAAGAGTTAGAAAAGGCTGCACCCAGGAAGGGATTTTTGAGAAGGGCCCTTACAGGTGAATAGGAGTGGGTGGTGAAAGTATGAATGTTCACTATAATGTTTGCCACCTGGAGAAAAGTCTGTTACGGTTTAAGACTAAGTTGTGTGAATCTAGCAACAGGGTTTTTGTTTAGAAAGTATGGCTTGGCCAGATTTATGAACCTAGCTAACAATTTGCATATTATTGTATTGGGTGGAAAGTAGTTAAAGGTTTCCTTCTAGTCTTCATATATTTCTGTTAAGCAATTACTTTCTGCCTTAGCCAAAATTGTGCTCCAGAATGGACACTACTACAATTTCAGATGCCTCGACTTGCAGTGCAGATGCTGCCAACCTCCTTGTCCTCACTGTCCCTTCAGCCCCTGCTGCCTGAGAGCATGGACCTTCTGGCCAGAGCTGTGCCACCTACCCCCAGAATGATTCTCCACTGTCTCTGCTTTTTTTGAGGCAAAATTCCGAGTGAGTGAGTTTGATGGGCCAGGGCTGACCATGCAACTGCACCCAAGCTGCAAGGGAGTCAGGTATGACAAATGTTCTGCATTTCCAGTTTCCATAATGAGAGGCAAGCTGTGTCTTGTGCCAAGATTCATAAAGTAAGAGGTTCTCCAAACATGAAAAGAGCTTCAAATAATGGTTAGCTAAAAACCAGGATGATGACAACAAATGTTCACTAGCCCATCTTTAATGGATGAGGAGAATAGAATAGCACATAGACAGTGTAAAGTAACTTGCCCATGGCACAGTGGTGTAAAGTAGTATAGACAGGCGCTTAACCCAGGAAGTCTGACTCTGGAGCTCATACTCTGAGCCATGTCCTGTAACAAAACTGTAAGTGATAAAGACTTTAATTAGTGATGTACCGGAGAGATGAGGATGTTTTTGGCTTTAAAATAGACGGGAAGTAATGGGTCTGTACAGCAGTTGAACTTATTGTCTTCTTAGCACCATGGAATCACCTGGGGGTGCCCAGATTGTTTTGGTCACAGTCAGGAGCAGAACAAGAAATGTGGTTATACAGTTGAGAGCCTGTAGGTTGGCCAATTTATATCAGCACCCAGGGCCCATGTCCCAGGGCACCTGTGTTCTCTGTTGAACTGTTTTCCTTCCATCATTCTTTTCCAGCCTTGTCTCTGAACCCCTAATTCCCCACTCCCACTGTGACAAACTTTTCTGGGATGTTCTTCCTGGCCACTGAGAATGAGAACCCGAGAATATATTTAGAGGGTCTTTTCTGGGAGAAGAACTCTAATGTCAGTCACATATACACACACCAGATGCAAAAACAAGAATAATAAAAATGTATAATTTTAGCTAAAGCCAAATCTGGTCATCAGATGTTTTTACGAAGCTATTCCCCTTTCAAGTAAATTTTGAATGTTTTGCATCCTTCAGTGAAAATAAGTAACTTGCAAAGTTTCTTGTAAACATCAGTCAAAATGTTGCAATAAGTCATCCTCCAAGCCACACAAACATCAAGGCCCAATTATGTAATTTCTAATTTTTTTAATCTTGAAAAGCAAAACAAAGCCAACAGAAGATTCTTGTAATTAATTGCTGTACCTCATCCATTTACAAAATGTTGACTCTCAGTGACTTTCTTCAATGTTTGTGGAGTGTGGTACCCATCCTGTGGGAATAAATGAAGGCTTCCAAAGCATTTTATTCTTCCATTGTTTTGCATCTCTTTCTTCCCTTGTGTATACCTCATGGCATTATCTAGATACCAGGATTAAGTTTTCTTAGAGCTTTATCTACCTAGAAGTCTTTAGTCTCTGAAAGCAGTAGGACTTCTAGTTAAATTTTGTGAACGCAAGGCCATTGTTGAATGCTTTGCAATAATAAATTTTTCATAAGTTATTGCCTGTGGAAGTCAAAAGGCTCCTAGCACTTGAGGAAAATATGTACCTAGATATCAAATACTCATGAAATCTCTAGTATGTTACATCATACCATTTCTTGGTGTTGCTCATGGATCTGAATGTAGCCTTTTAATTTTCTTTCAGTCACTGCCAATATTTGTCTTTCGTTTCTTCTGTTTCCCACAATTATCTACCTCTAAACATTATCAGAATTGTCCCCAGGCATCTAAACTTTAAATTAGATTGTAACTTTTCCGTTTGGGCCTTGTTTCATTAAACAAATATGTGGGTGCTACATGATTTTGCAGCAGATACTGTTTATGTGGGAGTTGGATTTGTACTATGTTTACAGCTAAAGAGAAAAAAATTCAACACTTTATTGGACATGTACTAGCATGTGGGTGAGGTTGAAGAAAATAATTGAGCGTTGAAATAAAATACAGGCCTGGGAAAATATTCCTTTTTGATGGAGTAGGCAGGAAAGGCCAACAGCTGGCACACATGAAAATCTGTAAGGGTTAGCCTCCTTTTTCAAAGTGCTCTTTCAGGAAGTTCAGCCTCCTCACTGAAGCTGATCACTCCAGAAAAACGCAAGGTGAAATTATGTCTCTATCTGGAAGTGAGACATTTTGCCACCAAACAAAATCCATGTGACTTGACTCCACTGTATATGATCTCTTCCATACTTCTAAAAGCTATCTATCTATCTATCCATCCATCCATCCATTCGTCCATTTGTCTGCCTGCCTACCCGCCCGCCCATCCATCCATCCATTCATCCATCCATCCATCTATCTATCTAGTCCATCCACTCATCCATCCATCCATCTCTATTATCTATAATTAATTATCGTTATTAATGGTGGTTATATTTTATAAAGTTGCTGTGAATACTGAACTAGTGAATACCAAACCATTGTTCTCAGGGGAAATACAGAATTAGGTTCCTGTGAGTCACAATATTTTTGTCAACGGAACTATATAGAACCTTTTTGTATGTGAGTTTCTATTTAAAGACACCTTATATAATATATATTGTTAACACTGAGCTCATGGCCAATGTACTATAACTCATGCCTTAACAAAACTTATCTGACACCATATTTTGTCCTGAAGGTAGATCACAGACTCCATGCACTTACAAACATTAGGCAGCACTAAAGTACTACATTTGGGTCCCATTTCAAACAGTAAAATCAGCAACAAAAAACAAAAACATTTGATAAATGTGCCACTAAATGGACCACAAAAAGGACACTTGCCCACAATATGATATCTACAATAAGGATGTAGTGTGTCACCTTCTTTGGCCTCAGAAACCTGAGCATTGGGTTACTTAAATTCTTCACTGCTCTGAGCATGTCCATGAGTAACTGAAAGCACTGCAAGTATTAATTTGGGGATTACAAATAAATTTCAGCGAGCAGGTGAATTTGGAAATACAGGATCTGCAAATAATGAGGATTGACTGTACATATTCAGTTATATACCCACTCACATACCCATCCACCCTTCCACCTATTCATCCATCCATCCATCCATCCATAGGTCCATCCATTCATCCACCCGCCCACTCACTCATCTACCCATCCATCCATCCCTCCACTTATCCACACATCAATCCCTCCGTTCCTCTTTCCCTCCTTCCCTCCATCCACCCATCGATTCAGCCACCCATTCACCTACCCACCCATCCCTTCATCCCTCCATCCCTCCATATACTCATGCATTCATCCATCCCTCCTTCCATCTATTCATATGTTTATTTATTTTCAGGGCATGAAGCTTACTAAGAATTTCTGATCACTTTATTTGGAGTAATCTACATTGCAAATGTGACATATATTATTTTTCTAGTTTTAAGACTGTTAAAAATATGTAGTCATGAGATCAAGGACTTGAAGGTCTTGTTCCCTGCTATAGTCCCAGCCCTAGAGTAGAGCGTGGCACAGAGCAGGTTCTCAATAAATATTTATTGAATGAATTAATGAGTGATTTGCAAGTGGCACTTGGTGCAGAGAATAGCATTGTTTTCTCCCTTTCTCTCATACTGACCTCAAATAGAAACATCTCTGAAATCTGAAAATATATCTACCATGTAGGTTATTTTTTGCATACAATCTTCAAAGGAGAGCATTAAAGTATAATAATTAAATAATTATGATCTGTGGAATCAGTTGGACCCCACCTTTAGCCATCAGTTTAGGCAGATAAAAATGTTTCCAGATTTTCTTCCCATTTCCTCCTCCCACTCTAAATTAAAAAAAATTTTACAATAAGCATTTATATCAATATTTAAAGAGCTCTATCATCTGAGGAGTCTTATTTTTTTTCTTTTTTTGAAGGGAACTCTTTATCTTACTGTATATTAAGATCCCCCACCCTCGTTGCCTTGGTTTTTGTCTTTTTGTGTGTTTCTTTTATGTGGTACCAGGATAAACAATAACTCGACAAAGCAAAATCTCTTAGACTAACAGGCCATAGTTTTCACTTTCCCAGGATAAACAATGTATGTTCCTTCTGTCTTTTTTGTTGCGTTTTAATTTACAGCTGTTGAATCATCTTTAATCTGTATATGCACATTCCTTTTTTGCAGTGACTTATTAGTTGGACATGCTACTTTGGAGAGAGTGCAATTGGAACTCTGTGTGTTGAGCAAATTGTTTAACTCAACATATGCCCAGAATTGTATGAAGAGCAAATAAAGTTCTAAAAAATAAATAAAGATGAGGGAGACTGCTTTTAGCATGGAGGCCAAGTTATGACACATAAAATTAATCTTATAGAGTATGAGAGTATAGAACATTGTGTAATTCAACCAAGAGTTAGGTTTATAAGTAGCAATGGCTGTAGAACTCTTCAGCTATGGGAGGAAGTAATTGTGGGGCTGAAATGAATTGCTAGGGAAGCAGCCGGGACCGACATGTTTGAGCCATGTAGTTCTAAATAGTCCTTCCTAGTTTCAGGGTTTAGTCCCTGGAGGTAGTGTAGTGCCTGGCAAGGGACTGCTCATTTAACATCACTGTAAATCTAGTTTCTGAAGACTAGATGTGTGCATTTAGGGAGTTGTATGTAGTTGCAGGATGGAACTGGGGTTGGGGAAAAATTACCGGGAATAGCATTATAACAGCTGCCATGTACTGAGTCTCTACACCATTTTTATATATTTGCTAAATGTCTTATTTTTATTTTCTTATCTCTATAACCATTTGAGGTGATATTATGTCTATTTTACATATGAGGAAAATTCATCTCAGAGAAGATAAATCATGTGCCCAAGGCCAGAGGGCTAGTTTAAGGGGCAAAATAGGATTCTAGTACAAAGCTGTGTGACCGCAAGTCCAAGCTATGTCTTTCTATCTAAAATGAGAAACAGACCAACACAAAGGAACAGCTTATCATATTTTTCTGATTATACAAAGCAATATGGGTTCACTGTAGGAAACTTGGAGAGTTCAGAATAAATAATAATATAAAATTACCCATGCTACTTTTAGTCTTTTACTATCTACATGTTATATTTCTATATTTTTCATCTGTACCTATGTTTACACCTATATCTATATGGATATATATGAGCACATACATATGAACAAATATATAGAAATGTATACCTTTCTGTATACATTTATACACATAATTGGAATTGTATGGCGTATAATGATTTTATGGTCTACTTAAGCAATATAGTATTAAAAATGCATAAACATCAACATCAACCTGTTTACTGATCACCTAATGTTCCAGTGTTCAATTATACACTGTAATTTACCTATTTTGGAATATTTAGGTCATTCCAACTTTTTTAGTATTATAAGTAATACTGTGGTGGACATTATGGCTTAAAAGTCTTCATCTGAATCTCAGATTATTTGCTCATGATGTATACTTAGAAGTAGAATTACTGGGTATAAGCACAATTTTTAAGGCTTTTTATACTCATAGCCAAGTTGCAGTCTTCAATTTATATGCTTATTGCTAATATATGAGAGTATCAGCATCACTCACTGCATATAATATTGTTATTAAAAAGCAATTGCCAATTTTTTGTTAAAATTGTATATTGGTATTTCACATGATTCATAGTGAGTTTAAAACTGTTTTTACATTTTCAACCTCATGCCATCTCCTATGGCACCACATTTATCATTTTGCCCCTCTTAGCTGGTGGATAATAACTAAATTTTTATTGCCTTCTTAGTGTCTGTACATTCAGCCCATTATTATGTGGCCTTGAAATCACCAAGCCTGCACTTATGCCAGTTTTTTGACATAGGGCTGTTGTCTATCATGTGGTTTGTTGGAATAGCTCTGGATGAGTTGTGTCCACCTTGGCCTCTCCCAGTTTCATCTAGCCAACCCCTGCACACTCAGCCCTCCCAGCCATCGAACCAGTGGGCACCAAGCAGACACAATATCTATAGCCACATCCCTATCAGTAATTGGGTTGGAAATAATGCTTGGTGGCCTAAGTGTCTGGAAGTATTGTAGTCTTAATCTAGCGATAGGCTTATGCTAAAGCCTTCTCACTGGTGTGTGGCAGTCAATTCCAACACAACTTCTGATTGAAGCCCCAGCCTGTTTTCTTTGCTGCCTCTCTTCTGTGAAGAAGGTGAGTGCACATCAGTGTTCTAGGGTTTACTCTGGAGCCCTTGTCAGTAGGTAGAGAGCTTCTCTCTTATTTGGTTTTTACCTTCCTTCACTCCCTACTTGATAACCATGCTTCCTGGCAGAACTACCCCCTTGCAGAAGTCTTTTTTTTTTTGTTAAGACTGTTTGCCTAGAAGAAGTGAATTTTTTCATAACTTTTACTTTAGGCTCAGGGGTACCTGTGCAGGTTCATTATCTAGGTAAACTTGTGTCATGGAGGTTTGTTATAGAGATTATTTTATCACCCAGGTACTTAGCCAATACCTATTTTTTCTGACTCTTTCCTTCCTCCCACCTTCCACCTCAAGTAGACCCCTGTGTCTGTTGTTCCCCTCTTTGTGTCCATGAGCTCTCAGCATTTAGCTCCCGCTTTTAAGTGAAAACGTGGTATTTGGTTTTCTGTTTCTGCATTAGTTTGCTAGGGATAATGGCCTCTAGCTCTGTACATGTTCCCACAAGTCGTGATCTTGTTCTCTTTTATGGCTGCATAGTATTCCATGGTGTATATGTACCACATTTTCTTTATCCAACTGTCATTGATGGGCACCATGTGTTTGCTATTGAGAATAGTGCCTTGCAGAAGTCTGAATGTTACCTCTCTCTTGCCTGTCTCCTGCCTGGAATCAATCTCTGCTTGAGGTGGACTTGAATTTGGCTCCTGTTCTTTGGACTTGTAATTTTGGACTCTGACTGCTCCCCTCCCCAATGACAGTATCCCATCAGTTTCTCTTTTCCTTCCCTTCTTCTTCCCTCTCTCCGCTTTTCATTGCAGAATTGGGTGTGGACCTGAGCTGTCTGCATTTCATGGAGCGGTGCTTGTGATAAGGGAACTCAGAGATCTGGGATTTAGGTTCAATTTCCTAAAAGTGTGCTCTCACCAAGATGTTTAAATTCTCTGAGTCATAATTTGTTAGTCTTTAAAGTGGAAATTCATTCATTCATTCACTTTTTATTTCTGAACCCTTATTAATTGTGTACATATATGTGGGGAGAGTGACTTGTGACTTTCAATTTAGGGAATTACACTTTTTGAAGTCAGTAAATTCTTTCTACATCATGACTGCACACCTCCTATTTTACTTATCTATACTATCGTTCTTGTAATTTGGCTCATATGTTTCAGTATATTCCAACATTATTTTAGAATTATATCCTATTTTACTAATAGTAGTGACATTTCAATTTGAGGGAGAATATCTATAATTCATTATAGTAGTTTAACTTCTCACCCCCTTCTCCCCCCTCCTCCCCCAAATATGAGGCTGTTAAGGACCTAAATGTTTCCAGACATGTGTCATTGGCATTAAATTGATGTAAAAAAATCAACCAATAACTATTAGAGTGTAACTTTTTTTTAGAGATGGGTCTTCCCCTGTTGCCCAGGCTGGAGAGCAGTGGTGCAGTCATAGCTCACTGCAGTCTTAAACTCCTGAGTTCAAGTGATCCTCCCACCTCAGCCTCCCAAGTAGCTAGGTCTACAGGTATGTGCCACCTCACCTGGCTAATTTTTTTTTTTTTTTTTGTAGAGACGGAGTCTCTCTATGTTGCCTAGGCTGGTCTTGAACTCCTGGACTCAAGCAGTCCTCCTACCTCAGCTTCCCAAAATGCTGGGATTATAGACATGAACCACTGCGCCCAGCCATAACATTTTTTTAGCTAGAAATTCTACATTTCTCCTATAAGATCTCCTACAAGTAATTAACATTGTTAAATAAGGTAAATTATTCTTTATTCAAGCAATAAATAAAATAATATCTGGCCTATATGTGTGTATGTGTTTTAATAGAATTCTAATACCACTTAACTATTATATTTAGCATTATTCTTACAATGCCAACAGAATATTTGTGCTGCATTATTTATGAGGAAAACAGTATTTTATCCAGAGGGATAAAATAGGGAATAATAGGAAGTAAAACCATCTGGATAGAGTATAGAATTCAACTTTTATCTTTTCTTATGTTATTTGGTTTCTTTTAAAAATATGGATCAAATGTAGATGTGTTTTTTCCTATTATACGTGTATATATCTCTCTATGTAAGTATGTGTAAATAACACTGTGTATATATACATATTTTATTCTAAAGCAGCCTGCGCTTATAAAGACTATAGGATCAAATCTTATATTTTCTCAAATGATTGAGCAAAACAAGGCAAATTTATAAACCTGCCAATATTATGGCATCCCAGAAAGTGATATTTTTCTAATCTGGAGATTAATGGCCCTTTGACATGATTCAATATGCCATGTCTAGTTCAATTTTTGTTTCAAAACATAAAATAAGAACCTACTTGTTCTTTTTAACTGATACTGTTTTTCAGCCATTTTATGGGATTCCTATATTGATTTGCATTTTAAAATGTTTTTCCCATCTGAACCTCCTACCACTCTGAATGATTCCAAGGGTCTTATTGATTTGGATGGAAACCTCTGTGAAGCTTGAAGGAATTATTTTTTATTTACAAATTTCAAACAAAGCATCATTTACCATAATGAACAGTCAAGTCCTAATAATGCATTAGTGCATTAATCTTTAATGCATTTACAGGCGACTTAGAGCTAAAAAAAAGACCATGTAATCCAAGCCAGAGTGTGTGGTCCCAGGCTTTGAGGCCTCCTTCATCTAGGCACTCAGCGCCTACCCACCTTCTTGGTCCTCCATCTGTCTCCTGGGTTTAGGATCCAATGAAATTGGAGGAGAGGCAGGAACAGGATTGATTGGAAGGGGGCCAAGGGGAGAGGGGAAGGGCCGGTTAGTTGGCCACTAATTATTTATTGATCTTCTTATATGCCAGGCACTCTTCCAGATCCTAGAGCAGTGAGTATAACAGGCGACACCTGCCTCCAGCAGCAAACCTCTGATCTTTGTAATCAGAAAAGTGGGGGCAAGATGTGGGAGAGCAGTAGCATAAACATTTTGCTCCTCCTATCCTGATTTCACTTTTAAATGGTGTTGGAATGTAGTAGTCATCATTTTTTTTTGCATGTTTACTGTGTGTCAGGCACTGTGCTAGAAGCTTGGAATACATTTAACCTTTAAAAATGACAATTGTTGTAAAAAGTTAGTTCTTCTATTTGAGGGACTGTACTCTCCAGGAATAGTGATTGTAGACTACTGATGTGACCTTAAACATTTCTCCTGGTTTGGTTTCGTTTAGTTTTTTCATTGTGGAAAAAAGTAAGTTTACACCTTAGCCTTGTGTCTCTGAAGAGATTTATGAAATCTGCTCTTTTGCCCAAACAAAATTTTTTTTCAGAAACATGTATGAGTGAATGTGTGTGTAATACTTAGCATCACCATGAAAATTAGTGAGGCTTGGTTGGTTGGATTAATGTCCAGGCTATTGCAAAGTACCATGCATGTATATGTAACTTTCCTTATTTTACTTTTTCAGCATGTAATTGAATACCTGCTATATATGAGATATGGGACTGCAGACTTTTAATAATGATTTTAATCTGAGTGGATAATTTCAAACAGCTAAAATATACTAAAATAATTTTCTAGTAATCATATGTATAGTAGTTATTTTTTCAAAGAGCAGTGTGATGGCTTTGATTGGTAATCTCTATCCATGAAATAATATCTACATACCTTGCCAGTAGGCAGATCATCACATTTGTTACATGTCTGTCAACATAAGACACTTTGGGGCCAAATAAAGAAATAAATTTATTAAAATAAGAGCTGAAATTAGAAAATGTTTCTTTTCTAAATTTCTAGAAATTGTGTTTGGTAATTGGCAACTACATTGCTTGACAAATAGACAGCCATTTCTTTGAAGCAGATAAAATGGGGTCCTGCATGAATCTGAGAATGAGCCAATGTGCCATTCCATGTTCTTTTCTGATGAGATGATTCTGTGCCTTCCCAGCCAGGAGCCTGACGTAGGAGTAATAGGAAAGTAATCTAAGGATAATGGCAGCATAAGGGTCTCTTGGCTTCTGCTGAAATAACTTCCTCATCATAATCTTACAACAGAATCATCAGATGATGAAACAGATGTTGGGCAATAATGTCGTTTTTGTAACATTTTAAATTGGATGCCAACGTGAAGTTCACTTCGGTGGGGAATTCATGTCATGTTACAAATCTTTTTGAAAAAAGGCATTATAACTCAATTCCTACAGATACTCATTAAAAGAATTTTGAAATTGTAACATTATATGATTGAGGGATTCTCAGGCTCCCTGCAGACTTGCACTAAAATTGTGGTATCTTTATTACTTTGTGTTTACTGTACACGAACACTTTCTAACAGAACTTGAACTTCCTGCTCACATTGAGATGTTTACCCTTGCTCAAAAAGAAAGATTTGCTGGCAGTGTAAATCTATGTCAAGCAGAGTGATTCCATTGTTTGTATATGAGGCTTCTACAAAATAAGGACTGAATTGTGAAAATTTCACCCAAGATAAACCTTTGGAGGCTTAAAAAACATTTTGATAATATTTATATGTACAGATCAGGTATTCAGTAAAGCTTGCTGACTGATTGACAGTGTGTGGAACACTTTGCACCTAATAGATGTTCAATAAGTGATTACCTTCTCAAGTAATTCATCCAACAGAGAAGCATATGATATAATCCCTTTCCTAAAAGCATTTATAAATGAGGTGAAAAGTTCAAACAAGAAGTTATTTAAGAATAAATTATAAGCCACCAAACTATCAGAAGGACGATAATAATGGCATAGATAAACTCCACAGATTCAGTCTATGGAACTTGGGCAGAGAGTATATTTGGTACTGGATAAGTAGCCATAATTGAACAAAATGAGAAGCTGTAAAATAAAAACAAAAGCAATTTTTTTTTTTAAAAAAGGTACTTTTTTTAGGCTTATTTTGTGTTAAGTTCCGAGCTAGATACTTCACAAATGTTTTATTAAGTTCTTAGAATAATCTCATAAATGCAATTATTATCCTATTTTATAGATATGGACACAAGCTTAGAGAAGATAAGTCATTGTCATATCAAACAACTAATGAGCATCAGAGGTGCAATTTGATTTGATGTCTGTTTTAAGCCAATATGCTCTGCTGTTTTCCTAGGTCTGGGGAGATGTTTGCTTAACAAAATTTGAAACTTTTACAACTGGGGTGGAAGAGCTACAAACAAAGTGAGGGCGAATTAGGGATTCTTGCCAGTCAGTGCATGCCCTATAAGTTAGAGTAAGGGGTGAGTTTGTAAGCTCCATTAAGTGCAGAACGATGGATATTTTTTTAGGGTATTTTTGTAAGCTCCATGAAGTGCACAACTATGGATATTTTTTGAGGGAGCATTTTTTTTTAAATATTAGAGCTGTGAGCACTCAAGACAGTGATGTCATTGACAAAGTATAGAGTTGAAAGGACTGGAGAGGAGTAGTAGAGACAATACTAGGAACAGAGACAATACTGAATTGTGAAAATTTCACCCAAGATAAACCTTTGGAGGCTTAAGAAACATTTTGATAATATTTATATGTACAGATCAGGTATTCAGTAAACACATTTCCTGTCTTTCTATTACACAATGAGGTTGGCAAGTGGAATATTTAAAAAACATATTTAATGAAATACAGTTGAGGCTCAGTCATCACAGTTCTAGGTATTGAAGAGATCCAGTATTATCTTTAAATTTTCCTTGTATAAAAATGAGATTGGAAGGCAGGGGAAGGTTAAAAAGAGAATTTGCAAATGCATTTAAGACAAGTCTGGAAAGTTAAGTAATGTTTTGACCACATGTATCTCTTTTGCTGTGACTACCTGACTCAATAAAATTCTTCAAACAATTAGATATTGTGTCAAAGTGGAGTTTTGGAACTTTTTCCAAAAGTGATGTGGAAGAAGGCCTGAAATATTTTTGGCACAAAGTGATTTCTGATGGTTGGTATTAATGATTGCAATGGAGTTCCTAACTTCAAAGTCTCAATAATAGGTTTCATAGGTGGAGACAAAGGCTAGGATTTCATTTTCTTAATGACACGTGAGCTCTGGTGACAACCTAGCAGAGCGGTTATTATTCTTTGCATGATTGTGGCTGCTGAGAATCAAGGTTCATTTCAAGCCAGCCGTTTATCCCGGTTAGACTTTGTCAACTTGATATACTGAACTTTGGTAGGTTTAAGAGAAAAAAAGAAGAAGGTGGGGAAATGCTAGAAGTATTTCAGGCTTCACTGAATGATATATACTAATCACATGCAAATTTGTATTTTTAAAAAAACCCAGAACTTGAGGACCTATCTTAACAAAATTTCAGTTCTATTCTTTTTAAACACTATAAGTACATTTCCACTTAAAATAATAATAATAATAATCTCTTCCCAACAGCCTTTTCATGTATTAACCTCTATCAATGTTACCTTTGAATAGTTCTGCAACCTCCCATGGTGCAAATGTCTCTGTTTAACTAACACTCTTTATTTTATTACATTGCAAATGTACTTGCGAAAATGAAAGTGCTTTGTATTGCTGTTAGAGCTCCAACAATGTGATTACTTAGCACTTTTCAGAGACTGATTTCCTCGTTAGTATTTATACATCCCATGTACCCGCTAGGAGCATTGGAAAGGTGCAAACAACATTGGATGGTTGGAATTATTTAGCATGTTTTAGATCAAGAATGACAAGAAATAACAGTAAGAGGGGAACAAAAAGGAATGTTTCTATGAAGTGACATTTTTAGGTTCCTGTTGACAAAACCCTCTAAACATATGTAGAACATAATCAAAATAACCACCTGCTATACCTGAAAACCAAATTCTGGTTGAAGAAAAAAGTCAAGGCCTATCCATTTTGAAACACACAACTGAAGGCCCAATGTTGCCTGATGTTTTGAGAGATGACAAAAGCTTTACCAGAAATATATCTAAAAGCTCACAAGATGCCAAACAGAAGAGGTGTATTACATATTTTAAGTGGAGACATATTTCCTAGATCCTTAAAGATTTCCAACTCCAAAGCTTGTGAGTTTATTGCCCATTTATATGCTTTTTAAGTTACTTCCCAATTAAGTCACTTCTACAGACATTTCTGACTTATTGGTTTTCTGTAAAGCAGGACTGGAGATAACCAAGACTGACTTGGATATGGCAATGTCTAAGACCTGGGAGCTTCAAGCAAAACCTGATGGGACTGTGCAGGTTAATACTTTCAGTTTTCTCTGTATTTGAAGGCCAGAATAGGCTGGAATGTCATTATATAATATGCACTTTACATCCAAGTTGCCATATGTATTTTCCAACCTTGAGAACAAAGTGAGCCCCTATAATCTGCTGGTCCTTGTTCCAGTGGTAATGTGAGACAAACAGAGTACTTTGATGGTTCAGAGATAGGACTCTACAAAGCAGAGCTGTGACCTCTGGCATTATGATTCTGAGCTTTTCTTGCTACCTGGTCTGTCATGGATGTACTAACAGGTTAGTCAGGTTAACACACTATAATGCATCAGCACAGTGGAATATTATGCAGACTTTACCAATTATAGTTAGGAAGAGTATACAGAAACTTATGAACTGTTTTCAAAATACTTAAAAGTTACGTTGCAAATTAATATAGATACCATGACAGCCATGTAAAGCATGTGTAGAAACTGGAAGGTAACATAAAAAATTAAAATAGAGGTAAAGGTTATTTATTTGGGGATTAATTTTTTTTCAAAAAGTTATATACTGTAGGTCTACCATTTCTTCAATATGTGATTTTTATACAAACCGCCCATTGATGCTTGTTATAATTTGGGAAACTATCAAGAAGATTTCTAAAATGTGTATGCTTGGGAATAACATCAAGGTTAAAAGACTTAAATTGGGCTGAACTCATAAAGTTAACTTGATTGAGGTGATTATATCTTATGTACATGGCTATAATAAATCATTTTTAGGAATAAAACTGGATTAACTAATTATTTGCTTTCTGAACTGTCATGGGGTTGTTTCTTTTCCTGATAGAAAAGTAGCCAGGCATTTTTACTATGGGACTTTAGCACAACACGGAGGGAACACTGAAAAACACTAATGATGTTCACTCAACAGCTGGCAAATGAATAATTGGCTAGATTCGGTGACCTGTCAGGAATTATTTTCTCCAAAGAAAAGTCAGATGAAACACAACTGAGTTAGAACCTTAGGACAGAACTTTGTGATTGAAAGAGACCTTAGAAATCACCAATATACGTAATTTTACAAATTCTGGAATCCTAGTGGAACCCAACATAGGAACCAGTTGTAAGAGAAGTGACTCTGGTTGAAGCAGGGGAGTGAAGCCAACTTCCCCGCCCACTAAGCTGACCTGCTCCGTTGAGGCTGCTCTGAGTGCCTGGCCCATCCTGTTCCTTCTGGCTCCTGACGTGCGGAATGTGGCCTGAGCTTCTTTTCTTTTCTTTTCTTTCCGTTCCTTTTCTTTTCTTTTTCTCTCCTCTCCTCTCCTCTTCTTTTCTTAGACAGAGTCTCGCTCTGTCACCCAGGCTGAAGTGCAATGGCATGATTGTGGCTTGTTGCAACCTCCACCTCCTGGATTCAAGCAATTCTCCTGCCTCAGCCTCCAGAGTAGCTGGGATTACAGGCACCCACCACCATGCCCAGCTATTTTCTTTTCTTTTTCTTTCTTTCTTTTTTTTGTATTTTTAGTAGAGAGAGGGTTTTGCCATGTAGGTCAGCCTGGTCTCGAACTCCTGACCTCAGGTGATCTGCCCACCTTGGCCTCCCAGAGTGCTGGGATTACAGGCATGAGCCACTGCACTTGGCCCCTGAGCTCCATTTCTAAATTGGAGTCTTCATCTCCTGCCAAGGCACTCAGTGGTCTTTCTACTACCCCAGTGTTCATAGGCCTTCTGTGGATCTCCAGGCACAGTGGAGTAATCTCTGGCTGACAAAGAAAAGTACTACTTAAAGGAAGAGATAGAGCAAGAATCAAGATCCTTTACTCCACCTTTCACCAAAGCAGCTCTACTTTTACCTTTTTATATAATGGGGTTCATTGTAACATTCTTGTAGGGAAAGCATCCCATTGATAAAATGTAAAAGAGAAAGTAGGGAAGGAAAAAAGGAAGGAAGAGAGGAAAAAACAAAGACTACCACAGTATTATCTTATTTTTCATTTTCTTTTTCCCGAATAGTCTAATCTTAAAATGCCTGTATCTTTGTATCTCCTATTTCAGAGGTAAAAATGGACACACACACACACACACACACACACACACACACACACGAACACACACACTTTAGAAAAATTGCAAAGCTCTGGAGGCTGGCTGGTGAAGCAAAAACTCCTGACTAGAAAGTGGGTGCTTAGCAACCAGGACCACAATGCTTCTGGCCTGGCCACATGGATTGATTTCATTTTTTCAAGCTCTGATAATAGCTGGAGACTATCCTGTGGTCTGGATGAGCGATTCCCAGTGTGTCTTTGTATAGTTGTTTTGTTTGACAGGCAGCAGTCAGCTTTTACTTCTCTATCTAGGGAGGGCAAGTGGACCACTTGTGGAGTTTTCTTGGACCAGCACAGAACTGTGGACCACAAGTTGTGGATAGCTGTTCTGGAAAGTAGAAGCCCATAATCAATGGGCTTCTCAAATGCAGAAAGATGGGCTCTTGATTGGCAGGAGACACTCTGACTACATAGTTCAAAGATATAGTGAAAAGAAATAGATGTTGAAGTAATTTACGGGGAGTGGGGTGTTTAGCTATAAGTTGAAGGCATGCCTTCACCACTCTGATTGGAAAGCAATGTTTTAGGCCCCAATCCAGGTAAAACCACCGGTAATTTTTCATACAAAGATTGAAAACTCTGACATCTTACTGTACTTGGAAAACAAATGCCATGAAAGCAACAATGATACAAATGTACAAATAGCTGCATTCTTCCTGTGGACTGCTAACAACTATGATCAAAGTTTATCTTTTTCAAACTAACCTATAAATTTAGAGAATCTAGTCCATAGGAGAATTTTTAAGGAGTTACGGTAAGCAAAATAAACTAAACAAGTTTGATTAAGTTTGTAGATAGTCTCTCATGTCAGTGGAATTGTCTTGTCTATTTGGGACTGTCTTATATGTTAATTTACATGTTTGATAACTTGACTGTCTATCCGATTTTGCTGATGAAATCTTCCATCCTTTTAAACCCCATAAGATTTCAAACTCAGTATTGAATCCTGGGAAGGAAATGGCCATTCTATCAACCAAAGGCAAAGAGGAAATAGCCCTTATTTTGGACATCTTCTAAGTACTTGGAGAAAACATGGAAAATGGTTATAAAAATAGAAATTTCTCAATTTCCCTCTTCTCCTTCCCATTTGGCTAGTCTTCTTCAGTTTCACAGTCAGCAGGACCCTGATGCTTTCCCTCTCCTGGGACATCCTGAGGGGTCATGCCCCCAGGACTGTGAGTGCCCGCGTGTTCCAAGGTGCTGAGGGAGCTCTGCTTCCTCCTGGCAATTGGACAGAGGTGCCGCCCTTCCATCATTTGCCTTCTTGGCTCAGCTTTGTGTGGGGGTGTGTTTTTCCTGTTTTCTAACTCAAATTTTGTTTGGTGGGGTGGGAATATCTTTGTCCAGATGGTCCCCATCCCAGGACATTTTGCAGAATATCTGTGAGCCAGCAACCACCGGGGAGTTGCTTTTTTTCTTTTGACTCAAGAAGGTCCCTCAGTTTGCTCCATGTTGCCAAGTCTTTCTGTAAATCTCAAGTCATGTTCCTTTCACAAAACAACTCTCCAAAAACACACACGTACACATATATACACACACACATACAGTTTTACTGGTTAAAAAATTAGTCTCTGGCAAATTTTTGCAAAGGCAAACTACTAAAAAGAGATCGTTTTTATTCCTTCAAAGAGGCTGGCAAACCTGCTCCCTTTGTGACTGCTTTTTAAGTAAAACCCTTGAATCTCAAAAATGTTCTTGGAACACATGTTCCTGAGTGGACACCCCACAGAAGCTGATCCCCAGGACACAATGTCAGCCTAACCACCTCCCACCACTCCATCCCAGAACAAACCAGAGCCCTTTAGAAACAAATCACGTGGAATAAGCCAGATTGCAAATGAAAGCCGTACGGTCTATTGGAAGCAGCATAATTTGTGTTTATTATGCTCTTTCAAGCGATGCTCTATCCCCCTTTGTCCCATTTTCTTGTTGCACAGTAGACATCTGCTCATGACTGAAATGCCTTAGAAGAACTTGATCCCTTGGGCTAGGGGAGGTGAGGGTGGAACCGGGACGCCTTCATCTAAACATTGCTTGTAAACCTCACCCCTGTAGTCTTTTGCAGAACTATCTTTATTCTCCCTTTCTTCTTCAGCATAGCACCCCCCACCCCATTGTCTTGCAATGTGCAGGATCTATCTAAGTAAAGGATGTTGTGTTGAATGACTACCCCTGTTGAGGGCTTTTAAACACTTTAACATGTGGCAGCATTGTTATAGCTGTCATTGCTGTCTTGGAATTTATTCTCAGCTCTGAGAAAGGCTTTTAGCCATGTGTCAGGCAGCACGTCAGCAGAAATTGCCAACAAGCATGATTTATATTCAGCCTTTTAGGGCTAGGAGAGTACTGCCTCAGGCCGCTTCAGGTCTGAAAGAGACTAGCATCACACCTTGACAGTCTGTGACCTACATCTGCCCTTGGTCAGGCAAATCTTGTTTGAAAGATAACAGACATTGTCAGCAGCATATTCCGGAATCTGCTCTCCTTAATGGTAGGTAGCTTAAGAAAATGGCCTCCCCCTCTCACCTCACTATCTTATCCTATACCATATTTGTACTTACTCTCCCCTGCTCCTGCCCCATATGCAACTTGAGGACCGGTGGATTTCATTCTGGCTGCCCAAGTCTAACTTACAGTGAGACAGTATTGCAAAAATATGTTATCACAATATAGTTTGTAATATGGTGCATCTCATTCAATAGAATGATTCTTCTCATTCAATGGAATACTCTGCAGGCAGTAAACTGATTTTAAAGAGGATCACTTCCATGTTAATAAAAATTTGATAAGTAAAAAACAAGTTACCAAACCAAATGTCCATCATCAACTGATGGATGGATAAAATATGTAAATCTATACAATGGAATATTATTCAGCCTTAAAAAGGAAAAGAAGGTACCAACACATGCTACAACATGAATGAAGGTTAAAAACATTATGTTAAGTAAAAAGATAGAAACAAAAGGCCACAGATGATAATATTCCATTCGTATGAAATGTCTATAATAGGCAATTACGCAGAGACAGAAAGTAGATTAATGCTTGACAAAGGCTGAGCAGAGGCAGGAATGGGGAGTGACTGCTAATGGATACTGCGTTTCTTTTTGGAGTGGTGAAAACTTTCTGGAATTAGATGGCTGCCAACTTTGAGTATATTAAAAATCACTACATTATGCACTTTAAAAGACCTGAAAAGGTTGGATTTTATGTTATGTGAATTATGTCTCAATAAAGCTGATACACATACACACACACACACACAGAGAGAGAGAGAGACTAAAGGGACTAAAAAAGGAAACAAAGGAAAGTTACCTAACTCCATGTAATGATAATGGTCTTATTTTTGTAAAAACAAAACAAAAAGGTATAGATCTATGCTAATTAAAAAGACTAGAATGATAAAGTTACCAGTATGAATGGAATTATGAGAATTTGGCATTTTCCTCTTTGTGCTTATCTGTATTTTTCCTAATTACAGAAATTATGCTGGTTTATTTTGTAAAACTTCAAAGATGAATGTCATTTTTAAATGTGAGAAAAAGAGGGGTAAATGATGGCTGGTTTAAACATACGTTAAACAGCTTCTCTTTGTCTTAGAGGGACAGTGCGGGCCTGGGAAGTGAGCACCAAATAGAAACCTTAAACTATGGTACAATGAGCCAGAATAGTCAATTCCTTGTCCTTTACTTTCCTGTCCATTTTCTTACACTCAGAAAATAGTATCATATTAAGCATATTGTGTTGAGTTCATAACAGATTAAATGGGGTAGAAATAAATTTAACATTTATTGAGAGCACCTGGTTGCCGGGACCTCTGAAAAAGCATAGCCTTGCCAATGACATTAACAAATGTTCTGTCTGGCTGGGGGTGGTTACCTTCAACACTTCCATTCACATTCTATGAGAAAGAACTTGTCACCTAGTCATACCTACCTGCAAGAAAGACTGGAAAACATAGTTTCTAACTGGTTGCCCATGTGCCCTACAAAAACTATGAGTGTTTGGAAGGAAAGAAGAGTATATTTGGGGGAAAACTAGCAGACTGCCATACCAGCTGTTCAGAGACAATTTTTCAAATGCAGCAAAATGATATTTATACATAAAGAAAAATATCTTAATCCAAAGGACAATTCTGGATTACTATGAGAGGGAGTATAAGTTGTTGGAGCTCTTTAAAAATAAGAAAATTACCCTTCAACTGGAATGGTGGATAGATATTCAGCTGTCTATAGGCAGATTACAGAATCAAATGACCCATAGAAGTCATTCTAAGCTGTGCAATCATTAGTATTCTTGATTGTTGTTCTTTTTTAAACAGAGAAGATTCCTTGTAAGTAACTCATATTCTTACTTACCTTTTGTATCTAATTTTTGCCAAGTGGTGTGACATCAGGATGGCTTTTCTATAAAAGAGCTCATCATATTACCATAAGTCCTGTAATAATTCCTGTATTCGTTAAGATAATGCTAGCCATTGTACTGAATAAATTCCCAAATTTCAATATCTTAATGAAATACAAATGTATTTCTTGCTCATGCACTAGTGTAATATGAGAGTGCAATGGGCAGCTTTCAATGTGATGAGTCAGGGACGCAGGCTCCTTCCTTCTTTGGACTTTATCAATTTTTAGATTCCTCTAGTCCTTAACTTCTAGATGGTTGGATGGGGAAAAAGAGAAACTGAAGGATAGTATGGGAAGATTTTATGGCCGAAGCCTGGAAGCAGAGCACAAAACTTTCACCCATAACCCATTGACCAAACATCAGTCAAATGACCACACTTAACCAAAGGGAGGTTGGGAAACGTAGTCCAGCTTCAATCTTTCTACCCATCAGGAAAAGAAAGAGAGTTGGAGAACACTTAGCCAGTCTCTGTCACAACTCCTTATCTGAAAGGAGTTAAAGTCTAAACTCTTTGTCAAGGACTACAGGGTCCTTTATGATGGGTTCCTATTTACCTCAGGAGCCTTATCTTGCGTCTTGAACTCTATTCCATTTCAGGTCAGTGAATGACAGAGATCCCTGAGGTGTTGATGGCTCACATAATCATGTTGTTTACCAGTAGAGCAGTGACTAGCAATTATTAAAATCTTTTGATCTTCTTATCTTTTAGTCCCATGGAACCAACCAGCTTTTAGCAATATTTTTCCCACCAAACAAAAAAGACAGGATAATGTAAGCACTGTTGCTTAACCACTGTTTGATGTTCATGGGGTAAGTGTTTTTCTTTTTACTTTTTCTGTTTTTTGTTTGTATCCTAGTACATCTTACAGACTAAGAGAGAAGGCATTGCCATTTATATACCTGGGAGATCCTGTTACTTTCATTAAGGGTTTTCTGGTCTTTATCCTCTCCTCCTAGGTGGAGAATGGTTTAGTCAAAGTTACCTATGATACTGGTTCCCACACAATGATGCACTTAGGGATCATGTGGGAAGTTTGGGAAAAAGATAATTTTAGAGCCCTATCAGAGAATCTGATTCAATAAAGTGGGAGTGGTATCCAAGAACCTTTGTTTTTAAGGTTCTGATGTAATGGTCCATGAGCTATAATTTGAGAAACACTAAACCTGGCTGGTTAGAGAATATAGAGTAGTGAACAAGAATACTACCCAGACAAATTTATTCAGCTCTACTACTGAAGAGCTCTGCAGTCTTGGGCAAGTTTCTTAAACTCTCTGAGTGGCTGGATGGGCCCCAGTGAAATGTTCCTAGGAGCTCCTGGTAATGTTCCACTTGCTTTGCTTCTAGATGTCACTCCCTGCACCTTCAATAGTGTTGCACCATGATTATAGCTGGACTCCCACTCTAGCCACCTACAGTGTGTTTCTCAAGAAGAGGTAATGTCACCATACATGAGGACTAAAAAATTGGCTTTTAGAACCAGGAAAAAGTTTAGGCTCAGTGAAGGAAGAAGTTGGTAACCTGGTGATCCTGGTCATTTTCGTAACTTTTCCCTTTTATTTATTATTATTATTGTTGAGACATAGTCTCACTCTGTCACCCAGGCTGGAGTGCAGTGGCATGATCTTGGTGCACCACAACCTCCACCACCTGAGTTCAAGTGATTCTCCTGTCTCAGCCTCCTGAGTAGCTGGGATTACAGGCATCTGCCACCACACTTGGCTACTTTTTTGTATTTTTTAGTAGCGATGGGGTTTTACCATGTTAGCCAGGTTGATCTCGAACTCCTGACGTCAGGTGATCCGCCCGCCTTGTCCTCCCAAAGTGCTGGGATTACAGGCGTGAACCACCGCACCTAGTCAACTTTTCACTTTTAAAGCCGAGTCCTTGACTACGTGCAGATGGGTAGCCACTTGTGTGATGTAGATGCTAAAAATGTAGCAAGATCATAGATGTCACTGAAGAGGCATTGGTATTCATATCAACAAAGGGGGAAGGTCCTGTTCTACTCTGTGATGACCACAGCATATCTGGAATATTGTTCTCTTTTGGTATCCCACTCAAATAACTTTGACAATCTAGAGTACATCCAGACACAAGGGAACATAATGGCATGAGGTCTATAAATCACGTCTCATGAGAAAACATGGTCAAATTGGGAAGTTTAATTTTCTGAAGAGCCTTGGTGGTAGCTCAGGGTGATGAGTCTCTTGGCCCATCATCAGGGCATGATGATTAATTTTTTAAACTCAAGGAGATAAAAATTGTAAGAGGACCTAGACTTATTTGATGCCTCAGTACAGCAGTTTTGACATTGGTAGGAGGCAGGTTAGAGTAAAAGATGTTTCTATGCTTAGAAACATCCAGCTGTGGGAAAGACAGAGACTGGTAACAAAATCCCCAGGGAGTTGTGAGCATCATTTCTCTATGAGTTAAATTACATGACCTATAAGGCTCTCACATTAAGATTCTGTGGTCAGGCTGAGGCACTGGTGATTTAACAGGATGCTTCATGGCACTTCTGTTCCTGCTGATGCTATTGAAAATGTCTCAGGTCATTTGAGGCCCATAGGCTTCTGGGTTTTCATCTATTCTATGGAAACATTGCTATAAAAACCCAATTTACATGCTTCTTGTAAGGGCAAACTTAGAGTGGCTTTCTTAAAGCATAGCTTTATCCTCCTCCATCTGAACTTGGTTGGTGGCCCTTGCGTGTAATAGGGCAATGTTATGTTATCTTCACTCTTCTGCTTCTCTCCAGTAGCAGAGAGACAATGTTGTTTCTGGTTTCCATCTTTAATAAACAGAAGAGAATTATTAGGAATTAAGTGAGAATTTAATAGTATTATGGGCGAAGAGAGAGGGATGCCTGGATCCTGTGCTGGTCCAAGCATTCTTCTGTTTTTCCTGAGACAGATACTGCACACAAAGAACAATAGATGAGAAACAAAATACAAATTTTTAAATAAGCTGGGCTGAAGTCAGATGAATCAACATAGAGCCCTCTGATGAAAGCTGAGTTAGCATGGTAGGAATTTGGGGTGAGGTTTTGTTGATGTTGAGATATAGTTCAGTCAAGGGACCTAAGAATGCATAAATTTTGCATTGGACTAGACACCTATACTGTAGGAAGTTTCTCAGGAAGTAAGCTCCACCCATGACTAAAACTGACAAATGGGAAGCTAAATTTTACCTTATCAGTGACTGGATAAATGTCCCCTTCATGAATGCAGTATTCTCTAGAGAAGGCCAGGTTGGCACAGAGGGCTCAGGGAGAGACCCACAAGAGCTACTCTTCCACAAGCCCCAAATCTCTAAATCTGAACCCTTGGACCAAACCACGGGTTACAGAGATACTTGCAATGGTACATGCACTTATGATCAGGTTTGAGAAGACAGAAGAATTCGGGCCTCTGGATATACTAGGGCAGCTTACTCCATGGCTCACAGGGAAGAGAAACAAGTGCTGCAAAGGAAAACACAATAACCAACCTGCTCAGGTATGGCTCCATAACTGATCCAGGAGGACAGAGGCTGGGAGTTGTGAAAGAAAACCATGTAGGGCCAGGCAACACCACACCACAATTCCACTCACTGAAACATGGCCCCATCACTACCAACCTGGGACCTTGTCAGGAGGGAGGAGAGTGCTGCAGCTCAGTGAACAGAGAAGAAAAAATATCACAACAACCAGTTCCCAAGTAGGTCTTCGCTCATTCAGCAAAACCCTCTGCATGGGGAGACAGCCAAGAGAATAAACTAGGTAGGTCTGAGGTAGATCCTGGCTTGCTTTCTTGGCCATTTAGCTACATGGAAATCAGAGGGCAGACATCAAGATTGCCAGGTTCCTAGGAGGTCTGGCTCAGCTCACCAGGCTGACCATTTAATGCAATAATGGCAGAGGCCAAGGCAAGATGACCAGGTCAGTGTAGATCTTAACCAGCCAGAGACATGGAAGCTAGAAGCGGATAAAAGTAAGCCCTCCTGGATAAGATCTTTTAATACACAATGTCTCTGCCCACTGTGGTTCCATCAGCATCTTGAAATCTGTCCAATAATATTAGCAATCCTTCTTCCTGATGTGTGAGTGGGGGTGGGTGGATAGGAATTTCACTAAAATATTCATGCTATGTGAAATGAAAAAGTCCAAAAGGACTCTTCTATGGTTTGAATGTCTGTCCCCTTGAAAACTCATGTTGAAATTGAATTGCCAATATAATGGTATTGGGAGATGGGAACTTTAAGAGGTGATTAGGCCACAGGGCTCCATCCTCATGGGTGGGTTTAGCACCTTTACTAAAGGGCTTTTGGGTGTGGATTCTTGCTATCATGTGTGCTCTCATGCCCTTCTGCCTTCTACCAGGTCCTCTTGGACTTCCCAACCTCCACAACTGTGAGAAATATGTTTTTTCTTTATAAATTATCCAGTTTGTGGTATTCTTATAAGAAGCACAAAATGGATTAAAACAGACTCCTAGCACCTTATATATGCAGAAAATTTGACTTTCAGGTTGCTGGGGGCCTTTGGTTGTAATCTTGGCATTGAGAGCTTCATTCTTACACTACTTTAACATGCAACATCTATAGGAGAGATCAATCTAGCTTTGTGTTTTAAGAAACAGGAGAGGAGCAGTATGGTGTAAGGTTAAGAGCCTGTGCTCTGCGTGCTTGACTTTCTGAACCCAAATCTCAGTTCTGCCCCTTCCTGCTTCTAAATGTCAGTTTCTTCATCTGAAAATGGGATGATAATATTAATATGCATGTCAAAGGAAAGAATGCACACGAAACACCAGACTCAGTCATAATAAGTGCTCAAAAACTTAGCTCTTTGGTTTTACTTGTAGGAAGAATAATCATATCATATTGGTAAAAAATGACGCTTCAGGTTCCTTGAGTATACATGCCACCCTTCACTAAGAAGATTAAAGTGCTTTTCTAGCTGCAATCATAATTTTCTTCATGGTATCTTGAGAGTTTGAAACAATTTGAGATAAACAGAAGCATTTGGAACTCAGAACTAAGCCCAGCATGCATTCTCAATTTAAAAAAATACTTTGATTTTTGGTAACATGCTTGAGGTGATATGAGGAGTGTCATAGACTGGCAGACCTAGGGATAAAACTCAGAACTGCTTCTTTCTCCATGTAACATCCATGAGGAGCTTGTCCAATTTGGGGCTCCAGAATGAATTTGCAGTTTTGTAGTCAGCATTATATGAACCTTGGGACTAAACTTCTGGGAGGTCTTGCTGGTCACCCTGGGCCACAGAGCCAGAAGAAGAGAAGGCGGGGAGACAAGCTGCAGCTGACCCTGGGTGCATGCTCTTGTCTTGAGGGGGATGGTTTTAAAGTGCCTTATCTTTCATATATTGCACAGGCCTGGAATATCTCTAGGGTCTGTAATAAACTTTCTGTCTGTTATTTCTTGTGACTACACTTGAGGTTATCCATCCTGAATTCCAGAAACAAACAGGTCAAATTCTAAGAATTCTGGCATTTAGAATCACAGGATGTTACAGTTTGCAGAGACTTTAAAGCTTGTCTTTTCCAGCCTCTTCAGCTTACAGATTATAAAACTGAACCCCAGGAAGGTCAAGAAACTTACTGAAAGTCACGTAGTTAGTTTCTGGAATAACTGAGAATATAGTGCAGTTGTATAACACAGTGGTTAAGACTGGTAAGGACATGGATTCTGGAGCTTGACTGCCTGTATTCAAGTTACCAGGAACAACTATTCACTAAATAAGAAACATAGGAAATTTACTTAAATCCCTGTGCTTCAGTTTCCTGATATATAAATCATGGTTAACAATAGTACTTACCTCACAGGCTGTCATGACGTTTAAATCAGGTAAGGCATATAGAAGACTTTTAGCACAATGCCTAACACTTAATAAAACACTTAATACTTTAATTTTTACCATGAATTTTAGATATCTTTTCTTTCCACGCAAGATTTTAGGCAACCATATATAGTCACCAATTCCTTCACGGTGAAAATACATTCTGAATCTTAACAATTTTTACCCTTTACACTGATAGCACCCTAAACCCCATTATCACTCACCTAGATTACTGCAATAGCCTCCTCATTGGTCTTCCTGCTTTCTCTCTTGTCTTTTGTTCTGGTTATTGATGGTTGCATAACAAAATACACCAAACTTATGCTTACAATTTTGTGGATCAGGAATTCAGAAGAGTTCAGGAAGACAACTTGTTTCTACTCCTTGCATTGTCACCTAGGGTGGCTTAACTGAGGTTGGAGGATCCACTTCCAAGATGGTCCACTCATATGACTGGCATGTTGGTGCAGGCTCTTGGATATGAGTTTAGCTAGAAGTGTCATCTGGAAGCCTCAGTTCTCCACAGGGCCTTTTCTTGTGGCTACCTGGGCTTCCTCACAACATGGTGGCTAGGTTACATGAATGAGTTTTCCAAGACACTAGAAGTAGAAGCTGCCAGTTTCTTAAAGTGTAAGCCTGAAAAACTGTCAAAGCACCATTTTCATTATATTCTATTGGTCAAAACAATTACAGAGTCTGCCTGGATTTAAGGGAAGGAAAAATAGATCCCTTTTCTCAATGAGAGAAGTGTCAAAAAATTTATGACCATATTTAATCTTCCTTGCTCCTCTATAGTCAATTTTTAAAAAAAGTACCACAAGCCACCTTTTAAAAAATGTAAATTAGATCATGTTACTTCCTATTGCTTTAAAACTTTTATGTGTCAACCCATCACACTCAGCATGTAATTCAGAATCTTTACTGTGACCTATGAGATCCTACAGGAGGCCCTTCATTGACTGTCTAACCTCATTTTCTTTGTCAACTTTTCAAATTGTATTCTCTGAAACCCTGTCTAAAACAGTGCCCAACTACTTTCTTTATAGCACTTATCATTAACTGACATTATGTTATATTTTAATCTATTGACTAGCCCATGTCAGCTCCTAGAATATCAGTCCATTAGGGCAGAAACTTTAGTCAATCCCTTATCTCCGTTGCTTAAAACTGTTGGCCACATAGTAGGTGCTTTATAAATATTTGTTGAATTAATAAATGGTGCTTTTTACATTTTTTTCTGCCAGGAAACAAAAAGCAACTTCTGTTTTTGTGTACTTGACTTTCTGCTATACTTTCTGTCCCTGGAGAGGGAGCAGCCTTGGTGTCAGAAAGTCCGTTTACCTATGCAGTGTAAAGAGGGAAAGCAAGATGAAAGGTGCAATGCTTGTAGCAGGAGAAAGGGGGTGGAAACCAGTTGGCTAATATTGAGAATTTTCATAATTGTTTTAGGTTTTTAGGTCATATGTATGTAACAAGAAACAAGATACAATCTGTGCTATTAATGAGTTTAGGATTACAGAAGTCTCATTGTGATAAGGACTCAAGGGTGGCAGAATGTCTGCATGAAAAGACTGGTGGTGTTGAAATCAGACAAACTTGGACTCCTTTCTCTGGGCACGAGACTAATAATCAACTTGTTTAGCCTCTTGGAGTCTTGATTTTCCTCATCTATAAAGGAGAAATACTTATACTTTCTAAACATTTCTGTGAGAATTAAATGTGTGATTTTTATCTGTGGTGGGTTTAAAACACAACTGCAAATTCTGTGTCACTTCTTTCATTGAGAGGTGGGGTCTATGTATCTTCTCCTTGAAACTGGACAAATTGTGTCTGCTTGGAGCAAAAGAGTATGGCAGAAATACTCTGTGCTCCAAGACTAGGTCATAAAAGGCCAGACAGAGCTTTTATTCTTGAAACTCTGAGCTACCATGTGAGAAGCCTGACTACCCCGAGACTATCATGCTGGTATGGCCACATGTGGGCATTCTGGTTGAGCCCCAGTTGAACTATTCATTAGCTATTCCAGCTTGGGCACAGATTTGTGAGTGAAGAAGACATCTTCGCTGTGGATCCTCCAAACTGAGCTATTCTAGTCCTCAGTGACTTGAATCACTCCCAGTCATGAAAGTCATCTCGCTCAAAGTCCATAGCAAGTTCAATGAGAATTGTCCCTGCTTTGCCGTTTCCAAATTCCTGACACAGAATTCATGAGCACAGTAAAATGGCTGCTTCAAACCACTATGTTTTGGGGATGGTTTGTTATACAGTGAGAGAGAACTGAAACAGAATGGAAACCATCCAAACTCATCCTTTGTATAAAGCAGATGATCTCAGCATGTCAATTCCCTTCTCCTTTCCTTCTAAATTTCATAGGAATTTAGAGATGAGGGATGTACTTGTGGACTTTATGGAGTGGTAGGTGTTGAGTTGGGTCTTAAAGGTAGCCTGGGATTTCAATAAAGAGAAGAAAGAGTGTCACAGAGGCATTCCAGGCAGGGAATGTAGGTGGGAGGAAGCAAGGTCACAGACAGAGACTTTCAGTAAGCCTGTGCATAACTCACTGCTTAAGTATGCAATGGTCAGCCCTAACTCTTTCAGAATGAGGGATGAAACTGCTCAGGAGGACACTCCCTAAGCAGCTGCCTCCTTTCTGATGAGGACCAAATGTGGTGATGTGGACCTTGCCATTAGAGCCCAGCCCTCCAGGCCTAGTCCTCACCAGGAGTAAGCTAGATAAGTTGAAGGGATGCTGGGGTCCTCACTCTTGCTTCTGGCTTGGTGCTTTTTATGTATCTGCCTCTCTCTGCACCTTTTCTGGAGCCATCCCAGGCCCTTCTTCTTAACCCAATTGTCTCATCATCATTTTCCATGCTTGCTGCTTGAGACTCCCTGTTCTCTCTATGGCCCAACATTTTCTCTGTAGGAGTGAAAATACAAATGCAGTTTGGCTGCTTTCTCATACTTTAACAAAACATGGACATCTGTTAAAAAGGAGGCGTGTCTGTGAGTGTGTGCCTGTATGTACTTACCACTCATGCATACCTGTATCTCAGGAAGAAAATTTATATTGAAAATACTCTTTTAGACAGCAATTGGTCTTTTTAGGAGTGAAAACCATGACTTTTAGGTAAATTACAGATCTTGCCAGGGACTGTTCTCAATTGTACTTGCACTGAATAAATAATGAGTTACCCTGGGAAAATTGTTTATTCTTAGTGTGCAAGAAATCCTTTCCACTTCTGTGAGGCAAGAGGGTTGTCAGGGGAGCTGTCGCCATCATTTTAGACTTGACCTTAAAAGCCATGTTGAGTCTCCCAACCATTTCCCCTTTTCCCTTCCCCTTAAACGTCTGAGATCCCCATTAGAGCAGAATTCATCACAACCCAGTGGCAGAATTTCTGTTCATGGCCTGATCCGTATTGTCAGTCATGACACTAGGTCAATTTCAAGGCTCTCTTCAGCTAATGTGGACTTGATTTTCTCACTTCATTCTTCTACCTGGATGGTTCCTATTGAGAAACAGAGAAGAAGATTTATCTTGGTGTATTTAATTATAATTAATATCTCAGTAACTCTTATGTTCAAACAACAGACTAGGCTGGTGCTACTGTAAAGCAACTCTTTCTTCTCAGTGTTTGTTTGTAAACCCAGTCATTTTTTCCCTTACCCTTAGATAAAATCTCGACTAGGCCTGGAATGTATCTTCTTATTTTCAGAGACAAAATCTTCTCTAGCTACTTTAACTAGAAAGAAGGAAGCTAGACTCAGATACTTGTATTTACTCAGTTTACTTAGGGTCAGTTTAGTGTAATGATCAAGACTAGGAGCCTCACTCAAACTTCCTCCTTCAAAATATTAGGCCCATGCAGGTAGGAAGCTGGCAGTGAAAAGGGGGTGGGGAGCTGAGAGGCCTCCTCTACATCTCTTGGTGTTGCATTTCTACCCTTCTCCCCATCTTAATGATTACGGTTTCTGACCCTGATTCCCACAGTGGTGGGTTCAAGTTGGGGGTGAGTATGGGAGGAAGGTAGGGGAACAGAGAAGGTCTGCGTGTCTGGTACCATTGTGAGCAGGCACTGGAGCATGGTGGGCCAGGCAGAAGGCTGAACCTGATTCTCCTGTGAGCACTTGTGAGATTTTGGCACTCTTCCTTCAGCAACCAGCTACTGAAGATCTTTCATCTGTTATGTTCTATCACAAATGAGGTGTCTTAGTCCATTTGTGTTGACACACAGGAATATCTGAGGTTGAGTGATTTATAAGAAAAGAGGTTGTTTTGCAGGCTGCACAGGAAGCATGGGACCAGCATCTGCTGCTGGCAAGGGCTTCAGGCTGTTTCCGTTCATGGTGGAAGGGAAGGGAAGGGAAAGGGAGCTGGTGTGTGCAGAGATCACATGGAGAGAGAGGAAGCAAGAGAGAGTGGGGAGGTACCAGTTTCTTTTTAACAACCAGCTCTTTCAGGAAGTAATAGAGCAAAAACTTACTCATTATGGGGAGGATGGCACCAAGCCATTCATGAAGGATCCACTCCTTCATAGATCTTCTGACCTACGGAAACTATTTCACAGTTTCTGTAGGTCAGAAGTCGAGGCACAGCATAACTGGGTCCTCTGCTCAGGGTCTCACTAGGCTGAAATCCACGTGTTGGCCAGGGCTGTGATCTCATCTGAGGCTTGGGGTCATCTTCCAAGTTCACATGGGTGTTGGCAACATGTATTTCTTGGCAGCTCCAGAACTCATGGAGGCTACATCTTCCAGGCTAGCACGTCTCTCTGACACTGTCTTCTTTTAAAGTCTCACCTAATTAGGTGAAGCCCACTTAGGAAATCTCTCCTTTGATCAACTCAAAGCCAACTGACTAGTAGCCTAATCATGAAAGTGTTATCCTATCATTCTTACAGGTCTCACCCAATGGGTTTTTTTTGTTTGTTTGTTTGTTTGTTTGTTTTGGGATGGAGTCTCACTGTGTTGCTCAGGCAGGAGTGCAGTGGTGCAATCTCAGCTCACTGCAACCCTCCACCTCCTGGGTTCCAGCGATTCTCCTGCCTCAGCCTCTTGAGTAGCTGGGATTACAGGCGAGTGCCACCACACTCGGCTAATTTTTGTATTTGTAGTAGAGACAGGGTTTCACCATATTGGCCAGGCTGGTCTCAAACTCCAGGCTGATCTCAAACTCCTGACCTCAGGTGATCTGCTCACTCCGGCCTCCCAAAGTTCTGGGATTACAGGCATGAGCCACTGTGCCTAGCTCCAATGGGGGTTATTATACAAGGGGAGAGAATCATACAGACGTATATGGGAGGGGGTGGGAATCTTGAAGGGCATCTTAGAGTTCTGCCTACCTTGTCTCTCCTGGGAAGGAACTATAAGGCCACTCTCCCCACCTTACTGCCATCTCTTTCATGTGGCCCACATCTGAGATTTTCTTTTTGTGGGAATGCAATTACTTCCCAGTGACAATTCTCTCCTCTTCTTTCACAGGACTCTAGCTATGTCTGGTCCTTTATATTTTTCAGGTGTGGCCCACTTTCCATTTACTGTGTTGCTTGACATCCAGGAGACCCATAACAAGCTCACTGAATGATCTCCTTGAAGTCTCTCTCATTAGTACTGAAGTGAGGGTAGACATTTCCAAAAAAATATTCCACTCCAATCTTTAATTCTAATTCTACTAGTTGTACCAAATTATTTTTTTATACTCATGAGTGGGTGAGGAGACAAGGGTCATGAAAGAGTTTTAGAACATCTGCTTTGTAAATCCTGTTCAAGTTGTCTGGTATCTAACATTGAAATTTGGAAATTATTGGAACCATTTTGGGCTTAGTTAAAACTGAGACTAAAACAGTTCCATAACAGTCTGGTATTTGAGGCTTTATTGTTGCTCATTTTTGTCAAGTTCTTACTGTGTGTTATACTTCACTAAGCACATAATATGGGGAAACTGAAGCTTCAAGGTTAAATTACTAGCTCAGGGTCACACGGCTGGTAAATAGTAGAACTGCAATTTGAACCCAGGTTGGACCACATCACCCATGTCTTAACCACCCTTTGTACTACCATCCTAATACTTTTGTTCCCAACATTTACTCTCCAAATGAAATCACTTAAGTCACCTTGGATCAAATTCATTGACAATAATTATACTGATGAATTTGTTATCATGTTGATTCTCTCTCTACCTGTCTGTATTATGTGCTTATGGAAAAAAATCTCCTGATAAATGCTATTACAGTTAGGGCTGTTTATTTCCTCCTGCTTTAGGAAAACACCCTGATGTTTTGACCAATTAGTTTCAAACCACTGACCAGCTACAAATCTGGCCCTTTGTCAACTACCAGGGCAAAGAAGATTTACCAAAACCAGAGTCTGAGAAAACAAATGGGACAGTGAGCAAAGGTAACCAAAGAAGCGGCACCTTCTTTGCATCTCAGGCAGTTTTCTTACTAGCATCTGGGCATACGTGGCAGTCTTAGGGTGGGTCACACGTGGAAATTTTGAGAAATTCTGTTCCATGGATAGAGCGCTAATTGTGTGCTGATGATTTGTTTGTATTCCCTTTGTCACAGTTAAAGGAAGAGACCACAATTGGATGTGAATATTTATTGAATACATTTTCTAACTGCTTTTTTCTAAGAGTCTAGTTGCCTTATGTATACTTACCACCCTGCTACTCAGCTGTTTTCTTGGTCACAGGCAGAGTCAGCCCACCAAATAGAGCCAAACCTCAGGACTGTAGGATACTCAGCCATTCTTTATGCTGTAAAACATGTATTAGTAACAATAAGCCACCTCCAGGCATTTGAGGCAGCCAGTTCTATTTGGCTTGGGACAACGTGGCAGAGAGCAGTATAATGATTGCATCTCGTGTGGAAGGATTTCTGGAGTAGCTTTAGCCCAATGGGGATAGAAAGTTTGGGAATGGTACCAGGATAAGAATTAAGATGAAATATGCAGTGAGGAAGGCAGATTTTAATAGATGGTTGGGTGTTCAGCAAAACACTACGTACAATTTCTGAGATAGAGCTTTGAGATCTTTAGGTCTGTATCAAAGAAGTGCTGTTATTGATTTGCCACACAAACAATTCCTTCTTTGCTTATTCATAGGGAACATTTAATCTCAGGCTGCCCCATTGCTATCAGATGAAAAGTGCTCAGGGAATGGAAATTAATTTTGCTAGTTGCCTAAATAAAACCCAATTAAGAAAACAAATTTGCTCCCAGGAAAACATGTGCCATACATTGCAGAACAAGGCAGAAATTACTTACTTTGGATAGTTTGGCTTTATTTCTAATTTGCCTTCTCCATATTACTGTTCCCTCGTTAGGGAAACAGCCTAGAGGAGACTAAAGGGAGAATAGATTGCTCTTGCTAAGCTTTCAAAGGTCATTGCAGGCCTGTGCATTTAAGTCCATGGAGAGAGGAAAGTGATGGAGAGACCCTGAGCATGGATGGGTTTTGTGGTTAGGTGTGATGCAACCAGGAATAAGTGTTAGAAGTTATGTTCTCCAGATGGCTTCGTGTCTCAGATCAGGCCAGAGATATTATTCAATTCCCTTGAGCTGCTTGTGTTAAATATATCTGGGATAGAAAAGACAGCTAAGGAATCTGTGGAGGAAGAGCCAAATTCTGTGAAATTCCTTTCCATGCAGCTGGACCCAGTTCTTTGTAGGGGATTTCTCTGGGCTCCCTGGAATAGGATTCCTGGGGAGTGAATGATCACCCTTTTAAAATAGAAGTCCTCCTTAGAACCTTGGAACACTACTGGCAAAAGGAAGAGAAGGAACTTCACGTTTGTTGAGAACCTACAATGTATCATGAATTGGGTACACAGATGATTGAATGAGGTAATTAGAGTAGTTTTTTTATTTTTTACTTATTTATTTATTTATTTTTTGAGATGGAGTCTTGCTCTGTTGCCCAGGCTGGAGTGCAGTGGCGCAGTCTTGGCTCACTGCAAGCTCCGCCTCCCAGGTTCACGCCATTCTCCTGCCTCAGCCTCTCTGAGTAGCTGGGACTACAGGCGCCCGCCACTACGCCCGGCTAATTTTTTTGTATTTTTAGTAGAGACGGGGTTTCACCATGGTCTTGATTTCCTGACCTCATGATCTGCCCGCCTCGGCCTCCCAAAGTGCTGGGATTACAAGCGTGAGCCCCTGCGCCCAGCCTAGTGTAGTTTTTTTAATGCTCATTTTATGGAAAGGGGATACTGAGTCAAAGAACAGTTAAATAAATTGGCCAGGAGGTGAGTGATTAGAATTCCATGTTCTCTCTAACACTGCCCCATCGTGATAACATTGTAATAACAATAATAGTGAATATATGTTTAGCACTTTTAACATTCAAAACTTTGCATGTTTACTTCCTCATCTAAGCAAGGTAGGTATAAATGGGATATGGTTGAGAGATTTACCATATGTACTTTGAGTGATTTGCCTTAAATCACACAGGTCGTTAAGATCAGAATTAGAACAAGGGCCTGGGAGCCTGGTGATAATCTCAGGAAATTGTCCTTCAGTTCTTACCTTACTTGGACAATATGAAGATTAGTTGTAAAAGTGTTCAGAGTCCTGCATAGCAAGTTCTTGTCTCAGCTCTTACTCAGGCTATGAATGCGCTTGGTGAGTGTTTACTGGACCAATTAGCTCCTTTCCTTGCTAAAAAGGCTGTGTTTTTCTGGAGTGCCTAATCTATTTGTAGAGCTTCACCCTGGCCACTGTGTTACCTGGACAGACAGAACTGCTGACCAAGGCTGTTGTATCCTGCTGTGTAGGCTGGGCACTGCACATATAAACTACAATGAGTATGGGGCCTTTGGAGATGTGTAAAAGGGTGGCTGTGTCCAGTAGCTGACTCCTCACATTCTGACACTGAGCAGTCCAGAAAGGGCAGTGATTTGAATGTTGGGAACACATTTTCCTTTGTGGAGCTCAGAACTTCTACCTAATCCACTCGCAAGTCCCTTTGATTCCAGGCTCCCATTAGATTCAGGGTTGTTCTGGGCCCTGTAGTGATGGGTGGAGAGTGATGCCCTTACCTTATTGAAGACCTGGCTAAGAGAATCTATTTCCTTGAATAGAAAAGGAATCTTCAGGCTCAATGTCCCACACTGGCTAAATAATAGTAATGATTATCTATCTATCTATCTATCTATCTATCTATCTATCTATCTATCTATGTGTCTTTTTATTATCTATCAATCATCTATCTAGAAAAGGGATCAGTTTGTGCTTAACACTACTTGATATAACAACAGTTAGCCTTCCCTTTCACTAATCTTATTTTAACCTATAACCGCATTTGTTTATTTTCAACTCTTTTGAGTATACTGACAAGAGTTTTATGAGCTTGCCCACACTGATTTGTTGATATAAAAAGGTACAAAATTGTGAGAGACCTTTGAAATTCTCAAGGTCAATATTTGCATTTCCAGGAAATTGGAAAATGGGTGGGGCAAAGGAAGACAGGTTTGTGTCCAATTTCTCCTCTACACTTAGCTCATCTCTTATTTGATTTCTAAGCAATCCAGAAAGGATGGCTGGTGACTATGTGTGTTTAGATTTAAAACAATATCTCCATGCTAATAATCACTGGTGGTTGATGTAGCAGATGAGGATACTTTATCATTAAGAATAAATCTGTGCAGACTTTAAAGTTAATGAAAGATAGAATTTCCTTTTCTAGAAAATATTAAGAATAAAGCAGTCTGGGTTTCTAGGCTAAAAAGTTCTTAGCCTTGTCAGAAGTGAAAATTTATCTGTAATCAAAAGGCAATAATTGTTCCATATGTCAGTGGCCACATTTGTGCCTTTATGAATAAGAAACAGGGATATTTAATTTATTAAAGACTGAATGCAAGTAAATGCTCTCATATGATAGCTTTTACAGGGCTTGTCTGCTGCCAGTGATTCAGAAAGCTGAATGTATTGCCATTTATTTGAAGTACATAGTAAGGATTCATCTTATATTCTTAAATCTGAACTGCTTAAGAGAGAGACAGCCACACAGAGATAGAGAGAGAGAAAGAAAGAAAGAAAGAGAGAGAGAGAAGGAAGGGAGGAAGGAAGGGAGGGAGGAAGGAAGGAAGGAGAAAGAAAGGAAGAAAGGAAGGAAAGAAGAAGAAAGAAAGGAAGAAAGGAAGGAAGGAGAGAGAAAGAAAGAGAAAAAGAACTACACCACTAGGGCATGTACTTGTTATGTTTATCTCCCTTTGAGAGGTATATTAAATTTACATTGGAAAACGTGTAAACTAAGTTTGGGATTTTGCTGAGCAAAGTTTGTCCCAGAGCTTCCATGTCCTTTTCTGGAATTCTATCTCCTGTAATATCCTTGCTGTGTATCCTGAGAGAGGCCCCTTTTTCCATGGGTCCCTTTCAAGATTTGCTGTGACCCAGGAGGTGCAGGACAATTTCTGCAGTGTCTGGTTGGGGCAGTGAGACCAGACCAAAATAGTCCACTCCTAGGCTATGATTCCTGACCTCTTTTTGGAATTGCAAACACCAGATCTTTTGACTTCATGGCACCCTCCCACTCCTCTTAAAAGTGCTGTATGGCACTTTTAAAATTAAAGTGAATTAACACTGTTTCTTTTCAGAATTTGGGATGGTATAAAACTGGGGCTGGATTTCATTGCTTTAAAGATTCTGGGAAGGTATTTGCCCCTTAAGTTAATTGAATTCTTACTTGTGTGTTTGGTACTGGGCAAAGCAATTTATATTGTTCTGTCCTTCGCAGCCCTATGAGCTGTGTCTTGTTATGAGCACTGCTTTAGAGATGATGAAGTCAAGGCAGAAAGAGGTAATGCCCCTGGCCAAGGTCACCCAGGCAGTGATGGTGGAGGTTGACTCTGACCTTAAGAAGAATGAATCTGGTCCTATATTAGTCAGGGAGAGGAAATGCTCCCTGTATTTGAGGCCCATGAGAGAAGTCGTTTCCATGGTTTCTTTGGTGGCTCTTTGGGAGGTCACCAGATAACAAGCTGTAGGTTATAAGTCTCACCTCATAATGGCATTAAGATGGCTGGGACCAAGTGAGTGACCAAAACAACACTGTTAGATGGTATTGAAGAGTATTGGGCTTATCAAGAAAGTGCTCACCATTTTGCAGTTATGCTAGATACCGGAGCACGACCAAATGGAAGGCTGATTCTCTAAAGGTTCCCAGATAAGGTGGTAGTGAGGTAGTGACAGTATATTACAAGCCTGTAAACTCCCCAGATTTTCCAGCAGCTCTTGTTGGAAATTCATGTTATTTGGTGCAATCATTAATGAGTTAATAACCAAGGCCTCCACCTTGATCACAGATGGGCGTTGTGTAGGCTATTCTCCTGGCTCAGAGCAGCATGAATGGAGACTGTTCTGAGATCAAATGTCACAGAATTGTTCAACCCACTGCAACAAGAATTTCCTGAGTGCCTACTCTGAGCAAAGATGCAAGGCAGGGAATCTAAAGACATGTAAGACTTAATCCGTGTCCTGAAAGGAGGTTATGATCTAGTCTGAGTTTGGAGCACATGGACAGATAACTATTTGCAAGCACAGAAACATCACATTCTGATTATCATGCTTTTCCAGCATCTAAATAATCTTTCTTTGAATGTTGAATTCATAGCTGATTATTCTTTAGTTGTGGAGAAAGAGATGGTGCTTATATGGGTACATTCATTTTTAATCCAGTCATTTGTTTATTTAGTTGATGGTAGCTCTTTTCCTCAGAAGTTTGTAGCAGATCAAAACATTAGGGTTGTCAGATGATCAAGCGCCTTGTGCTCTCTTTGCTGTTGTTGCTATTTCAGGCATTTGTTTTTCCAACCCCTTTGATCCTGTCACCCCCTGTGCAACACCTTCAAGGTCTACCACTATTCCTAGGATAAAGTCCAAACATGACAGCGTAACCACCACCAACTTCTCCTTTTGCCCAGTATATTCACCTTCTTTGATTCAGCAAATACATATTAACTGCTGAATATGTGCCAGGCCCTGCTTGAGTAGTTTATATTAATTAACTCCTATAGGGTTGTTGCTATGATCTGAAAGTTTGTGTTCCCCCCAGATATGTTGAAACCTAATCACCAATGTGATGGTATTAGGAGGTGGAGCATTTGGGAGGTGATTAGGTTGTGAGGATGGAGGCCTCATGATTGAGATTAGTGTCCTTATAAAAGAGGTCCCAGGGAGCTAGTTAGCCCCTTCCACAGTGTGAGGACACAGAGAGAAGGAACTGCCTGAGAGCCAGAAAGCAGACCCTCACCAGACTTTGAATCTGCCTAGCTCTTGGACCTCCCAGCCACCAGAACTGCAAGAAACAAAGTTTTATTGTTTATAAGCCACCCAGTTAGAGGTATTTTGTTAGCACAGCCCCAAGGAACCAAGACCGCTGTTATGTTTCTCATTCTTCCTTTGCACCGAGGCAACTGCAGCACAGATAAAATAACCTGCTTAAGGTCAGGCAGCTAGTTGGGGGCAGAACAAGGATTCCAAGCCAGCCAGCCTAGCTGCAGAGTCTACCTTCAGATGCTGCATTATACCATCTCTTCCAGGGCTTTGAGAGACCCTTATCATTTCACGGACTTCACAAATACATTCATTCTGCCCAGAAGTCAAGGCCCTGCCTACTCTGCCTCCATTTCTACTCCTTCCTCCTCTCAGCCTGTCTACCTCTTATATCATCCTTTTAATTTAGAGAGCACTTTTCCCTAACCATTTGAGTTACTGATCATATTACCCACTCCAAAAACACTGTATGTTTTTATCTTATTGCATGTAACACATGGTAATTAAGTAATTATCTGAATAATAAAGATGTAATTCACTTCCAGTAGATCATTTTATGACTTGAAGGTAGGGACCATGTCTATCTGTGCCCTCAGTGCCTGGCACAGTACCTAGCACCTTGTAGGTGCTAAATTAATGTGTATCACATTTAAGAAGTTGAGCAAACTGCCAGACTGGGAACAGACACACAGGAAGACTGTGGAGTGGTAGAATGGATGCAGATGCCTGAAAGGCAGAAGGCCTGTCTGCTCATCCTGGCTGAAGAATATTGAACAAGCCCCTTACTCTCTAGAGCCCCCCTTTTCTCATTTGTAAAATAGAGTCCTAAACAGTTACACATTCACCCTAAAATGTATTGTGAGGACCAGATGAAAGGGGGAGCGCTTATGACACTGCTTAGTCCTACCTTTTTCTTGGTGGTTATGATTTTTTTCATGTGTTTATTAAAGTGGCCTGTTTGATTCCATTTGCTTTCTGAAGTTTGTTCATAAACAAATTCAGTTTTAGAAAACCAAAGCAATCTGATCAGGCCTCTGCATCCAGCTTTCGATTTCCAGAAAATACCCAGGACAGAGGGACATGATGAACTGCACCATGAGCATCCAGTGAGAAAGATCCAGACTGTGGGAAATTCTTTGGCTCAAGTAACTTGGAGCCTTCAACAGACAAATTTTAAGGAAAAGAGAGTGGGGGCGGTGGTGAAGGAGGGGAAGTGTAGATTAAAGTGACTTAAAATATGTATTTTTTTTTTTTGAGACAGAGTCTCTCTCTGTCACCTAGGCTGGAGTTCAGTGGTGCGATCCTGGCTCACTGCACCCTCTGCCTCCCGAGTGTAAGTGATTCTCCTGCCTCAGCCTCCCGAGTAGCTGGGATTACAGGCATGTACTACCAAGCCTGACTAATTTTTGTACTTTTAGTAGAGACAAGGTTTCACCATATTGGCCAGGCTGGTCTCGAACTCCTGACCTCAAGTGATCCGTCTGCCTCTGCTGGGATTACAGGCAATGAGCCACCATGCTCAGCCTCATTTTTTTAAATGAGCAAGATAAAATTAGTGTCCAGAGATGTATGCTTGGGTGATAAACCTATAAAAATGTAAGAAAACAATTACCATAAAAATTAAGATATTGGTTATGCACTTAGAGGGAGGTTTTTCTGATTGGGATGAGACATGTGGAAAGACATTAGGATGGCTGGCAATGTCTATTTCTTGACCTGGGTAATGGTATAAGAGTTTTTGTTTTGTAATAATTCATTACACTATACATGTGTTTGTGTAGTTTTCTGTATCTCTGCTTTATTTTTCAATGAAGTGGTTTTAAAATAAACAAACTGAAATGTGACAAATAAATAACCCAACCAATCAACAAATAATAACAATGCAGAGCTTAATTACAAAATAAAATAAATGATTTTAATAAGTACATACACTGGTGATAGTCTAAATCAGGAGTGGGCAAACTTTTTCTGAAAAATAGCAGATAATACATATATTTAGGCTCTGCAGGCTGTACGGTCTCCATCTCAGCTACTCAACTCTGCCGTTGTAGGCAACAGCTGCCATCGACAACACATAAACAAATGGGCAGGGCTGTGTTCCAAACTTCATCCATAAAAACAGGCTGAGAAGTGGATTTGGCCTAAGGGTGCTGGTTTCCTGACCTTTAATCTAAATTTTTAAATCAGAACACTGGCTGGCATGCCTTCCAGTGTCTGCTGGATGAAAAGCAGCCCAGGCTGTATCCAAAACTTCCTTCAAAGTAATTGCTAGAGAAGGCCACCCACTTATTCTAATGCTGCTTTATTTAAAATGCCTTGAAAATTTTTTTGGAATTGTCTTTGAAGATGAGGTAGCAGTGGTACCATTTCTGTGTCTTTTTAAGTTGAATTGGAGTTTTGGAAACATCTGTATTAGTCAGGCAGAGCCAAACTTAATGAATAAATTGGGTGATCGAACTGGTTGATGGAGTGTTTATTATAGTCAAAAACATTTTCAGAGAAAGTTCCTTGTAAACCAAAACCCCTTTATAGGCTACTGTTCATTCCCTTCCAAAGAGCAGACACTCAAATCCTTCAAGTATTTCCACACTAAATCTGATAGTCAATCTGGCTTTATGGATGAATTTTCCTCCAAATAATGCCATGGATACCAGAGAAACAAATTTAATATCATCTATATTTGTGACATGGAAGTATCTTTTTGACTGTTTTTTATTTCAAGGGGCTCATAGGGCTTCCTACTTGAGAATTTTGTGATTGGTTTTCTGGTCATGCTGGAAACTCAGTGTTTCATTGCTGTCTATTACTTAAAATAGGGTGGTATTAATTTTCCCTGGTTGATAAAAACTATATGCCATTATCTCTGACTATTCCTACTAATAGGTGGTACAATCCCCACAGAAATTTGACTAATTTTCTCCCACATTAAACCTATTTTTTTCCTACTCTTACTTACTCTGATTCTAATGTTCAGCTCTTTATTTGAATGACCTCAAACCTCTTACGTTTTAGTCATTTTCCCTAAATCTTGTGGACAGAAGATAACTTAGATTAATATCATGTACTCCTCCCTTGCTTTTGTGCCTGTAAAAAATCTCTTCTTTTTTGATGTTACTTCATCTCCATGTTATTAAAAAATTAATTTCCACTCCAATTATACATTTTGAATTTATTTCCAATTTGAATGAATTTCCAGTTTATTCAATTTCATCCCATATTTGACATTAATAGTTTTCATTTTAAAATGCACAATCATGCATGTGTATGTGCCAGAGCTGTTCTGCCAGGCAGCTATGTGTTACTTTGAGAGCATAATTCTAAGATGAAACAAGTCGCAACATATCCTTGCCATAATTTCTCCCTCTTTGTTTTCAGAACCCATATGAGATAAACATTCTTACTACAGCACAGTCCCATCTTACACATTGTATCGTGAATGTTGGAAGGAACTTGACATAATTATTCTTAAAGGAAAACTCACATGAAATATGAGAGATGACTTCGAGCATTTGAAGAACTGGTCATGTGGAAAGCAATTAGATTTTGTTTCTATGAACCAGAATTCATGGGTAGAAGTTGCAGCAACAAAGTTCTTGTGTTCTGATAAAGTAGGGTCAATGCCTGCCTGATTTATCATTTGCAGTAGATTGATTACAAAAATGGCCCAGTTGTTCATGGCTTCCTGCACTCATGCCCTACAGTGTAACTTTTCAGCTTTCTTTGTGAAGATGTGGATTCTATTATCTCATCTCTTATTTCTGAGCTTGAATTGTCTTTGCTTCAGCTAAATAATTCAGTGGAAATGACAGTGTGCAACTTCTGATACTAGACCTTAAGAAGCATTGCATGCTTCCACTTGCTCCCCTGGTCCCCTGCAACTGTTTGTTGGAGAACAAAAGGTATATGGTCTAGTCATCCTATTGCTCTAGCCAACATTCAGCCAACTGCCAGACATGTGAATTAGGTTCCCATTCAAACTGCCAGTGGACACATGAGTGAGTGAGGCTGGCTCAGATCAGAGACTGACCCAGATGACCTGTGGACTTCAGATCAGTAATAAATGCTTATTGTTTTAAGTCCCCAAGTTTTAAAATGGCTCGTTATGGAGCAATAGCTCACTCATGCACCATTGTAATTCTAGGACCTAGCACAAATACCTACCTGTCACAGAATAACCACTTAATACCTATTTTTGAAGAAAAGCATATGTGAAAGAATGACTACAGATCACTAGCTGGAGTATCTGAGCTATCCAAGGTGGGTGAACCCCTTTTAAGAGGGAGTGTGTTTTCAACTTGGTCCATGTCCTGGCCTGTAGGAATTTTATTTAATCATGATTCTTCATCCATCTTTCAATTATTCCCTCCCTGCTTCATGTCAAATCCAATTTTAGTGTGCAAGTGTCTCTACACACAAACATTACTTTAACACGATTCAGTCTCATCTCACTGATGTGTCCCCAGGGCCCTGTGATGGTGCTGAGCTACAGAAGTGTGAGCAGCTGGACTGGGCTGGTGGAAGGAGTAGGGAATGAGAATTAGGAGCCCTGGAATCTTGTCCCAGGTCCTATAATAACTGTCTGTGTGATATCCTGCAGGCATTCTTACTGTAACAATATTATACATTCTGAATTTTTCCTCCAGTCCCTCATAACTCTTATTTGTAAAATTGAAAGATAGTATTTTGCCTAGCATATCACATGAGAGATTTTTTTGTGAAGATAAAGAGAAATAGCAGATGAAATATATTTTTATCAAAGCCAGTGTGCTTCCATAACATTTATTTTATTTACATACCAGCTATTATTAGCCTGAGACCAATGTTGTCAAGCATATTGTTAATTTTAATTATAATTCCCACTTATGTGGAACACACTCCCTCAGGACCTTGTCTAACTTTTTGTTTTCTTGGTCACAGGTCTCTACTAAAGCCACTTACGTATCTCTATATACGTTTCTGTTGCTTTCTATTTAACAGACAAGTATTAGTGCGAAAAGTAATAATCTGTTCTAGTGTATTTCCTTGTATGTTTTTCTAGTCATGTATTGTTTTCTTAAAGTGTTCTTTAATACCATTAGACTTAAGTGCTTTAATATAGTTTTTTTTTCTTTGATAAAAAGTATTTAGTGGAGAATTGGTCATCTCATCTTGAATTGTAGCTCCCATAATTCCCACGTGTTGTGGGAGGGACTTGTGGAGATAATTGAATAATGGGGGTGATTTCCTCCATACTGTTCTTGAGGTAGTGAATGAGTCTTATGAGATATGACAATTTTATAAGGGGTTTTGCTTTTTGCTTGGCTCTTTCATTCTCTCTTGTCGCTGCCACGTAACAAGTGCCTTCTGCCTTCTGCCATGATTGTGAGGCCTCCTCAGCCACGTGGAACTGTGAGTCCCTTAAACCTCTTTTCCTTTATAAATTACCCATTCTCAGATATGTCTTTATCAGTAGTGTGAAAATGGGCTAATATATCCCTAGTGCCAGCAATGTGCCTCCCACCCCCCAAATCACTTCTTGTGTGCCAGACTCTAGAATCTCAATCCAAAAAGTGAAAATGGTGAACATCGTAAGGCCTATGACCATGAATACTTCTGATATATCCAGGTTCCCTGAATGTACAGTTTATGTACATTTTTTTAGATTTATTTTGTCAAAGCATTTAGAGAATCTTAGAAAAAAACAAAAATCCCTTTAATATGTTCATGAGGTGATTTTTTTCATTGCTGTTAATTCTCAAAACTCTGTGTTTCAGGTGAGGTGGTGAGAGTGGCGGGGGCGGGCTTCAGGGCATCTGATGTGGTTTAACTAAGCTAATCATGTGCAAGAATAAACCTGGCTCCAACACTGAACTCTGACTGTTTTTCTCAACAATTTTATTGCTAATGGTGGGTCTCAAATTAATACCTTTCTCCATATCTCACTGTTGTTTCACGTTCATTCTGAGGCCTCCATCATAATGAGCCACCCAAGCCCTCAGCATGGTTCCCACAGACGCATCCTGGAAGCAATTTTATGGCAGTTTAGAACCTAGTCCTAGGGGAAGCAGGTATGTAATATTTCTTTGGATGTTCCATGATAATCCCCTTGTGGCAACTGACTATTGCAGACAGGAGACCCAGAAGCAGCCTTTCTGTTACATGACATCATCCTTCTGGATACTTCCAGAGCTTCCACAGTGCCAAGTTCCCTTCCCCTTCCAGAAGGATCACTCCTTTATTGCTTCCTAGGTCCAGAGTCAGGAGAGAAGAGAAAAAGCGAATGCAAAAAGCAGAGTCCACATTTTCTCTCCTGAGAACCTAGGTAACTGTGATTTCAGTGATTCTATGAGAAAGGATTAAAATATAGATCAGTCATTCTCTGCTAAGTGGGCCAAAAAAGCATATATAGGATTATTTATTCATGGGTACAAAGAAGCCATCTAAATATTTCAAACACAAATTAAAATTTTAAAAATGCATGAAAAGAGATTACAGTGTTTAACCTTAACTCATATGTAGTTACAGGTATAAACCTGCTTTTGAGAATAAATGGTGCCATTATCTTTCTATAAGTTTGCCCTTCCTGATGAAATTATAAATACAAAGGCAGTTTTGTGGATAGATGAGGTGTTTTATTTTACTTCACTATGAACTTCCATATAATTTTGCTTTAGATTGTACATGCTGAGCAATTAAAAAAAAATACCTTGGTACAGTGATTGTTAGAACAATTCTCAAGAGTCCACGGTACCCAGACAGATGTAATCTGAAGGGGAGCTGTGAGACACTCATGGCCAGTATCCTCCCATCTGCCAATTTTGCTATGATACCTGGTGTGGCCTTGGTGGGCACATTTTTGGGGTAAGGAACCAAAGGTCCCAGTTAAAGTATACATTTTTAACTGGGGAAAGAGACACTTTAAGTCTACCTCAGCATGACTAGCTCATTGTAACAGAAGGAACTCAGTCCTTAGAATTAGGCTGTCTGGGATTTGAATCTGGCTTTACCATTTACTAACCTTGTGATCATGGGCAGTTTATTCATCTTCCAGAGACTAAATTTGACCATTATAAAATGGCCATATTTTTCTGAAACTGCAAGTCGGATGAGAACGTCACATGGAAAGTGTTCAATGAATGTTCCCTTTCCCTTTAAAGAGCAGGGTCCATGAGGAGTGAGCCTGAACATACAAGTTGCCTTATGCACAGAGAGGGTCAGGGGATCAGGATGATGGTGGCACTTCATCAGTGAAGCACCACTTGACTATGGGGTGACCAGGGCAGGAACTCTGGTTACATGTGACCTGTTGCCCCAGACGAACCTGCTAGGTGAGGAGAAAGGATGTAGCCAGAGGGTGCCAGAGGCTCTGAAATATTTATCTCTTAATAATGCTGCAGGTAGACTCCACTGATAGTCTGTATTTCCTACAGATCCATATTCCCCAAACATAGAAATAATGCCAAAAGATTGCATCATCAAGTATCTCCTAAAATCCCAGTAACATAATAATAATAATGCAATTTGCAAGCTGTTAATTTGTACCTCTCTATCTCTGTGACTCTCCAAAGGTTTATGCCTTTTTAAAATGCCGGATTTTTTTTCTTTCTTAGACTGCAATGTTCCTCTAAGTGCTAGAATATTCTGTTCCTTTGGCTTATTTCCAGTCTTTAGAGAGAGAGAGAGAACTCAGTCAACATTGGCCATTTCCTGTCTGCTTGCCAGCTACCTCTGAGAGGCAAAGATTCCGGAGCCAGGTGCTTTTTGTTTTCTTTGTCTTTCTCTATTCTATATATGTTTGTGGCTACATACACACATACACACAGACACACACACACACAGACACACACACACACACACACACACACACACACTGTTCCAGACCCTAGGATGGATATTAGAGGTACAACAGAGATTAAGGTACAGTTCCTGCCCTCGAGCAGCTGGTGTAATTGGTGAGATATATATTTTTAAAAGCTGACAATTTCAGCGGCAGAATGCTTTGGGAGCCTTAGAAGAGGCATCCAAGTCAGTCTGGGTTTTTCTAGAAAAGCTTCCTGAGTGGGAGGACGCCTGAGTTGAATCCTCAAAGACCAGTGGGTGTTATCCAGGAAAAAAAGGAAACAGCCTGTGCAAAGACACAAAGAAATGAGAGCATTTTTAATTGTCTCTAAGAACTAATAATTGATAGGAAGTATAGTATGATTGTGAGGAGGCAAGAAATGAGATTTGAGGGATACTCAGCAGCCCCCTCACAATAGACCCTTTAAGTCTTGCTAACCTTTGGACTCTACCCTTAATGTTATGGGGCTGGTGTGATGGTGATGGTGGGATGCAGGACAGACTAATGAGGAAATGACATACTCAGATATGGATAGAGTATAGATCAGGGCCTGAACTATGTCAGTGTGGTACAGGTTGAAATAGGAAAATGTTAATGTTCTTTGAAAAGATGTTTCACTGACAGAGATGAAGACTTGCAAACACAACACGCATGTAGAAACACATCAGTGTGAGTCAGCTTAGCCCTCGTAGAGTAACGTCACTGTTATTATCAAGTAGGCAGTATTTGCCCAGAGGCTGAAGAAAGCCATTCCCCACTAGTTACAATAGAAATTCATTTGTTCATTCATTCATTCACTTAACAAATACTCATTGAGGAGCTACAATGTTTTAGGCTCTATAATAGGTTCTTCAAAGTTTAAAAAATTGCATATTTTTAGTAGTATTCTTCAGCTAAATTCTTTAAACCTTTTACTTGCCTGTGATACTCATTCATATACCCAGTGCCTAGGTACCGTCTAGCATGGAATAGGGTTGTAACAAACGTTTGTTGAATGAATTGTTTATTGAACATGGCCCTCCTCCACCATGAAAAGGACAATGGAGAATCACCTAGGTAGTATAGGAGCAGGAGCCCCCATGCCACCTGCTATTTCCCCTCTCAGAAGCACAGAAGTGGACTCTTCCTTCCTCCTTCTAGCTACCCTTAAGGATGGGAATGGCAGGAAGACTCAATAGAGCTTCCAGAACATCTTCATCTGTAGATGTGTCCTATGATTGCAAATCTTAAAGGAAGTAATCAGTAACAATTAAATAACTGAAGAGTGGTCTGAGAAAGTGGCAATGAAGTATGCATGGATCTGGAGAACTGATTTTTTGGGGTGGTGCACCAAATTTACACATTTCTCTTGTAGAAATAGAAGAAATGTGATTTTTAGGCTGGGTGTGGTGGCTCACACCTGTATTCCCAATACTTTGGGAGGCTGAGGCAGGAGGATCACTTGAGCTCAGGAGTTTGAGACCAGCCTGGGTAACATAGTGAGACCCCATCTGTACGACCAATTTTAAAATGAAAAAAATTATCTGGTCACAGTGGTATATGCCTATGATCCCAGTTACTTGGGAGGCTGAGGTTGGAGGATCACTTGAGCACAGGAGGTTGAGGCTGAAATGAGCCTTGATTACACTACTGCATTTCAGGCTTGGTGACAGAGCAAGACCTTGTTTCCAAAAAAAGAAAAAAACAAAGAAATGAAATTTTTATGTCTTCAATGTTTTTTCTCCCCTCCCCACTTCCTCCTTTCCTTCCTTCCTTCCTTGCTTCCTTACTGCCTGCCTGCCTGCCTGCCTGCCTGCCTGCCTGCCTGCCTGCCTTCTTGCCTTCTAGCTGTGTCTTAATGTCTGTATAGCTTATCCCAGAGGATCAAACTAAAAGAATGAGATCTTCATCCTTGGGCATGAGAAATTATGTCAACTTTCACTGTGTGGGTTTTGGGGATGGTCGTTCCTGTACTATGGTTGATCTCCTGCTTGGGTGTAAGATCAAAGGACATGGAGAAAACTGCTCTGGAACCTGGCATCTTGAAAGGGCTGAAGAAACCCTTCCAGATGAGCAGGAAGTTTGATCCAAGAAAGACAGAATAAGGAAAAAATATTGGAGGATATAAGAGGAAATTAAAAGCAGGCAAGGTGTTGATGATTAGAAGAATGTGACATGGAGAAGAAAGATGAAGGAGATGAAACCCTATATCCCTAGAGTTCTGAGGAGGAGCTAATTTACTACTGTGAGGGGAAGCTGGATTTGCTCTCTAAGGACTAGTGTGCTATGCTTCACAGAATAATGGAGAGGAATGATGATAAGTAGCAGGTTTTAGCACTCCCATTACTGGTCCAAAAGAGATATGGGGCATGCTACACGGAGGGCCTTCAGTGGTTAACAGACAACTTCACCATTTTCCATCACTTGCGTTGAACAAGTTAATGAGTGGAAGTATTTAAAATTGTTTGGCACATGGTGGGTCTTCAATAAGTGTCCAGTATTTTTATGATTATCATTCTTCCTTCTCAGGTATCTAGGATATATGTCTATAGGACACATAGGACAGAGGCTGAGAGACTCTAGAAACCCACTATCTTTCTGCTGGTAGGATCTACCAGTGGTCCTTCTTGTACTTTTCCATCCAAAAGATTCTCCCTTTCCTATAAAAATTGGGGTTTGGAGGCCAGGCACGGTGGCTCACGCCTGTTATCCCAGCACTTTGGGAGTCCAAGGCAGGTGGATCACCTGAGATCAGGAGTTTGAGACCAGCCTGGCCAACATGGTGAAACCCTGTCTCTACCAAAACTACAAAAATTAGCCGGGCATGGTGGCAGGTGCCTGTAGTCCTAGCTACTAGGGAGGCTGAGGCAGGATAATCACTTGAACCTGGGAGGCAGAGGTTGGAGTGAGCCAAGATCGTGCCACTGCACTCCAGCCTGGGAAACAAGAGTGAAACTCCATCTCAACAACAACAAAAACAACAACAACAAAATTGGGGTTAGGAATCTCAAGAACTCCTGGACACAGATGCCAGTTTCAATTCTCCTTCTAAGTTAGTAATCGTAATTTTGAAAGAGAAAAGAAAACTTGAAAACGGAACTCTCTAGCTCCAGAGATAGTCAAAGCTTGAGTTTTCTCAAATATGGCTCATGAAAGCAAAATGACAAGAGGCAACGTGTGCACCAAAAACACTGGGAAGAGTAAAGAAAAAGGAAAGAAAGCAAGAGACTCACCAACCTAATTAAGAAAGCTTCAAACTGAAATTTGAGGGGGAGGAGAAAAAAGGCCTATAAAGTAGATATGATGAGAGACTGCTGGTATGGCACAGAAAGAACAGTGATGCGGGCGGTGCCCAGTAATTTACTGAAGAAAATAACAGGGAAGATGTTTGAGAACTATATTTATGATCTCAGGTTGTATACAGATTATAAGTAATAAATAAAGCTAACCTGGAGTTTTAACAGTAGGAGTTAAAATCCACTGTCGTAGAAAACACTGGGACCTTGTGGGCTAGCATTTAGAACAACATGCAAAGGTTCGTCTTGTTCAAAGGAAACAAACTGATGAAATAGAAGTGATGAGCATGGGCCAAAGCCTCAGCTATTTATGGCCATCCACATAATTGAAGCATGAATGCATGATGGAGAACATTACTGAATGTAAAAGGAGAGAAGACAGAAGTGACTGGTGTTACTGGGTGAGAGCATACTGTGTTACTTGATCAGGTGCAAAATGCAAGTGCTGATGTGGTAACTGAAACAGAGTCTATACAGGGCAATGTCATGGTCAAATTCCATTATCCAGACATCTGCTTGACCTTTCCATCTTCTAAAAGCCGAGCATTTGATAAACTGCCTCAGGGACAATATCATTTATCGAAAGTCATAAACTCTAGAAGTATGAACTCGATGCTGATCTCTTGTAAAAAAAAATCAAGAAACTTCAATAAAAAAATTTTAAGTGCTTAATAAATTGAGCTAAGCGTTAAGATGAGTAAGACAGACATGAAGCTTACCTTCCAGCAGGAGATACAGATGCCAAATAACTCATTCCACAATTGATTAAGTTGCAATTGTGAAGTATATCACAAAAGAGAAGCGTAGGGTGATGTTAGATAAAATAGTGGGACCCACTGTAGTTGAAGGGGGTGCATAGGGAAGGTTTTTTTTGGGAGGAAATGACATTTGTGGTACTATTGGAAGAAATTTACTTGGCAAGAAGGCCCTGAGAGAGAAAATGGTGGGAATGTTGGGTCTGACAAAGGTTAGGACTAAGGAAGGGCATGGGAAGGTAAAGCTCCATCATGGGTTTCCAAGCTTACACTATTCCATATCAGCCTCTCTGAAGAAAGGATACAGGATTATGTCAATTTCAGAGGACATCACTAGGGGCATTCTGCAAGCCTCTATCCTTGGGGTGGCACTTTCATGTGGAAAAGGAATAATGTGAGAATTATTTTGAGTGGCTCCAGAGGGTAGAGCTAAGGCTCAAATGCACATGTCACAGGGATGTGCAATGTATGAAACGTTCTTTTATAGCTAGAACTTCCCAGAGAGAAGAGAACTGCTTTACCTGAATGCAGGTGAAAGGGTCAAGTGGAAGCTCCTAATCACCTCTCATGGTTGTCTTATCAGAAGACAATTCTTGCATTTGGGAAGCTGAACAACACAAAATAATGCCCACTTTTGAAGCATGCACTTTGTAGCAGGCATTGTTTGTTTAGGTGTCAGGAACACAGAGGTGAGCAAGAGCACACCCTCACTTCAAGTGTCAGAGAAAACAGGATGCAATGCGAAAAATGTTCCCTCACTTACTGTGCTTTTAACTTAACACAGTCTCTTACTCCATTGCACTGTTCTGCCCCCAACAAAAAGCTCTTCACTGATTGCTGCAGCTAACACCAACTAGACGAGGCTTCACCTGTGCAGCTGGTTATGGGCGCTGGTCATGGCCTCCCAGCTTCACCTGCCCATTGGTTCCCATTTGTTTCTCTTTTCTGCCTTGTATGGTTCTCCACTGAGCTGCCCCTCCATCTCTGATTTCAATTCAGTTCTTAGTCCCATGCGGATCCCTTGGAGTGATGCAGGTTTGGTTTTTCACTCTAGGCACTGTCTCTGGGCACAATTCATTTTTCTTCTTTTATTCCCAGTTTCTCTAACTGCTTCTGCCCAATCAGTTCTTAGCTTCCCTCCCATGCCTGCTCCCCATCATCTGCCCCTGGGGTGGGACTCATAAATGCTGGAAGAATGGTAGGATTGCTTGATAGTGTCCAGGCTGCCTTGGGAGTTACTCACAGGGAGAAGAGGGCTGGGAGGAAGTTTCAGGCAGGGAGAACAACCCTAAGGCACTCTCATACATCCTACCTACCCAGGAATAAATTGCTCACACTTCAAGCGGCAAAGTAAAAAAGCATGAACAAGCTGGGCATCAGAAAATCAAGACTTCTACTGCTCTCAGCTGCCTGACTCTCCCTACATCCCATATCCCAGTTTACTATCTGGGCATAAATATGCCTGCCACCCTGGCCCCAACAGGACAGAATTCAGAAAACAAGGTGGGATGAGATTTGATTTTACCTTTTCATAAAAGAACTGTGTAGATAGACATTTTAGTCTAAATTATTCTATTGAGTAGCCATTAAATAGAGTTTTTATTGTGATCCACACTAGAGCTTTTCACGGTTGATTTATTTAAACAGGCTCAATTCTTGGTGGGAAAGCCATTTGGTAAGATAATAGTTTCTAAAGCTGGACACCACAATTGCTACAGGCTGCACCTTCCTTTGTATGGACAACCATGGAGAAAGTAAGCTTCTCCTTTCTGCCTCCCTGACCTGGGAAATCTTGGAGCATGGTACTTAATGGAGAATGTTTTTCTGCTCAGCCTCCCGATCAGACACTGCCAACTAGGTCTAATTGAGAAGAGTAATATTCTCCGAGGTGAACCTATGTAATTATTCTCTTTGGAGTCTTTTACTCTACACTTATCTCTTTGGCAAATGTTTTCATATCTGAATTGTCAGACTGAAACGAGTGCAGAAAGGAAGTGCTGTTAAGGTGTCATTTACAACCAAGGATTCTAGAGTGAAAGTAGGCTCCTGGGACCATGCATAAAACCCTGGCACTCAGAACATTCCTGCTACCCAGCCTGGTGTTGCTCAGCTTCACTGTAAAATGAGATACTTCAGAAGGCAAGTGGGGTAGGAGCACTTGTCTTGGAGCATGTGTGCACACCTTGCTGGATATTCCCACCTCTTTGGGAGTCCAAGATAGTGCAGAGCCCCAGGAGCACCCTTGGCACACTGGACACAGACAGAAGACCAGCAGCCGTAGGAGGCCTGAGAAGAGACTTGGGCTGTGGGCCAGGAGACTGCATTCTCTTCCTGCTGTCATAATCAGCCATGTGATGTCAGATAGGTCATTGACACTCATGCCAATCACCTATGAAATGTGGTGGTTGGACCTATCAGGCTCCAACTGCCAGGATATTCTAAAATTCTTTGTATGACTTGCTTCCAGATGTCTTATGTTAGCTTCGGGCTAAATCTGCTTCAGAGTTTCAACTTGGTGCAAAATGAAGTTCAAGACTTTATATATACTTATTTCCAAATAATCACTACCAGAATCAGGATTTGGCAGTCGGGTGGGTCAGAGAGACTCTTTGTGTATTAGTCAGGGTATTCTAGAAGGACAGAACTAATAGGATAGATGTCTACATAAAGGGGAGTTTATTAAGTAGAATTAACTCAAATGATCACAAGGTCCCACAAAAGGCTGTCTGCAAGATGAGGAGCAAGGAAGCCAGTCTGAGTCCCAAAGATGAAGCACCTGCATTCTGATGTTCGAGAGCAGGAAGCATCCAGCACGGGAGAAAGATGTAGGCTGAGAGGCTAAGCCAGTCTAACGTTTTTATATTCTTCTGCCTGCTTTTATTCTGGCCAAGCCGGCAGCTGATTAGATTGTACCTGCCCAGATTAAGGATGGTTCTGCCTTTTCCAGCCCACTGACTCAAATGTTAATCTCATTTGGCAACACCCTCACAGACACACCCAAGATCAAGACTTTGCATCATTCAATCCAATCAAGTTGACACTCAGCCAGTATTAACCATCACACAGGTACTTTTTTTTTTTTTTTTGGTCTGGAATTGTTCAGTTGCCAGTATAGATAGTGGAATGTGATTTCATATTGCTAAATGAAAAAGAATATGCAAACACTAGAAAATATCTCTGAGAAGGTTCAGTAAGTTTTGTTTTGTTTGGTTTTGTTTTGTTTTCTGAAATTGAGATTATGAGAGGCAGCATGGCCTAGTGGTTATATTATGGGTTGAACTGTGTTTCCCTAAAAAAGATCTGCTGCAGTCCTAACCTGTTTCCATATAAAGTGGAAATAGGATATTTGCAGATTTAATCAAGTTAAGATGAAGTCATTAAAGTGGGCCTAAATCCAATATGACTAGTGTCCTTATAAGGAGAGGGAAATTTGGACACAGACACACATGGGAGAATGTTGTGTGAAGGTGAAGGCTCAGGTTGGAGGGATGATATCTACAAGCCAAGAAACACTGAGGGTTGCCTGCTGTCACCAGAAGTTAGAGAAAGACATGGAATAGATTCTTCCCTAGGGCCCTTAGAAGGGCCAAGACTTTGATTTCAAATTTCTAGCCTCCAGAACTGTGACACAATATGTTCCATTTTTTTCTCAAAGCCAACTAAATTGTGGTACTTTGTTACGGCAGCTCTAGGAGGCCAATGCAGGTTAGGAGTACAGACTCCACATCAGATGTCTGCAGTTAAAATTCTGTCTTTTTGACAAGTTCAAAATTGTCAAAAAGATATTGTATATTTAGAGAACCCCTTTGTCTCAGCCCAAAATCTCCTTAAACTGATAAGTAACTTCAGCAGAATCTCAGGATACAAAATCAATGAGCAAAAATTATAAGCATTCCTATACACCAATAATAGAGAGCCAAATCATGAGTGAACTCTCATTCACAATTGCTACAAAAAGAATAAAATACCTAGGAATATAACATAGAAGGGATGTGAAGAACCTCTTCAAGGAGAACTACAAACCACTGCTCAAGGAAATAAGAGAGGACACAAACAAATAGAAAAACATTCCATGCTCATGGATAGGAAGAATCAATATCATGAAAATGGCCATACTGCCCAAAGTAATTTATAGAATCAATGCTATCCCCATCAAACTACTACTGACTTTTTTCACAGAGTTAGAAAAAACTACTTTAAATTTCATATGGAACCAAAAAAGAGCCCGTATAGCTAAGACAATCCTAAGCAAAAAGAACAAAGCTGGAGGCATCATGCTACCCGACTTCAAACTATACTACAAGCCTGCAGTAACCAAAACACCATGGTACCAAAACAGATATATACACCAATGCAACAGAACAGAGACCTCAGAAATAATGCCACACATTTACAACCATCCAATCTTTGGCAAACCTGACAAAAACAAGCAAGGGGGAAAGGATTCCCTATTTAATAAATGGTATTGGGAAAACTGGCTAGCCATATGCAGAAAACTGAAACTGGACCCCTTCCTTACACCTTATACAAAAATTAACTCAAGATGGATTAAAGACTTAAATGTAAGACCTAAAACCATAAGAACCCTTGAAGAAAACCTAGGCAATACCATTCAGGACATAGGCATGGACAAAGACTTCATGACTAAAACACAAAAAGCAATTGAAACAAAGCCAAAATTGACAAATGGGATCCAATTAAACTAAAGAGCTTATGCACAGCAAAAGAAATTACATCAGAGTGAACAGGCAACCTACAGAATGGGAAAAAATTTTTTGCAATCTATTCATCTGACAAAGGGCTAAAATCCAGAATCTACAAGGACCTTAAATAACTTTAGAAGAATAAAACAACCCCATCAAAAAGTGGGCAAAGGATATGAACAGACACTTCCCAAAAGAAGACATTTATGCGGCCAAAAAAATGTGAAAAAAAGTTCATCATCACTGGTCATTAGAGAAATGCAAATCAAAACCACAATGAGATACCATCTCATGCCAGTTAGAATGGCAATCATTAAAAAGTCAGGAAACAACAGATACTGGAGAGGATATGGAGAAATAGGAACGCTTTTACACTGTTGATGGGAGTGCAAATTAGTTCAACCATTGTGGAAGACAGTGTGGCGGTTCCTCAAGGATCTAGAACCAGAAATACCATTTGACCCAGCAATCCCATTACTGGGTATATACCCAAAGGATTATAAGTCATTCTACTATAAAGACACATGCACGTGTATGTTTATTGCAGCACTATTCACAATAGCAAAGACTGGGAACCAACCCAAATGCCCATCAATGATAGACTGGATAAAGAAAATGTGGCCCATATACACCATGAAATACTATGCAGCCATAAAAAATGATAAGTTCATGTCCTTTGCAGGGACATGGATGAAGCTGGAAACCATGATTTTCAGCAAACTAACACAGGAACAGAAAGCCAAACACCACATATTCTCACTCATAAGTAGGAGTTGAACAATGAGAACACATGGGCACAGGGAGGGGAACATCACACACCGGGACCTGTTGGGTGTGGGGGGCTAGGGGAGGGATAGCATTAGGGGAAATACCTAATGTAGACAATGGGTTAATGGGTGATCAAACCACCATGGCACGTGTATAACTATGCAACAAACCTGCTTATTCCGTACATGTATTCCAGAACTTAAAGTATATATAAAAAAAAATTCCCGTCTTTTGATTTACCCACTGTGTAGAGGCTTTTCTGAGCCTGTTTCTTCATTTGTGAAATGGGGATATCATTACACCTACCTGACGGTAATGTTGTGAAGATTAAAGAAGGTAATCCTTGAAAAGCTGACTGGGCACAGTGGCTCATGCGTGTATTCCCAGCACTTTGGGAGGCAGATGTGGGTGGATCGCATGAGTCCAGGAATTCCAGATCAGCATGGGCAACATGGTGAAACCCCATCTCTACTAAAAAAAAAGAAACACAAAAAATTAGTTGGGCGTGGTGGTGTGTGCCTGTAATCCCAGCTACTTGGGAGGCTGAAGCAGGAGAATCTCTTGAACCCGGAAGGCAGAGTTAGCCGTGAGCCAAGATCACGCCACTGCGCTCCAGCCTGGGCAACAGAGCGAGACTCCATCTCAAAAAAAATAAATAAATAAAAATAAAAATAAAAAAAGAAAAGAAAGAAAAAAGGCTAGCATTAGATTGTGATAAGTTTTGGCTGTGATTATCTTCTTGTTTTTGCGTCTTAATCTGGAGCTACCTCCTAGGATCCCTCTTCAAAGGTAGGGATCATATACCCTCTCACCTAGCCTTGGGTGTTGCCTGCAGTAGCTGCTGAGTAAATATTTGCAAGTGCTAGTAACATAAACACAAGATTACTTTCATTTTGTTGGAGCCCAGCTGAGCAAGAGTGAATGGCTGTATCCTTCTCTTAGTCTCTCCTCTCTACCCTTTCTGGGTTTTTCTTTGTAGTACCCAGACATTGTCAAGAGGACAGTAGGAAAGAGCATGAGCTGGAGCAAATCCTGCTTGTCTCTCACTGGTTTTGTGTCCTTGGAGAGTTTTTTTTTTTTCACCTATTTGAGCTTCAGTTTCCTCCTCTGTTAAACAGAGATGAGGATGGAGAGAGTTCTGATGAATGGACACTGTCAACTGTCCACAGTGGTCTGCTTACTCCTTGGAGGGACTAACCAAGCCTGGTTCTTCCCACTCAAGTTCCACTCCCCACACTCTTGGTCAGGCCCCAGACACTCTCTAGTTAGCAGCATCGTTTTCAGTTAAGAATTAGCTGCATGGAGAATTTTCCTTAAGAAGAGTTACAACAAACATTCTTGCTGATTTACACACACACCCCAACACGTGCACAAAACAATCAAGAAAAATAACATCAAATGCCTGCTTGAGCTTGGTGGTTTCAACTAATGTAGAAATTGTGGACTTGGCAGCTCTGAACTGTGGGAATTGCTAGATTTGGGGGTCACATCTTATAAAATATATGCTTTGGCTGGAGACACTCCTGGGCAGCAGCTGTCATGGGCGAGACCAATTTCAAAGGCCCAGCTTCACTTTCAGTTGACAAACATTTAAAGTCTGTTGGCTCAACATAGAGAACTGAGGAGGGAAAGCAGGGCTGAGAGCTCTCTGGGAGAGCAGGACTTGGGAGAGTGATAGATGAGGTGTGTTTAGTGAGGATTGTACAAATTGTTTCCTTTTAACAAGATGGAAACCTCCTGAAAACATCATCTGTTTTTGGCTTGCTAATTATGCTTTTGCCTTTCCTCACTTAGCTGAAGCTTTGACGGCCCTAAATTTCCTAAAGGCCTTGTTAAGAAAAATAAAATTAGAATTTAATTATATGAGTATACTACATATATATTATCTTTTAGGCTCTAGGGAATACCACACATTTATGTGGATTCATTCACTCATTCATCTACTTTTATTGGGCCCCCAGTCTGTCCCAGGCACACTGCTAGGTACCAGAGTTGTTATTTACATAGCAGCTGCAAGGAATTGAGACTTGTGGTGGCCATTTTTGATGCAGTTGTATCTCATTGAATCACCAGTATCTCTGTTCTAGCACTGGAGCTAACATTGAGAGCCTAGACTGAGACCAGTCTTGTTCTCAAAGGGCTTGCCATCTGGCTGGAAGGAGAAGAAAGATTGGCCTGCAAGCTTCACAGGTGCTGTAAGAATAATATAATGACCTGCACAGTAATCACACTAGTGGTAAGAATAATGAGAATAGATAACACTGATGTTTTTGTGATGTGCCAGGTTATTAGTGATCTAAATAGATTATAGTATTTAAAATTCTCATGAACCTAACAAAAGAGATGCCAATGTTATGTCCACTTTACAGATGAGAAAACAGGCACAGAAGTGAACTAGCCTGCTCGAGGACATATAAGTAGTGAGGAGCAGCACTGTTCTGTCTGGCTCCAGAACCTGCCCACATGAGCAATTCTCTGTGCTGCACACAGAAACTCCATTTGAAACAATGTCACCAACCGCAGCTTTATATACATAAAGCCATTCAGTTTTATAGAAGGATTTTGCAAAATATTTCTGTAAATAGCAAATGCTCTTGACACATTCAAAAGAAGGTTCAGTTGGCAAAAGATTGATTTATGCTTTTGTCTTCAGGAACGTATCTATTTCGTAGTGGAAATTTCACCTAGTTATGTGGATATAAAATTTTAATCAGCTTACATATATAGCAGAGGAAGGTAAAAGCAATACAGTAGATACCCTTTCCTTCTAGTCTACCCATGAAGACATTTTTGACAGGTGTTTTTTAATACAGAAAAATAATACAGAAGAAAACTGAAATGTAAACTATGCCACAATTACAGATAATCCTTATTGACTTTGAACCTTAATCATATGGATCTATTACTTTTATTTTTTAAAAAGTACAGAAAGGTATAAAATGAAAAATAAAATCTGTCTTTTCCACCTTAACCCCCTAATATGGATAAGAATTTCTGGAGTATCCTCGAGGAAACTGATGTGGAATTGAATACCTTTTGAAGGGGCTAGAAGGAGTGAAAAGACACTTTCTTTGTGTGCTGAGTCCCCTCCAGAAGGTACGAGTCACAAAAATAAATATTACTTTATTTTCAGGCATTAAGTGTGGGGTGTCGGTAGGAAAGAAGATTGTCAAAGAGAGAATCGTTAACCATTGAGTCTCCTGTTTCTTTCTCAAGTGTCTCCACCTGCATCCCCTTTTGTGTCCTCATGAGTCTTCCATGACCCAGGCATGGCTCACTCACTTCCATCCGGACCAAACATGACTTATATGCTTTCAGTAGCCCCCCAACCCAGTTTCCTCATTTTTATCCTTACAACTCTGAGAAGATGATCTACACTAAAATCCAATGCAGACTCTCCTTTCTACTCATACTCCTTCCTGTTCTCTCTTCTTTCCTCTTTCTGTCCCTATTCCTCCGTTCCACTTTCTATCTGTCTCGGTCTCTTCCTCTATCTCTTTAAGCATCTCTGTGCATTTCCACTCAAGTTTAGACCCTTGCCATTGCCACTTTTTCTGCCCACAAATGGGTGCATTTGATGGTACATAGTGATGGTGTTTGAGTGCATGTGTCTTTCTAAAATAGTCTATGGCTTGCCTGATTCTGTTTAAGTCCTTAACAGCATATACAAATCCTTTGTGGGAGATATCTGGAGTCAAACGAGTCCTCACTCTCATCCTACAGGCCATCACTGAGTGCTTCTTTCATCAATACACCATTGCTAGGCGTGAAATGGGCTATTTTGGATTTTAAGAACCAAATGTAAATGTGCTTAATGAGCCTCGAGGGAGCTGTGGCATGGCCAGGGAAAAAAGGCTTTTAGCAGCAGATGCAGACAAAAGTATTGGATTTCAGTCTCTGGGTCTCCTGAAAAGTCAAAGACAAAGAAAATGGAGATCCTGGCCGCTGATGGGGTAGGAGTCAGTCAAAACCTAAAACCCTGAGCAACTGGAGTCTCTTGACAGTTTTCTCTGGTAAAGAATTCAATAAACGGTGGGGGCACATATGGAGTGTAATTATTTATTATAGTAGTGCAAAGCCCCTGGTACTGTTGGGTATTCCTTAAAAGAGCTCAAGGAAACCAGCAATGGGAAGGAAGTCTCTGCAGCAGTTTTAAGGTTCTGAGAAGTCATTTTTAACATTTTTTTAGATGTAACTTGAAAAACTCATCTGAGTATTCAAAATCTGCCTGAAATCTCCTTTTGGCTCTGTCAAAACAACATTCTTTGTCTCTTTACTAGTAAATATGAAGGCTAGTTCAGGCATCTCAGCGCATTAGAAATCTGTTGAATGTCTCAAATTTACTCTGCTGTAGCTTGGGGCTGGAGTCTGGGAGACTTCCTGCCTCTGACAACTGTTTGATGCCTACCCGACCGGGTTGGGCCAGCTCTTCTTTAGTGTGTTGAAAATGGCATGTTTCTCAATATAACAATGCTGATACTTGATCCTGGCAGAAAAAGAAGTGAAAAATAACTCACACACACACAATTTTTTTATGGCTTTAGGCAAGTCAGTAACTCTGGGCAATCCGTATGTTTTATATTCTGCAGCAGCTGAGCTTCCAGCATTCTCATCCCCTGGGAGGAGGAGGAAGGCAGGGTCACCCACACTGTCTGCTTGATACCCATGCTCCTACACTCTGGTTTGGAAACTTGAGGCTGGCTGTGTCCACGCTCAGCCTACGCACCGCCACTCTCCACATTCCTCTTCCCCAGTTTCTATTCTCTTTCTTGATCTATTTGTAGTCCTATGTGTTCTCCATTGGCTGGAAAGCTCTGTGAAGACAGAGGTGGAGTCCTTTTCTTATCTCTCAGAGCACGGAACACGGAATTTTGTACATAGAAACCACTAGGTAGATATTTGCTAAATAATCATAATTTTTAAAAAAGTAATGTGTTTTTGTCTTTTTGGTAAGTCCCTGTTCTCTTGACAAGTATGGTTAATTTTATACTCTAGCCGCTACTATTAATATGATGATGTCTTGCTTACATTTTAGGTGCTCATGAGCCTGAATTCTATGTTTTTTTTTTTCGTGTTCAACTGGAGGAATATCAGATTGTGTGCCTCTGAATAAATCACTTCAACTCTTGGTGTTTCAATTTTTGTGTTTTTTTAAATGGATAGAGCTGTTATAAGGTATAGGAGAGTAAGATTGGGAATGATAGGGAATGATGATTGTGGTCCTGGCTTACTCTCTTTGTGATCTTAAGCTACTTACCTGAACTCTCTGAGTTTCATTTACCTTCTCTGTAAGGGAATATGGCCTCTAGTTCAGAGCAGTGGTAAAGACTGAATGACATTCTACAAGGTGATGCCTTCATGACCTTTGGAACCGTACTTGTACTTATCCAGTGCCCAGTAAACTCCATTGAAGAGGATCAACTTGCTGCTGGGATTGTAGTGGGGAGAGCAGGTCACTGGGTCCTGGAGAAGAGGCCATGGGGCTTGTTCTCTGACTGTATCCTGTGCTGAAAGCACAACCTCAGGGTAAATGAGGTTTTAGGCCTGGGGTGCTGACCTAGCCCAACATTTCCAGGCCTCAAGTGCACCTCAGGGTACCAGAGTGGTAGATCTAGAGAGACTATGCAGGCTAGGACAGAGGATACCTCAGTCCCAGCAACTCTGGGCAGATGGCCAGTGACCCCTAGGGACTCCATGGTGCCTTGGAACTTTAAAAGACCCAGAAAATCAGCCCAACATGAGGGCTCTCAGCATGCTTGAAGTTGCATTTCCCACCACCCAGAAGGAGGAGACTCAAAACTAAGTCGTTTTATAGAAATTAAAGATGTGATATTTCTTCCATACTTACTATTTATAACATTAACACTATATTAAGTCTCCCACAGAATTTCACCTATGTGTTGAGTCTATTTGACAATATTTGAGGGCTTTGAGGAAGAATAAAGTTTTAAAAATAATATATTATTAAATACTTTCTGATTACAAATTTGGTAGTTTTATTGTCTTTTTGATTTTTTAACAATAATTTTTGATAGCCTGGTGCCATGGACTGAATACTTGTGTCTCCTGAAAATCCTTATGTTGAAGACCTAACCTCCAATGCAATGGTGTTAGGATGTGGGGACTTTGGGAGAGAATTAGGTTTAGATGAGGTCATGAAGGTGGAGCCCCCATGAATGGAATTAGTACTGTTACAAAAAGAGACACAAGAGAGATGATCTCACTCTCCACCATATGAGGATATAATGGGAAAATGACCTGCAAATCAGGAAGAGGGCCCTCACCAGGAACCAAACCTTGGACTTTCCAACTTTCTCAGAACTGTGAGAATTAAATTTCTGTTGTTTAAGTTACCTAGTCTGTGGTACTGCATGATAGTAGCTTGAATTAAGATACCTGGACTCTGTATAGAGCATGATTTTTACCCTACTGTATGGCATGGCCACCTCACATCTTATGTAAAGTCAGACAGAATAACATATATACTGATATGAGTAAATAGACAATAGATTGTTGATGTAATAACCCCTAATGTAACACCCTACATAGTGACAGATTTAGTAAATATTTGGGAAATGAATGAATTAATGATCAGATTCTGACAAATCTTTAGAATTATCAACAGACATAAATTTTGTTCTCCTTAGCTTTAGTGTTAGAAAAATATTATTCTAATCCTTGTAAAATTAGTCATTGGTGTATAGAATATATGGCAATTCTCCACTAATTAGAATATATGAGTAATCAAAGTAAGTGTATCTTTCCCTGACCATACTGAATAGCTGAGAATTTATAGAACTTGGTGACACTCTTGGTAGGTATTTTAATATCTCATAAGCTGAAGGCAATATTGTCCTTAGATAATATTGAGAAGGTGGCCACCTTTTTTCCTCTTTAAAGAAATTATTACTATTAATATGATTTTTGATTGACAAATCATAATTGTATACATTTATGGAACACAATGTGACATTTTGATATATGTATATAATGTGAGCTGATTAAAGCAAGTGAATTAACATATCCATCTCCTTGCTTACCTATTGGTTTTTATGGTGAGACATTTGAAATATACTTTTTTAGTTATTTTAAAATATGCAATATATTATCATTGACTACAGTCAACCGGCTGTGCAATAGATGTCAAAATCCATCCCTCCAGTTGAAACCTCTGTATTCTTTTTTTTTGAGATTTCACTCATGTCACCCAGGCTGGAGTGCAATGGTGCGATCTCGGCTCACTGCAACCTCCGCCTCCCAGGTTGAAGCAATTCTTCTGCCTCAGCCTCCAAAGTAGCTGGGGTTACAGGCATGTGCCACCACATCCAGCTAATTTTTGTATTTTTAGTAGAGATGGGGTTTCACCATGTTGGTCAGGCTGGTCTCGAACTCCTGACCTCAGGTGATCCACCTGCCTTGGCCTCCCAGAGTGCTGGGATTACAGGAGAGAGCCACCGCACCCAGCCTGAAACTGTGTATTCTTTGATCAACAACTCCTCAATTCTTCCTTCCCCAAGCCCTTAGCTATGGTAAACATCATTCTATTCTCTACTTTTGGGCTCAACTTTTAAAGATTTCACATATAAGTGACATTGTGTGGTACTTGTCTATCTGTGCCTGGCTTATTTCGCTTGGCATAATGCCCTTCAGATTCAATCATGCTGTTGAAAGTGAAAGGATTTTCCCATTTTAAAGGCTGAATAGTATTCCATTGTGCATATATACCACCTTATCTTTATCCATTCATCTGTTGATGAACACTTATGTTGATTTCATATCTTAGCTATTGTGAATAATGATGCAATGAACATAAGAGTGCTGATATTTCTTTAATATATTAATTTCAGTTCCTTTGAATATATATTCAGAGGTGGAATTACTGGATCATATGGTAGTTCTGCTTTTAGTTTTTTGAGGAGGCTCCCTACTATTCTTCATAATGACCATACTAATTTACATTCCTACCCACAATGTGAAAGAGTTTCCTTTTCTTTGCATCCTCACCAACACTTACCTTCACCTTTTTGATAAAAGCCATCCTAATGTGTACGGAATTGGTGGGTTCTTGGTCTCACTGACTTCAAGAATGAAGCCGCGGACCCTCGCGGTGAGTGTTACAGTTCTTGAAGGCGGCGTGTCCGGAGTTTGTTCCTTCTGATGTTCGGAAGTGTTCAGAGTTTCTTCGTTCTGGTGGGTTCGTGGTCTCGCTGGCTTCAGGAGTGAAGCTGCAGACCTTCGCGATGAGTGTTACAGCCCATAAAGGCAGTGTGGACACAAAGAGTGAGCAGCAGCAAGATTTATTGCAAAGAGCAAAAGAACGAAGCTTCCACAGTGTGGAAGGGCACCCCAGTGGGTTACCACTGCTGGCTGGGGGGCAGCCTGCTTTTATTCTCTTATCTGGCCTTACCCACATCCTGCTGATTGGTCCATTTTACAGAGAGCCGATTGATCTGTTTTACAGAGAGCTGATTGGTCCGTTTTGACAGAGTGCTGATTGGTGCGTTTACAATCCCTGAGCTAGACACAAAAGTTCTCCACATCCCCACTAGATTAGCTAGATACAGAGTGTTGACTGGTACATTTACAAACTCTGAGCTAGACACAGAGTGCTGATTGGTGCATTTACAAACCTTGAGCTAGATACAGAGTGCTGATTGGTATATTCACAATCCCTTAGCTAGACATAAAGATTCTCCAGGTCCCCACCAGATCAGCTAGATACAGAGTGCTGATTGGTGCATCCACAAACCCTGAGCTAGACACAGGGTGCTGATTGGTGTGTTTACAAATCTTGAGCTAGATACAGAGTGTTGATTGGTGTATTTACAATCCCTTAGCTAGACATAAAGGTTCTCCAAGTCCCCACTAGACTCAGGAGCCCAGCTGGCTTCACCCAGTGGATCCTGCACCACAGCTGCAGATGGAGCTGCAGGTGGATCTGCCTGCCAGTCCCGCACTGTGTGCCCGCACTCCTCAGCCATTGGGCTGAGCCCGGTCGATGGGACCGGGCGCCGTGGAGCATGGGGTGGCGCTCGTCGGGAAGGCTGGGGCTGCGCAGGAGCCCATGGCGGGTGGAGGGGAGGCTCAGGCATGGAGGGCTGCAGGTCCTGAGCCCTACCTCGCCAGTAGGCAGCTAAGGCCTGGCGAGAAATCAAGCGCAGCGCTGGTGGGCCGGCACTGCTGGGGGACCTGGTGTACCCTCCACAGCTGCTGGCCTGGGTACTAAGCCCCTCACTGCCCCGGCGCCCGCGGCTCAGAGTGCGGGCCCACTGAGCCCACACCCACCTGGAACTCGCGCTGGCCCACAAGTGCCCCGCGCAGCCCCAGTTCCTGCCCGTGCCTCTCCCTCCACACCTCCCCGCAAGCTGTGGGAGCCGGCTCTGGCCTCGGCCAGCCCAGAAAGGGGCTCCCACAGTGCAGCAGCGGGCTGAAGGGCTCCTCAAGTGCAGCCAGAGTGGGTGCCGAGGCTGAGGAGGCGCCGAGAGTGAGCGAGGGCTGCGAGGGCTGCAAAGGCTGTCAGCATGCTGTCACCTCTCACTAACAGGTGTGACATGATGTCTCATTATGGTTTTAATTTGCATTCCCTAATGATGACTGGTGCTGACATTTTTTGTGCACCTGTTGGCCAATAGTGTATCTTCTTTTGCGAAATGTTCAATCAGGACATTTGCCCCTTTTTTAATTGGGCTATTTGTTCTCTTGCTATTGAATTGTTTGAATTCCTTATGTATTTGGGATATTAATTCCTTATCAGGTGTATGGTTGGCAAAAACTCTTATTCATCTTTTTTCTCTCTTGTGCCTCTTACTCTTAGGTGAGAACTTAACTCCTCATACAGCCCCTGTCACTCAGGGGCTTTCCACTGTAGCAACTTGTCTCTGGCATTTTTCTCTGTTGCACTCTCTAATTGTCTTGCTACAAGATTTATGTACACAGATGCTTATTGCTGTTTTAGATATAATACTGAAAAGCTGGAATTAAGGTAAATATCCAAACAAGTTGCGATAGTCCCGAAATGGATATCATGGGGTCATTATCGATGGTGTTTTCAAAAATTATTTCATAACCTGAGAGAATGTTAGCATCAGTATATCAGATGAGAAATTAGGATATAGTTCAGGCGTGCGGCTCTGTGGGAATATCAGGGTAGACTATGGAGTACAAAGAGGAATCATTGTGCTGGCTCCCAAATATCCTTGGTTAATAATTTTTTTCTAAGTAGAGTTTTTGAAGAATATTGGGGGGTAGTGACTCTGAGCTCACAGTCTTTTTTACAAACACCTGGAATGCGATCTTTCTATATTGCTGATTAAGTGTAGAATGTTATTTTTCTAGTTAGAGCCAATATGGGGTTGGTTGACATCCTCATCTGAAAACTAAGGAGCATTGGTCTGATGCATGCTTAAACAAAAGACCCTTTCACCTTGGCTTCAGTGTGTATCAAAAGTATCTATGGGCAAGGTCAAGAATCTCTTTAGAAAATAGTTTTGAATTTCTTTTAACCCAAAGAAGCGGATTACAAAAATGCTTAGCAGTAACCATGATTATCTCTTGATGTTGAAATTGTGGCTTGTTTAATTTTCTTGTTGGTACCTTTATTTCCTAATTTCTTGGCAATGAACATGCATCAGTATTATAATCAGAAAAAATAACATTAAAGCCTTCTAATTTGCTTGTATGTCTGGCTCTCATTGGCCTGTTTGGCCAAAAGTAGGTCACATTTTCAGTAATAGGCATATTATTAATATCATGCCTTTACCCCTACCTGCCAATGAAAAAACTTAGGATCCTTAAACTGCTTTCCAGGTATTCACAAGAGCCTTCAGTTATGTCCTTCCAGGGTGTTGCTTTCTCCCATTCTGGCCTCTGCATCCAGCCATAGTGCCCAGACAGGTTCTCTTACAGAGCTGGATAACTGACCTTTCCTGAGTGACATTGCTGACCTGTACAATGGCCCTGGCCAAGGAGGAGGATCACTTTGCTTCCTTTACCACTTTCCTCTGTGCGTTCTAGGACCCTTCCTCAAATTCCCTAGAAGCATAGCTGAGACTAAACTGAAAAATTTCGTAAGCATGGAACAATGGGAGGGAAATCCATTCTAGAAACTAACTTTTAGCTGTGACTACGTGGGGTTGCCTTCAAGGCCCACAGACCCAGGGCTACCCTCAGAATCTCCTTCCCAGTGCTTTGCTGCTCCCCTGCTCCTACATCCTGGAATGCTCTGGGCTACTTAGGCCTCAGAGTTCACATCTGTGGGCAACTCAAAGAGAACTGAGGGCTTCTTCCTTACAGACTAAGGCTCCCCTCTGGGGCCTCATTTATGGTGTCTAATGGAAACTTCCGAAGACAATGACAGAAAATATCTTTTTCTTTGGAGAGAAACCTAAGTCCCTCCCCTCACTCCCCTCAAGGGAGTATCGTGAGGTTCTCCAATGCCAACAGGAAAGTTACTATAAATTATCTAAAAATCAATATATGACATTAGTTCTTTCTGGGGTTTTTAGTCATCAGTTCTACATATGGTCCAGTCCAAATTTCTCAAAGATTTTTCAGTCTAGTTCTTTTTTTGGTCTCTCATCTTCACCCGTCTATGGTCAAGATCAGGCTGGTGTGACTGACCTTTCTCTTATCCTGTTCAACCTATCTCCTCTGAGTGGTCAGGAAAATACACACACGCACCCAAACATGTACTCACACTCATATAGCTCCCCAAGAACAAACAGTAGTTTGTCCCTGTCAAACAGTACAGTGAAAGAAACATTTCCCTGAAAGAAACAAGTGTGAGGAATCTGGCTAAAACTCATATCCCATGGGTTTCTGTTGGTTTACATTACCAAACAGAACACTTATTTTCTCAGTAGAAAACACCTGCACTCAGTTTACTTCACAGTCTTCCCCAAGAACAATAATGGGTGGGAACTTCCTTTCCATTTGTGTCACTAAAGAAGCCCACTTGAAGCAATGATGTCAAATCAAAAAGGAATAGTTTACCCCAAAGGTGAATTCTGTTCTCTACCTCTTTGGAGAGAAAATTGCTTTCTTTTTGAAAATGCAGTTTTTCAGCCTCAGAGAGAGAGAGAGAGAGAGAGAGAGAGAGAGAGAGAATATTTTTCTTTTTAATTGCCACTTTATACTGAGTGTTAGTTATTTGTGCATGAAGCTTGGCTTTACGTTTACACATACCATGTTTCTTCAGGGCTCTTTCTGCTACTACTAACCCAAGAAACAAATGATCAAGAGTGCAGCATCAACTAATAATAGCATACTCTTAGTCTCTTCTCAGGTATCATTAATAATTGGAAGCTACCTTTGGTGCTCTAATCTGGAGGAGTGACTTGCATAGACACTCCCAGTCCAGGACTGGACCAGGACTAGGATGGCCTTTGGGGCACTGAGGTGGAGGTGGGACAGGGTCAGCGGCTGTGTTCACGTTGTCTTCGCTACCATTACCTCCAACCAAGCAGCTGGAAATGCAGCATCTGAGAGAGTCAGCGTTTCTTGGTCCTGCTCAAGTCTCCATGGGGCTTCCATGTTCCAGGAGAGGGAATGAAAAGGCCCAGTGTGGAGATGTCATATGTAAGAATGACTTTAGAGAAAGGAAAGCTGGGAGTATCTTCAAATGAGTTTCAACTGTTATGAAGTTGATTACCAACAGAGTTTATGATTGCAGATATATAGAGGTAGAACTAGAAAGAATGAACTTGTATGACCCCAAGAATGATGTCAAAAAACTAGCAACATCTCCTAATAATAAATGTGATTTGGCGCAAGAGGATGTGGCACGCTACTCACAGTCCTATCTCCGTCCCCCTGCATGCACCTTGTGCCCCTTAATCAACTTTATCACTTATTTAAAAAAAAATACTGTCCACCTTTGTCAGGATGATCACCTTATTACATATAGCATGTAACTGCATCCCGGCCCCACCACCCGTGCTTTCTTACAGATAATGCCTCTTCCAAGACCCATCTAAGAGTAATACCTCCCTCAAGGCCCAGCTTATACTTCCTTTTCCTACACAAGGCTGTTCTTGAATGTCTGCACTGAATCTCATACAGCGTGCATTTTAGCACTTAATTATACACAGTGAACACTCCTTCCTTTGCATGCCTGTGACCCTTTCCATGGGTACAAGTCATTTGTCATCTGCAGCATTGCACTATTACTTTCTGTTTTATGTCCATTCAGTCATCCAATAAACATTCACTGAATATCTGTTTGATTCCAGGCACTGTGCCTGACACTGGTAATGGAAGAAGAGCAAGGCATCGTGTCTGGTCTCAACAAGATCTTGTGTTAGTAGAGGAAACAGATGCTAATAGCATTCTCTGATTTAGTATGTGCCTTAAGAGAGATATGAAGTTACTGCTGTAGGAATCTTAGAGGAGGGAATACCTAACTCCAACAGAAAAGGCTTTGATGGGACTAGGCTGGATTTTATAGGATGAAATGAAATTTTCCAGGCAGAGGAGGAAAGCTATTCCAGGAAGAGGGAACAAGAGGTGTAGAGGCAGAATTATTGGAGGGCATGATGTCGTTGGTGACTGGTGATCTGAGTTGTGAGGGTTAAGCATATGCTGCATAGATATGATTTGGATAGTAAAAGAAACGATCAAAGTGATAGCTTGGGGTTGGCTTGCCAGGGTTCTTATCTTCTATGTGGAGTTAAGAAGTGTGTACATTTTGCTTAAGAGTTCTAAAATTTGTAAGAGAAGTGACAGAGACTTATTTGATATGAAGAGAGTTATGGTACAGTTATGGATTAGGGACCAGAGTGGGGAGAGACTGGAGGTAGGGAAGTCAGTTAAGAGGGTGAATTGTAACTGCGAGATGCTGAGGAAAAGACCAGATTCTGGAAAACAGGGAGAGAGGAGAAAAGCCTCCTGTAGCTATGATAGTAAGCTCAGTTAAATTGTACTTGCTCGAAGGAGATGTCCAGTAGGCAACTAGAAATAAGAACATTATCTTAGTAGGCAAGTCTCTGCCTTAGGTGGAGAACTGGGAGCCACTGGTCATTGAAGCCATGGACATAGAGGGTAGATAAAATTACGTTAGGAAAAGTAAATAGCCAGAAGAGAAGGCTGAGTGGACAGATGAGCAATACAGGAAAGGGAGGGATAATTAGTAACAAGATCTCAGAACTGGAGGACATGGCCGGCAGTAACCAGATACAAGGAGTTTTTCCAAATGAGATGGGCTGTATTTGAAGAAAGGTGAGAGTGTATGAGCTAGGGTAGGCCTAAGCGATTTGAAGGTAGGAACTATCCCTTTTTATATTTTTACCCTTTATTTTTCCTACAACATTGCTTTATACATGATAGGTCCATAATAAATGTATGTTGATTTGTAACAGTTTACATTTTGTGTATAAAACTCTCCTGTTTTTCCTTCTTACGCTTCATCTGTTTCTTCACAGTGCTAATGCTTAGTAGGTTTATTCTATAACATTTATTTCATAAACAATTATTATTAAATAGTTTCATGTTTTGGATTTCTTGGTTCCTGGGGGATGGGCCGCTAGAAACTTGCTCTTCTAAATGTGGCCCATAGAGGAGCAGCATGAGCATCCCATGGGAGCTGCCTCGGCGTACAGAATGGTGGGCCCTACCCCAGGCCTGCAGAGCCAGAGTCTGTGTTATCACAGGATTCCCGAGTGATCTGCATGTATCTTACAGTTTGGGAAGCACTGCTCTATAGTCATTTTTTGAAATTCTTTCCTTTTTGGAACTCTTTATTTTTGTAGTCTTTACTTCTTCATCAGAACCGCATTCTGGCTCCTGCGGAGTCATGTTGGTACTTCCAGGACCTATTGCCCCTTGACAAAGTTTGATATATCTGATTTTGTAAAATGGCAAGTGTGGCTGAGTTCATTCTACTGAGATTCTTCATGTCAATATAAAAAAAAACATCTATAATATATTCATCTTATAATCACACAAATAAACCAACGCTGATATTAAAAAAAATTATGTTGCATAGGACCCCAAGGGTTTATGTTTGGTATGACTTAGAAATTCTCAGATGTGTGTCTGCTTTATTGCTGGTTTCTCTCCCACTGACATGTAATTTGCAAAACCACAAGTTTATGATGTGAAGAGTGTGTCAAAAGCAGGAGAGAAAGGAAAAGTTCCCCTGAAGAGTTGAGTTCCAAATAGAAGAAGATGCAGAAATATTGGGGGAGACAAATCTAGCAATGCATGCACCTTCTGTTCTCACTGCTTTTTATATAAGAGCATTTGGCTCCATTTCCTGTGGACACTAAGACTGCCAGGTTTTTGCTTATTCAATTGACTTTTATTGTTTTGATTCAAGCTTTTAAAATATTTGCAACCTAAGAAGAGCTTATGTAATTCTGGGTACTGATAGATGAGTGTAAAGATCTTTGGAAAACAGTTTGTTAGAAATGATAGATTAAGTGTCTTACCCTCATTTTTATTATTTCTTTTGGGACTTTATTTTACATTATCACTATATGAATAATAACTGCTGCACTTACTTTTAAGAAAATGGAGAAAATTATATTTTTTCCAAAATTGTTGCATAGGATTCTAGGTCCTAACAGAAATCCAACTGTAGATGTATCTTGGCAATGTCCAACATGGCTGGCCTTTTTACTTTACTAGTATCATTTGCTTTCAAAAAAGGAGCAGAATTTCTTCTTATTGGATTAAAATTTGTCTTGAAAGTAAAAGCAAATTATGCTGAGCATAGAATTTCAAACCTGAGTGAAAAACATCTGAACGCTGGGTGTTCATCTTTCTAACAAGCTTACCAGATGGATGGGAAGTGGTGTTTGCTGTGTATTTCCTCAACATATCAATATGTGAGGATGTGGTACAAAATATGGTTTTCCTGCAAATGAGCAAAACCATGCCAGAGGAGTATAAGCAATGTGTTTGTACTCTGAAAGAACTTTAGAAATTGGAAGGCCACTATTGACTTAAAACCTGCCCAGTGCTTTTTACTCGTCAAATTCTTAGAACTGATGTGATCGGGGTTGAAAAGATACAATTGTTTCTGCTATTCATCTAACTATTTCGAGAGCACTTAAAGGGTTCTTTCAGTCAAGAAACACAAGGAGAACTGAAAAGCTATCTGCATTCATGGCCTTTGAATTAAAAAAAAAAAAAGAAAGAAACTGTAAATTTAGGCCACCAAAAAAAGCAGTGCGTGTCAAGGGATTTTTCCAGTGTTTTAGTGTGTGTGTTTATGACCAATGAGCTTTCTTTGGCTGTCAATCAGTTAAGAATTAGGCCACAGTCATGGATCAATGGTCAATTGGCATTATTTGAGAACAGTTATGGAATTAGTCATAGCAGTGATGCAATGATCTCTGATCATTGGAGCTGTTAGGAAGGGGGAAATGGCTAATCGGCTTCTAAGATCCTATGAACTGTCTATTTCTTTTTTAGGAAAGTAAAACTGCCTTGGCTTTTGTCTTAAATTCTTAGTGCTAGTCCAAAACCTTTATTCTTTCTTTGTTAATTATTGTTTCTCAGTGGCTCTCGTTCTTATGGTATTGATCATGTGTTGCCTACATTTCCTGGAAAAATAATAATAACTTCTCCAAGCCAAGTGAAAGTTATCTTATCATCCCAAAGAGAATAATGAAGTGGCTGAAATGTTGAAAGATTCATGTTCTTACAGGTCAAAATTAGACACTTATAGTCACCATATTGCTACTAGTGACCTATAAAATTTAATCCATGCCTGGGGCTGAGAAAATCAGATACCTTGAATGCTCATTGTATTCTTGGTCATAAGTTTCCATCATCTTGCTGCCTCTAGGATGGAAGAGGAAATATTCTAAGCCACTTCCACTGGGAGAATTTTATCAATTCCTGAGTTGAAGGTGGCTCCTTCGAACTGAGAGGTGACATATGTGAAACTATGCCCAAGAGCTAGTGTTGGGCTTAAGCTGATTTGATGGGAAATTTGACCCTGCAGCTGAAAAGAGGGCCCCTTGCCCCTTGATTCCAGGCCCAGTGAGATCCCATTTTTCTAAACTGTAAATAGAATATTTTTGAATATATTAAAGAAATAGAATATTCTTTGATATCTCAAAGAGAGTTCATAGAATCATGTTATGCTATTGAAGAGGATGAGGCAAAGTCATCTGGTCTTTGCATTTTTTAAATTTTTTATCTATTTTTTTCTTTTTTTTGAGATACAGTTTCACTCTTGTTGCCCAGGCTGGAGTGCAATGGCGTGATCTCAGCTCACTGCAACCTCTGCCTCCCAGGTTCAAGCGATTCTCCTGCCTTAGGTTCCCAAGTAGTTGGGATTACAGAGCATGCACCACCACGCCCAACTAATTTTGTATTTTTGGCAGAGACGGGGTTTTACTATGTTGGTCAGGCTGGTCTTGAACTCCTGACCTCAAGTGATCCACCTGCCGTGGCCTCCCAAAGTGCTGGGATTACAGGTGTGAGCCACTGCACCCCACCTGCAAGGGCTTAAATATCTCCAAAACACTTGTTTTGTGGCTTTCACCCTCTTCACTCTGTTAAACTGTTGTATATGAAACCATTGTTTTACAAAGGAATTTTACGAAGTAAATGTGAGGCTGTGTACTGTCACGGGTAGAAGACTGCATTACGTGTTAGAAGATCTGGGTTCTAGGCCCAGTTCTTTTCTTTGGCAGTTGTTCAGCTTAGTAAGGTCACTTGACTGCTCTGACCCTCATTTTTTATGTTTGCATAATGGGGGTTCAATTAGTGGCTGTTATCTATGAACTTGCCCCTTGTTGTTTAAATAATGTAGCTTCTCTAACTTTGGTCTTGAGAAGTACAAAATGGCTAACTGTTGAGACTAATGCCTTTTTTCAGACAAAAGAATAAGAAGGACATTGTTAGTGCATTCTAAAATGTTTGGTATAGAAAGCTGTATAATCAAACCCAGGACAGGGAGAGGGTATCTGTGTCTTAAATGTGTTAAGAATAGAGTCATTATTTCACAAGAAATTGGGTCACAGTCATACAAATGGGAGAAGCAGAAATTTATTATGTGGACCAGACAGGTGGTCTTTGGAAAGAAATGAATCCATGTGCTGGCAAGGTGTGTTATTAGCTAGCTTAGAAGAAAACCAGCCCTGACTAATGTAAAACCACCATGGTTTTCCCTGGATCAGAGCTCAAGGTGGAAATACTTTTTAATGAAGCCAGCAGAATGAATACGAAAGCCATGGACATTTAGCAAAATATGTGAAGCTGTGCAATTTACAAGATGAGAAAACAAACCAGGAGACTGGAATAAATACAGCTATCCAAGCTGGAGAAATAGTAAAGCCAGTCAATTTCTCTGGAATTTCTTCTTTCCAGGGAGTACTAGAGGCAAAGCTTATATGGCAGAAAGGAGGAGGCTAAGGGCTTGCATTATACTAATTTTGTCGAAACTTCTAACTCCTCCAGTCCATGGGTCCCTGACGTATCTCTTTCAGTGGGGACCATATTGTGAAGTGTAAAATACAAATGATATAATTTGGCCATATGGTAACAGCAGAAAGTAGCCAAGAGTTTCATGCTCTTTCATGACCTTAAAAATAAACCATTGAACTCTCTTCTTAAAAACATTAACAAGAAATTAATGCAATGGAGGCACTCACCTTATTTCTGATCCTCAGGGAAAGTTGTGTAATGGTTTGATATTTATTTTTTACTTCTGACCCAGAACCACATTCAGGCAAAACAATCCTAGTTTCAATGTCATATCCTTAAAAGGAAAAGAGCAGGGAATGGAGTGGGGTCCAAGCTAGGGAAATGAGCATTGGGGATGGGGTGGAGGATCTACTTAAGTTTTAATTATGTTCCTTTTACTCTGCATGTCACCATGTCCCTTATGTCAAAAGGGACAGCTTTGCTGTTGTCATCATCCTGGTCCACTGTCTTTGTTTCTGATTTCTGCTAGGAGACACCACTTAGTTGGGTGGTTCATTTGTATTTCCTTTTCTAGCTTTCTGGTCTACTTAACTCTTGGTTCTGGATGTATTCTTAATTTCATCAATTCTTACTGTATTCTTATAGCCCTCAATGATTGCCCTAGCCAATCTCTCAGGAAAGAGGGATTTGGACATTGTCTATGTCATCACATGGTTGCAAAGAGAGGTGAAATGGTATACGAAAAAGTTGCTTTGGAACTAGATGGGTGAGTGTCCTCACAGACAGGACAGCAGTGAGAGGTTGTACTACTGTTTCAGCAATCAAAAGACCTCTTCAGCAATGGCTGCTTCAGAATGACACAACTGATCAACCATGCTAGAATGACCACTACCACAAAAACAACAGAAAAATAACCTTAAATTCAAAACTCACTGATATCCCCTGCATATTAGAGTTCATGAAGATTAAATTAGGTTAGCACATAGTAAGACATTCAAAAATATGAGTTTCCTTCCTTTTCTCTAAAAGAGAAATACTTTAAAAATGCTTTTGAACTCTCAAATCATGAGTGTCACAAATAGAAGTCAAGTCCAGACAGCAAGACTTTCAGTGACATTTACCTTGCTCAGGGTAGAAAAGGTTTTCTTTTTTGTTGTCAGAGAAGAAATCCTGATGGTGGATGCTGTGAAATCCTAATATAATTATTTTAACAGTATTCTTCACATATGGCTTGTGATACTCATATTAAATATCTGTCAAGTAGTATAGTTACTGTCAGCACTGTTAATATGAATTCATTAATATTAACCTTTAATCCAATTTTATGGCTAAGTGGCACTGTTAGATACTTATTTGTTTCTGCAAAGGCGGGAATTTCTATCAGCCCTTAGACAAATATTAGTGGATGGAGCACAGGTCCAGGATTCCTGGCTCTGTCACATGTCAGAAGACCTAGTCAGAAGACTCTGGATGCTGATTTTTGCATCTAACAGTACTGCATGCTCTATGTAACTTTTGGAGTTTAGTGAGGATCAAGAGAGGTTGTCGAAATTAGAGTGCTGAGAAGGCAAAAAGCCTGATGGGGAAAAATCTGACAACTTTGTAATGACCTTTCTTTCAGTATAGGTTCCATGCTTTGAATCAGTTTGTTCTTTCAAACCAACCTCTTTATTTAAAATACAGATATACCTCAGAGATATGGCAAGTTTGGTTTAAGACCACTGCAATAAAGCAAGTCACACAAATTTCTTGCTTTCCCAGTGCATATAAAAGTTGTGTTCACACTATACTATAGTCTTTTAAGTGTGCAATGCCATTTTCCCTAAAAAACAACATACATACGTTAATTAAAACGTACTTCATTGCTAAAAAAAGAAATGCCAATGATCCCCTGAGCCTTCAGTGAGTCATGATATCTTGCTGGTGGAGGGTGGAGGGTCTTACTTCAATGTTGCTGGCTGCTGACTAATCAGGGCAGTGGTTGCTAAAGGTTGGGTGGTTTGGCTGTGGCAATTTCTTTTTTTTTCTGAGATGGAGTCTTGCTCTGTAGCCCAGGCTGGAGTGCAGTGGTGCAGTCTCGGCTCATTGCAACCACCGCCTCCCGGGTTCAGGTGATTCTCCTGTCTCAGCCTCCTGAGTAGCTGGGATTATAGGCACACACCACCACACGCAGCTAATTTTTGTATTTTTATTAGAAACCGGTTTTCACCATGTTGGCCAGGCTGGTCTTGAACTCCTGACCTCAAGTGATCTGCCTGCCTCGGCCTCCCAAAGTGCTGGGATTACAGGTATGAGCCACCACGCCCGGCCTCGCTGTGGCAGTTTCTTAAAATAAGACAACACAATACTTGCTTTGGCGGCACATATACTAAAACTGGAAAAATACAGAGAAGATTAGCATAGTCCCTGCACAAAGATGACGTGCAAATTCATGAAGCATTCCATAGATTTTTTTAAAAAAGACAACAATAAAGTTTACTGTATTGATTGACTCGTCCTTTCACAAAAGGAATGTAGCATACAATACTGCTTCATAGCATTTTACCCACAGTAGAACTTCTTTCAAAATTGGAGTTAATCCTCTCAAAGCCTGCTGCTGCTTTATCGACTAAGTTTGGGGAGTATTCTAAATCGTTTGTTGTCATTTCAGCAATGTTCACAGCATCTTCACCAGGAGGAAATTCCATCCCAAGAAACCATAAGAGACATATGCTCATCTATAAGAGACAACCCCTCATCCATTAAAGTTTTGTCATAACATTGCAGCGATTCAGTCATATCTTCAGGTTCCACTTCTCTTGCTCCTTCTACCACATCTGTGGTTACTTTCTTTATTGAAGGCTTGAACTCCTCAAAGTCATCCATGAGGATTGGAATCAACTTCTTCCAAACTCCTGTTAATGTTGATATTTGCCCCCCTCCCATGAATCACAAATGTTCTTAATGGCATCTAGAATGGTGAATCCTTTCTAGGAGGTTTTCAGTATATTTTGCCCAGATCCATCAGAGGAATCACTATCTTTGGCAGCTAGAGCCTTATGAAATGTATTTCTTAATTAATAAAACTTGAATGTCAAAATTATTCCTTGATCCCTGAGCTGCAGAATAGTTGTGGTGTTAGCAGACGTGAAAACAACATTAATCTCCTTGTACATCTCCATGACACCTCTTGAATGCCTAGGTACATTGTCAATGATTAGTAATGTTTTGAAATGTATCTTTTTTTTCTCAGCAGTAGGTCTAAACAGTCTGAAGAGTGGGCTTAAAATATTCAGTAAACCATGCTATAAACAGATGTGTTGTCATGCAGGCTTTTTTGTTCCATTTGTAGAGCACGGGCTGAGTAGATTTGGCATAATTCGTAAGAGCCCTAAATGCAGCTGGTGACTTTAAATTGCATCCAATGATCTTTTGGAATGGTAAAAGATCATTGGATTCAACTTAAAGTCACCAGCTGTATTTGACTCAAATATGCAGTCAGCCTGTCCTTTGAAGCTTTGAAGCCAGACATTGACTTCTCCTCTCTAACTATGAACGTCTTACATGGCATCTTCTAACTTAAAGCTGTTTCATCTACATTGAAAATCTGATGTAGCCACCCTTGTTAATGATCTTAGCTAGATCTGAATAACTTGCTGCAGCTTCTCCATCGGTATTTGCTGCTTTACCCCTTACTTTTATGTTATGGAGATGGCTTTTTCCCTTCAACCTCGTGAACCAACCTCTGCTAGCCTCAGACTTTTCTTCTGCAGCTTCCTCAGCCCTCGTAGAATTGAAGAGAGTTAGAGCTTTGCTCTGATGTTGTGGCTGGTTCGATCTTCTATCTAGACCTTTTAGACTTTCTCCATATCAGCAGCAAAACTGTTTTGCCTTCTTATCATTCATGTGTTCACTGGAGTAGCACTTTTAATTTCCTTAAAGAACTTTGCCTTTGCATTCCAATTTGGCTAATTGGTACAAGAAGCCTAGCTTTTGGCCTGTCTCAGCTTTTGATATGCCTTCCTCAAAAATCAAAAATCATTTCTAGCTTTTGATGAAAAGTGAGAGACCTGTGACTCTTTTTCACTTGAACACTTAGAGGTAATTGTAGTGTTACTAACTGAGCTAATTTTAATATTATTGTGTCTCTGGTAATAGGGAGGCCTTAAGAGAAGGAGAGAGATGAAAGAAAATGATCAGTCCATGGAGAAGCCAGAACACACACAACATTGATTGATTATGTTTGCCATCTTATGTGGGCACGGTTTGTGGTGCCCCCAAACAATTGCAATAGTAACAGCCAAGATCACTGATCACAGATAGCCATAACAGATGTAATAATAATCAATAAGTTTGAAATATTGCAAGAATTAGCAAAATATGACACAGAGACATGAAAGTGAGCACATGCTGTTGGAAAAGTGGCACCGATAGACTTGCTTGCGCAGGGTTGCCACAAATCAATTTGCAAAAAATGCAGCATCTGTGAAGTACAGGAAAGAGAAACACAATAAAACAAGGTTTGCCTCTGTTAATTAATTTCTTTATTCTTTTTTGTCATTATAAAAACCTATGTAATTGCTGGCCAGATATTCTGAGGACCCTGAGATGTAAATCATACATTTATTTTCTCTAAAGCAGGTTAAGGAAACATTCAATCACAAATCACCTTTTTAAAAGTTAATTCATTGCACTAAAATTGACTGTAATTTTGAAATATTACAAATCATTTGCTAAACCGTATTACTAGGTTTGTAGACTTTTTTTTGGCATGTGGGGATGGATAAGCATTGAGCCAAGGGTAGTGGTTTTCAGTGTCTATCTATCTATCTTTATTTATATATATACATATGTGCTCATGTATTGCAAAGGTCTTTCTTAAAAGAAATCATAAAATGAAACCTGCATATGTGAAGTAGCTAAAATATTGCTGACAGTATTGAACTGCACTCTCCCTTTACCTCCTACCATTGCCACTTAATGGGTCCTAAGGTGCTGCCCCAGAACTCTTGGGGTCTGAAGAATATAGTTGAGATCCATTGGGCCAGCAGACAAAAAATGAAGAAAAGCATTTAGATAACTCCTTGATACAGTAACCTCTGTCCTCCTCTCACATGTATTAATAGATAGTAAGTAACTGGGATAGTAGTAAATGGGTTGAAAGGTAATCTATCTTTGTTTATCTGCTTGTGAATCATTCATATATTGCTCATGAACCAAAGAGATTTTGACTCTCTCTTCCCCATCCCATTTGTCTAGACATGTAGAGGACGGTGTTCTGTGATCATACTTGGTAGGACTAAATTAGATCATTGTATGGAGAAAACCAGAATACACTTGTTTACAGAGTTCTGTGCTTCATCGTCCTGTAGAATCAAAAGGAAAGATGGGAGACTAATATGGGCTCCCCAGTATTTTATTTTGCCAAAAAAAGGATACTTCAAAGAGCAATCATTAAAGGATACTTCAAAAAGCTTTGATACTTCATAAAGGAAAGGATACTATAACAGCAAAATTTTGGAATACCATAATCTCAGAGTTGTTCAAGAGTCAACATTGGTGGCTACTTGAACAGAAGGAAGAATATTTTCTTTTTGGAATGGGACTTGGGATTCAACCCCAGCTCCACTGTTATTACCTATATAACACTGACTAAGATAATTAATCTTTCAGACCCTCATCTGCAAGATGAAAACATGTATCTCATGTGGTTGTTAGAATGCCACCAATGAATAAATGCCACATTCCAATGGTATTTGGTACATAGTAGGTGCTCAATAAATATCCATTCTCTCCCTCTTGCACTGCATTCTTCCTTTCTCTTGTTACTTATGTTAGAGGATTGTTTTGATGTTCAAATAAGAAAATAATGAGAAAATGCTTGGTGAACCATAAAGCACTATTTAAATTTGAGGTTCATGAGACATACAGTGCTTTGCATTAAGCATATGCATTTTCCTTTTTATAAGATGTGTAGAAAACTGGCACAATCACACTCAGGAAGCAAAATGTAATGCCTTTGTCTTATTTCTTGAGGGCTCACGTGGTCTTTTGGGTGAAACTATATGTAAAATATAGATGGTATTTTAGAAAATACTGTCCATATAGTGCACATAGTGTTGCTTTTGCATGTTTTTAAAACAAAGAACATTAACCAGTCAACTCACAGATCTTCCTGTATGACAAACTAAGGTGTAGTTATAAAGTCCATTGAAGCTATAAAGTGTTTAGAGTTATATTGCATTAAGTGCTATTGCATTCAATCTCACCAAGCTGTTAAGGTGTTTTATAATGGGATGTAAATATTTATGGTCTGTTTGAGAATAACCAAAGAAAAGTGCTTTTCATTATTTTAGTTCATATGCTATTAGCCAGGTATATCTTTTAGTCTTTCAACGCTTTCATGGCTTGGGAAAATGATGTCAACTTTGGGGCAATATATGGTTGGGGAAAAAAATTAGTCTACTTTTGTTACTGTGTCAAATTGCCCGGGAGCTGCTTCGCTGAACGAGTGCCTGGGGAGCACATACTACATTTTCTGTGTATTCTTTTGGTACCAAGTAGAGCCTTAATAATGCTTCTATAGATGTATAATGAATAATAGTTGTCCACAGCTAACAAAACACTGTAACATTCTGCAGAGAAACTGGTGAGTTTCACATTCTTAACCTGATTTGATACATCCCAGATAGTTTTAAGAAAAAGTATTTCTGCTTTAAATTCCTTTCCTTTAAAGAAAACTTGAAAAACAATTGCATATGTTTCCTCAAGAATCAAATTCTGTTTTTAGGACTCCATCTTGGTTCTGACATTTTTGTATGTGTATCTCTAAGGCTATTGCAGCCATCAGAGGTAGTTCATGCAAAAGAAGTTAAGCTATTGTTCATCACTAAAGCAAATAGGAAAGTCTGGAAGACACACTTTTTATTAAGGAAATAAGAAAAGGCGATACTATTTTCATGATCACATACTGTACTTTACAACATCTGGTTATAGAAAACAGGAAAGGTTAAAGATCAAAAAAATAACGATTCAAAACCACTTTGTTCTCAGATCTGTCACTGTGGTTTTTGTCAGATAAGTTTAAATCCTGGTAATTGGTTTATGCCAAAGGACAGAGGAGAGTCATTTCAAAGCTTTCCTGTTCGTAGACTATTAAATTGCCAGATATAACACTCACAACAAAGTGACACATAATTTAGAAAGAATGTAATGCATGCTTTTAATCAGAACAACAATAACACACACAAAAAAACTAGTAACAAGTATGGAAATGGCAGAAAGCATTAAATTCAGTAATGGACACAAATAAAAAGCAACTGCTCGACAAAAACAGCTGTGAATGGTCTATGTACCCCTCACATCCCCCCACCTCATAAAAAAGATATTCACATTTGGAAATATGGTTACAAATGTAAATCACTGATTTCTTGCAAGACCATGACGGCCCTGTAATACATATCAAATCAGTCCATTTTAGATCTGTAAAAGGATTCTTTCAGATGTGAAGACTTGGGAGCAACTGTGAAACTGTCTTTATTCAGATCCTTTGAAATATAAAGCGGCAATTTTAGACCACCATGGATTTTAAGGCATGCCAACTGATGTTTATAACAACTTAGCCTTCAGTTTTTTTGTATTTGATTTTATTCAATGTCTGTCGATGAGTATATTTAACTTTGATGTTTCCTGCAGAAATTCATTGTCTTTAACTTTTATTCTGTTTTAACAGGCAGGTAATGAAAAGAATGATTTGCATGTTGAATTTATACCTCAGGCTATCTCCACAAAGAAGAGAGGTCTGAAGTTACTGTTGTGGTGGGATTTCCCTCCTTAATAATAAATTCTATCGGAAAGGTGGAGATGTCATTAAGAATCAGGTTGGAAAGAAATTTTCAACATGACTTTGACAGATGAAAGCACTGATTATTATTTATAGAAGATAATCTATTTAAAATATATACTTTCTCAATTTAAAGAAGTTAAAAACTTAAAAACAGAACTACTATTTCATAATTTAGACATTAGGGACTATGTAGAGAAATCACTTCATTTCCAACCAAGTGGACAAAACCTGGAAAACCCCAAAGAAAATTTTAAGGAAAATTAAGAGACAGTAAAGCTGATTAAAAACAGATAACACTTTAATTGGCTTGGAAATAGCAAACTACAAAAATTAACTCAATAAAATTTCATTGGAAAAATTTATTGTTTTTAATTTACTGTCGACAGTTTTTTAGAGCTGAATTACTTAATTTGAACCTAATTAATTAATTCAATAAAAGTGGGAT